>NC_000008.11:41981314-42284345 GCF_000001405.40 Homo sapiens | reverse complement strand
CTCCCAAAGTGCTGGGATTACAGGTGTGAGCCACTGCGCCAGGACATCACCTCAGTATTAAGGGGCAATTCGGCCACAATGGCTCTGCATCCCAGGTGGGACTGATGGTTATAAAAGGACAAGTTTGGTCCCTTTTGTCTCTTGCCCTTTCGCCTTCACCCTATGATGATGCCTTGACCTTGGACTTCATAGCCTCTAGGACTATGAGAAATAAAATCATTATAAATTACCCATTCTCAGCTACTCTGTGATAGCAGCACTGAGCCGACTGAGACACTGCTACAGACACTTGCCTCCAGTTAGGCGGAGTTTGCAGAGGAGCTCAGACGTGGGGAACGCAGGGTTCCACAAACAGAGACCGATGGCCCCGCTGCAGCGTGAGGTGCCATTGCCAAGAGCATCTATCCACCTCCATCCACCCTGCAACATTTCCATGGACACTATTCCAAGCAATGGTTTAGCCAAAGAGACTGTAACTTATGGTTCGTTACCTTAGAATGACTGAGACTAAACCAAGATACTGAAAAATCTGCAGCAACGTAACTTCAATACACAGAAGAGGGCACTTGTTTTCTATTGCTGCCGTAATAAATTACCACAAACTTGGTGGCTTAAAATAACACACTTTATTTCCTTGCAGTTCTATCTGCTGAAGCCTGATGTGGGTCTCCCTGAGCTAAGATGTTGGTGGGGCTATGCTCCATCCAGAGGCTCTAGGGGAGAGTCTGTTTCCCTACTTTTCCTTCTGCATCTTCTAGAAGCGCCACTTTCTTCAGCTCGTAGCCCCTTAGCCCATCCGTGTGTCAGCCATGTCCCGCCATCTTCCTCACATGCATCGGCTGACCCTGGCTCTGCTGCCTCCTTCTCCCACGTTTAAGAACCCTTGGGATTACACTGGGACCCCCAGGGAAGCCAGGCCAATCTCTAAGGTCAGCTGATTAGAAAACTTAATTTCATCTGCAACCTTAATTTCCCTTTGCCATGCTGCCCCACCCAGTCATAGGTTCAGGGATTAGGATCCAGATTTCTTGGTGGGGTTGGGGGGGATTATTCTACCTATCATAAATGAAACAGGACAGATCATCAGATCCAAAAAATAGATTAGATGACTTAGTTTATTAAGTGATTTTAGGTAATCTGTCTAGCTACAAATTGGATAATTGCAGTCTTTTGCCCAACACAAACACTGGACCTGATACACAGCTGTCACTTGGCCCAACCCAGAATCAGGAGGAGATTCTGATACTGAAGACTTGATATTGGTCTTAAATATCCAAATGCAAACTAAAAAGACTGAACTCAGCAATGTGAACACTGAACAAGTCTTGAAATAACTGGGCATAGATACCAAAACTAACTTTCTACTCACAGACAGCTCAGCTTCGCCCTAGAGTTGAGGCGAAATCCTAACTCCCTGGGCCTAGGAAGGTCTGCGTAGATACAGACATACTTAAACTTTTCCTAACACAGTGGCCTTCATCTGCCTCTAGGAAGTATTCCGAAATATTCCCAGTTTTTCCATGAGTAATGTTTCATTTGAAACAGAAATGCAAACAGAATGACTTTGTTACTAAAAACATACCTGCTCTAGAAAGCAAAATTCAATTAAAACAGAAGCAGGCTACGATCACCGGTTCTGAAACCCCAGGGAGTTTGTTCTTCACTAGCAGTGGAACTCAAACACATGTAAGGTAAGAAGGATGGCTTACTTTATTTTTCCTGGAATCTACTGAGTCTTAGCTTAGTTCTGTGGAAACCCAGACTAGGCCTGCGCCATCTCAGTACCCAACTTCTGGTATATGAACTCCTCGTGAAGGACAAAACTTAAAACTGCTTTGTGGCTGGGCATGGTGGCTCACACCTATAATCCCAGCACTTTGGGAGACCAAGGCAGGTAGATCGCTAGAGCCCGGGGGTTTGAGACCAGCCTGGGCAATATGGCAAGACTCTGTCTCTACTAAAAATATTTTTAAAAACTAGCCAGGCATAGTAGTAGATGCCTGTAGTCCCAGCTACTTGGGAGGCTGAGGTGGGAGAATCTCCTGACCCTCGGAAGTCAAGGCTGGGCAATAGAGCGAGACCTGCGTTGAGCTGTGATCATGCTGCTGCACTCCAGCGTGGACTACTGGAGTGAGACCCTGTCTCAAAAAATAAACACACACAAAACAACAAAAAACTGGTCTGTATTTTGAGAAAACGGAGAAAGGGTCCCCTGTATGTCCAGATTGAATGTAGTGATTATGAAGGTCCTCAGAGTTTGCAATTCCTTGCCTTTGATGCATGTAAACATAAAACTTATATATAAGCATGTGTGTCATAAGGTGTAAAAAAGGCAGAGGGGGAGCACATCCTCAGACCAAAAGGTGCCTGGCAGATGCGAGCTGAAGACCCAGTCACAGGAGAAACAAAAGGGGCCCAGCTTCCTCAAGTTTGCCTCTTCCAGCGACTCAGGGGAAACTCACAGAGGCCAAGAGCCATGTTTAGACCCTTAGCGCAGAAAGCCCAGTGTCCCGTTATCATGGCAAGCATCCAACCAGGCCACTGTGGACATGGGGGCAATTAGTAAAAACCTCCTCCTCCTTCTCAGACCCCACCCCCTGAAATGAATGCTTCAGAAAGGAGGTGCAGGGCTGGGACCAGAGAGACTGGGCAGGAGGACCCAGGGCTGGGAGCCAAAAAGGTCCGGGATCCAGCTGCAGTTTCACCCCTGGCTCAGCAGGTAACTGGACAGACCCTGGGCCCCAGCATCGCCTGGTCTACGCTAAGAGGGCCATGACTTCTTCACCCTACTCCCTACAGTGCAGACCCCCAAGGGGCACAGTGGCCTGCCGCCTCACCCACAGAAGCCAGGCACTCGGGCTCAGGAGACAAGCAGGTCCAGGTGTAACTCCCTCCCCCACCGCCTGGTAAAGGTGCGATAGAAGCCCATGGTACAAGCATCTGGGTCCTCATCCATAAGATGGGGATGGCTCCATCCACTCCAGGGATGTCAGCTAAAATGAAACACAGCATCCGACCACAGGGAGCCGGGAATAAACGACCGCAGCCTCACTTCCTTTTCTGGCCCTGTGGAGATGCTGCTCTGCCCACCTGAGTCGGCTTCTGTCTTCTTGCCAGGCCCTCGAAAGTGTACCTCCTTTCCAGATCCTGCTAAAGCTCCATTCACCCCAAGAAGCCTCCCTTCCCCAGCGTTCGGGAGAGATCATGCGGACAGGGAACCCAGCTCAGATGCCACATGATGCCCTGGAAAAATGGCAGCCACTGTTATCCATGCAGTTCGGTGCTTGGATTTAGACTCACTTAATGCATTTCTGAATGCTCCCTGGATCACTGTGATCAGAGAGTAAGCACACGAAGGGCAGGGACCCTTTTTTCCTGGTATCCCTGACAGAGCTCGGGCCCAGGCTCTATAAATCCCTAGAGAAGTGACTGAACGGAGCAGAGGCTTTAAGGCTTCCAAGCACACAGATAAGCTGTGGAAAGCTTTGCCTTGTCCCATAAAGGGACAAGTACAGGTCCGTGCTGCTTCATAGAAGGGATCGTTAATACTCTGCCTTCTAACAGCCAGTACACACACTGCCTCCTCCACCCCAACGAGCATCCCGCAGGGCCCCAGGCAGCGCTTCCTGGCCCTCCTCACAGCCAAGTGTACACAGAACATGATGATATCACAAGGTACCCTGGGTGGCTTCCAGAAGGTAGCTGACCCACATCCTGCCCAGCCATGTTGGGGACCCAGCACTGAGGAGATCAGTATTGGAGAATCCCCATAATCCATGCAAAAAGTGGGGACCCACAGCCAAGACGCTGACAGAGCCAGGATCTGAACCCAGGTCTGTGTGACTGAGTATCGTGTTTCCCGCCCCCACTCCCAAAACATGCTGCCAGGTGGGAGCACTCGGTTATCTCCTCCTCCTCTTCCTTTGTATTTAACAAAGGTCTCATTGAAAATATCAGCCTATCTAAACGGTACTGGGAAGTGGTTTGTGCTGACCCCTGGGCTGGAGGTCTTAGGGAGTCCCGACACAATGTGGAATGGTGAGGCCCGCGTGGCAGGAGAACCACAAGAACAGGGGAAGCAGGTTGTGGTGGGGCTCGCTTGTTCACTGCCCTCCCTCCCTGGGAAACACTCAATGTGGGGTTCTCTGTCTAACAAGGAAGACTTATAAGTGTTTTGTCCTCCAAAGAAGTGTTTTTCAACCAAGCACAGTGGCTCATGCCTGAAATCCCAGCACTTTGGGAGGCCAAGGCAGGAGGACTGCTTGAGCCCAGGAGTTCCAGACCAGCCTGGGCAACATAGAAAGACCTCATCTCTACAAAAATAAAAAAATTAGCCAGGCGTGGTGTCTCACGCCTGTAGTCCCAGCTACTCAGGAGGCTGAAGTGGGAGGACTCCTTGAGCCTGGGAGTTCAAGGCTACAGTGAGCCCTGATCGAGCCACTGCACTCCAGTCTGGGTGACAGAGGGAGACCCTGTCTCAAAAAACAAACAACAAAAAATCAATAAAGAAGTGTTTTCCCCTTCCTGCTTCAAAAAGGTTTAGACTGTGGTGAACAATGAGAGCCTAAGGAACACCAAGGCCTCCCCCTGAGTCCTCACCACAGAGAAGCCACAGGCACAATGGAAAAAGCATGAGGTTGGGTTCCGAACAGACGCAGGTTCCAATCCTAGCCTCTTTGCTTGCGAGCTCAGGTCTGTGGGTGAGTCACAGAGACTGTGCTTCAGTCTCCTCAACTATAAAATGGGAACAAAGACAACAGTACTTCCTTTCAGAGTTGTGAGGGCTGGAGAGAAAGCACGTAAATACCTAGTTTGATGCTGGCGCATAGCAGGTTCTCAGTAAATGATGCCTCTGATTATCAGGCCACTTCTCTGACTGAGGATACCCATGCTTAGGGGCTTTTTCATGTAACTTCTATTGTGATAACTACAACATTCCTTCTTCTGCAGACAAGATGCAGTGCATGGAGTGTCAGGAAAGTGCACACTGTTGTTACGTGGAGTAAAACCATCAGAGTCAAGGAACCAACACCACCATAGCCCAGCTGCTTCTTTTAAGAGGCTGTGAACAGAGGGGTTCCCAACAGAGAACATACACGCTCATCTTCTGAACTTGGACAATGATCAAAGACTTCTCCTCAGCACCCAAAGCAGCCCTAGAGATTTCCCAAACTTGGGGAGAACCCACGGGGAAGGAAGGTAGAGAGCTTCCTGGCCTGGGCCGGGCTCACGGGTAGGCATCATTGAGGACCTGCAGGCACTCCACTCCTCCTGCTCCCCTCCACCTCTACTCCACCACTAAGCGCTGTTAATTCCACCCCTTAAATCTCTCTCTCTCTTTTTTTTTTTCTCAGACAGAGTTTCGCTCTTGTTGCCCAGGCTGGAGTGCAGTAGCACGATCTCGACTCACTGCAACCTCCACCTCCTGGGTTCAAGTAATTCTCCTGCCTCAGCCTCCTGAGTAGTTGGTATTACAGGCATGCGCCACCATGCCTGGCTAATTTTGTATTTTTAGTAGAGACGGGGTTTCTCCACGTTGGTCAGGCTGGTCTCGAACTCCCAACCTCAGGTGATCCACCTGCCTCTGCTCCCAAAGTGCTGGGATTACAGGCATGAGCCACTGCACCAGGCTAAATATCTCTTAAGTCTGCCCACCTCTCCCCATCTCTCACCTAGACGACTCCAAAACATTCAGACCTGGTCTGCCTGCATCACTGGGACGGAGCCAGTGACACTGTAGTAGCAGTCACTGAGAGCTGGTTGTTAACTACTCAGGAATCAGGCCGGAGCGGGCTATTAAACTACTGGTGGCTTGAAGTCAGCCCTGGTGGGAGTAGCTACTCCATGAGAACTGCTGCACACTATGGATCAAGGCATTTCTTCCGAGAGCTGATTTTTTCCCAGCACGCTGCCCACTGCTTGGGCCCTCCCAATCTGTCCCCATGGGCACAGCGCCTCCCTCTAACATCGTTCCACTGCTCCTCCATCAAAACAAAACCTCCTCGGCTGAAACTGCCCAAAAAACACCACAGGATCTGACTTGCACCGTCCACCCTCAGCCACCCAGGCACTTGTGCCCCATCCTCCCTTCCGGCCACGCTGGCCTTCAGTCTTGCCCACTTGCCACACCTGCCCTCCACAGAGGCCCCTCAGGAGCCTCTCCCTTGGCCTGGAACTCTCCTCCCACCTTCTCTGTCAAGCTGACTTCTACTAGGGCCTCAGTTCAAGTGTCACTTCCTTGGGGAACCTCCTCTGACACTGACTGATCCCACCCCAACGGAAGGTCTCAGTGCACTGGGTCCTTCTCCCAACTCACACTTTACCATACTTAGGAGCTTACATTTATAATTAGTTGACTAATGGCTCCTTCCCTTCTCCAAAGGTCTGCTTTAATTACCAATGTACACATAATAGACATTCGATAAATATTTGTGGACTGGCAGAGTGGATGATTTGGGGCACCTAGCACATATACAACGTCAGGCACTTGCTACAGGAGAACTGAAGGAACTCCAAAGGCCAGACCCAGCCCTGGCTGACCAGGAATGCAGGGTCCTGACAAGACTTACTCCACACGCAGACAGGAAGGGCGGCACAGGAACCAGCCCAGAGGAACTCACCGGGAGAACCAGTTGCCACAGAACAAAGCCATCCCAGACGCATATGAGGAGGAGATGGCCTAGAGTTGGTCCTGGAGGAATGTGGAGGAGGGGGAGGCCTGTCCGGCAAGAGGGCTCAGCGCTCAAAACAGAGGCAGCCAAGGGGAGGAATGATGGAGAGGCAGGTGCAGACAGACTGTGTGGGGTTCAGCCGGCAGGAGGAGGAAGCTGGCTTTTGGCTTTTTAAAAATAAATAACAGGCCAGGCGCCTGTTAGTGACTCATGCCTGTAATCCCAACACTTTGGGAGGCCAAGGTGGGCAGATCACTTGAGGTCAAGAGCTTGAGAACAGCCTGGCCAGCATGGTGAAACCCCGTGTCTACTAAAAATATAAAAACTAGCCAGGCATGGTGGCAGGTGCCTGTAATCCCAGCTACTTGGGAAGCTGAGACAGGAGAATCGCTTGAACACAGGAGGCAGAGGTTGCAGTGAGCCGAGATCAAGCCACTGCACTCCAGCCTGGGCAACAGAGCGTGACTCCGTTGCAAAAAAAAAAAAAAAAAAAATTAGCCACACGTGGCCGGGTGCGGTGGCTCACGCCTGTAATCCCAGCACTTTGGGAGGCCGAGCAGGCGGATCACAAGGTCAGGAGATTGAGACCGTCCTGGCTAACACAGTGAAACCCCATCTCTACTAAAAATACAAAAAAAAAATTAGTCGGGGGTGGTGGCAGGCGCCAGCAGTCCCAGCTACTTGGGAGGCTGAGGCAGGAGAATGGCATGAACCCGGGAGGCGGAGCTTGCAGTGACCCGAGATCACACCACTGCACTCCAGCTTGGGCGACAGAGCGAGACCCCGTCTCAAAAAAAAAAAAAAAAAAAAAAAATTAGCCGGGTGTGATGGCGCTGCCTGTAATCCCAGCTACTCAGGAGGCTGAGGCAGGAGAATCGCTTGAACCCAGGAGATAGAGGCTGCAGTGACCCGAGATCGCACCTGTCTCAGCTGAGAGTGAGACTGTCTCAAAAAAAAAAAAACAAGAAAACATACGGGAAGTGCTTCAGGGCATTGGTCTGGGAAAAGATTTTATGGATAAGACCTCAAAAGTACAGTTAACAGAGGCAAAAGTAGACAAATGAGATTACATCAAACTAAAAAGCTTCTGCACAGCAAAAGAAAAAACAGAATAAACCTATGGAACCTATGGAGACAACTTATGGAATGGGAGAAATTATTTGCAAACTATCCATCCAACAAGGGATTAATATCAAGAATATGCAAGGAACTCAAACAATTCAACAGCAAAAAAATAAATAATCCAATTTTTCAAATGGGCAAATGATTTGAACAGGAATTTCTCAGACATACAGATGGCCAACAAGTATATGATAAAATGTTCAATATCACTAATCATCAGACAAATGCAAATCAAAACCACAATGAGATATCATCTCACCACAGTTAAAATGGCTATTATCAGAAAGACAAAAAGTAACAAATGAAGGCAAGGATGTGGAGAAAGCGGAACTCTATACACTATTGGTGGGAATGTAAATTAGCACAGCCATTATGGAAAATAGTATGGAGGTTCCTTGAGAAACTACAAACAAGGCTAGCGCAGTGGCTCACACCTGTAATTTCAGCAGGTTGGGAGGCTGAGGCAGGCGGATCACCTGAGGTCAGGAATTCGAGACCATCCTGACCAACATGGTAAAACCCCGTCTCTGCTGAAAACATAAAAATTAGCCGGGTATGGTGGCATGTACCTGTAATCCCAGCTACTTGGAGGCTGAAGCAGGAGAACTGCTTGATCCCGGGAGGCGGAGGTTGCAGTGAGCTGAGATCATGCCACTGCACTCCAGCCTGGTTGACAGAGCAAGACTCCGTCTCAAAAAAAAAAGAAAAACTATAAATAGAACTACCATATGATCCAGCAATCCCACTACTGGGTATCTATCCAAAGGAAAGGAAATCAGTTTATCAAAGAGATATGGGCACCCTCACGTTTACTGCAGCACTATTCACAATAGCCAAAATATGTAATCAACCTAAATGTCCATCAATGAACAAATGAACAAAGAAAATGTGGTACACAGACACAATGTACTCTTATTCAGCCATAAAAAAGAATGAAATCCTGCCATCTGTGGCAACATGGATGAGCTTGGAGGGCATTACATTAAGGGAATTAAGCCAGGCCCAGGGAGATAAATACCACATGTTCTCACTCATCCGTGGGAGCTAATAAAAAACTGATCTCAGTTGGGTAAAGTCTGTTGGCTGACACCTGTAATCCCAGCACTTTGAGAGGCTGAGGTGGGAGGATCACTTGTGTCCAGGAATTCGAGACCAGCCTGGGCAACAGACAGACCTCCTATCTACAAAAAATCAAAAATTAGCCGGGCATGGCAACGCACACCTGTAGTCCCAGCTACTCAGGAGGCCGAGGCAGAAGGATCATTTGAGCCCAGGAGGTCAAGGCTACAGTGAGCCATGATGGCACCACTGCACTCAGCCTGGATGACAGATTGAGACCCTATCTCCAAAGAAATTAAAAATTAAAAAAAAAAAAATGCCAGGCACAGTGGCTCATGCCTGTAATCCCAGTACTTTGGGAGGCCGAGGCAGGCAGATCGCCTGAAGTCAGGAGTTTGAGACCAGACTGGCCAACATGGTAAAACCCTGTCTCTACTAAAAATACAAAAATTAGCCAGGCGTGGTGGTGCACGGCTATAATCCCAGCTACTTGGGAGGCTGAGGCTGGAGAATCGCTTGAACCTGGGAGACACCAGTTGCAGCGAGCCAAGATTGTGCCACTGCACTCCAGCTTGGGCAACAGAGCAAGAATCCATCTCAAAAAACAAAACAAACAAACAAAAAAAAACTGATCTCGTCCAGGCTCGGTAGTTCCCACCTGTAATCCCAGCACTTTGGGAGGCTGGGATGGCGGGGGGGGGGGGGGGCGCGCCGGCGGGGATCACCTAAGTTCAGGAGTTCGAGACCAGCCTGGCCAACATGGTGAAACCCCGTCTCTATTAAAAATACAAAAATTAGCCAGGTGTGGTGGCAGGCACCTGTAATCTCAGCAACTCGGGAGGCTGGGGCAGGAGAATCACTTGAACCTGGGAGGCAGAGGTTGCAGTGAGCCAAGATCGCGCCACTGCACTCCAGCCTGGGCGACAAGAGCAAAACTCCGTCTCAAAACAACAACAACAACAACAACAAACTAATCTCGCAGAAGTAGAAAGTAGAATAGTGGTCACCAGAGGCAGGAAAGGGTGGTGGGGGTGGGGGGAGTTGTGGAGGGAAATAGGGAGAGACTGGTTAATGGGTACAAAATTACGGTTAGGTGGAATAAGTTACAGTATTCTAAAGAACAACAGGGTGACTACAGTGAATAAAACTTTATTGTATATTTCAGGCCGGACGTAGTGGCTCACGCTTGTAATCCAAGCACTTTGGGTGGCTGAGGTGGGCAGATCACCTGAGGTCAGGAGTTTGAGACCGGCATGGCCTACATGGTGAAACCCCATTTCTACTAAAAATACAAAAATTAGCTGGCATGGTGGTGCACACCTGTAATTCCAGGTACTCAGGAGGCTGAGGCAGGAGAATCACTTGAACTCAAGAGGCGGAGGTTGCAGTGAGCCAAGATCACACCACTGCACTCCAGCCTGGGCAACAGTGCGAGACTCTGTCTCCGGAAAAAAAAAAATATTGTATATTTCAAAATAGCCAGAAGAAAGAATTTTGACTGTTTCCAACAAAAAGGATACGTGTTTCAAGTGATGAACACGCCAATTACCCCGATTTGATCATTACACATTATGTATCAAAATATCACACTGTACCCCATAAATATGTACAATTATTATGTGTCAATTAAAAATAAAAACAGGCCAGGTTCAATGACTCATGGCTGTAATCCCAGCACTTTGAGAGGCCAAGGCAGGAAGATCACTTGAGGCCAAGAGTTCTAGACGAGCCTGGACAACATTGTGAGACCACCATCACTACAAAAAATAAAAAAAAAACCTCAGCTGAGGCCAGGTCCCATGGCTCAGGCCTGTAATCCAAACATTTTGGGAGGCAAAGACGGGAAGACTGCTTGAGGATGAGAGTTTGAGACAAGCCTGGGCAACATAGCAAGACCCCATCTCTACAAAATTTAAAAAAATGTTAATTATTTGAAATATGGATTTTCATCATCATTCTAAATGAATTCTCACTTTCATGTGGATCTGCTTATTTTTTGCCGTGCAGTATCGCAAGCAATACTGGGAAGACATCATAATTAGCAAATATTTTAAATATATATATATATATATATTTTTTGAGACAGGGTCTCATTCTGTCACCCAGGCTGGAATGCAGTGACACTATCTCGGCTCACTGCAACCTCTGCCTCCTGGGTTCAAGCGATTCTCCTGCCTCAGCCTCCTGAGTAGCTGAAGTTACAGGCATGCACCACCACACCAGCTAATTTTGTATTTTTAGTAGAGATGAGGTTTCACCATGTTGGCCAGGCTGGTCTCAAACTCCTGACCTCAAGTGATCCTCCTGCCTCGGCCTCCCAAAGTGCTGGGATTACAGGTGTAAGCCACTGCACCCGACATTTAAAATAATTTTTAAAAAATGGTTTTGAAACAAGGTCTCACTCTGTCACCTAGGCTAGAGTGCAGTGGCACAATCATAGCTCACTACAGCCTCAAACTCCTGGACAAGCAATCCTCCCACATCAGCCTCCAATGTAGTGGGACTACAGGTACGCACCAAGGCTGCCTAAGGTTTTTTTTTTTTTTTTTTTTTTGAGACGGAGTCTCACTCTGTTACCCAGGCTGGAGTGCAGTAGCGCAATCTTGGCTCACTGCAACCTCCGCCTCATGGGTTCAAGCGATTCTCCTGCCTCAGCCTCCCAAGTAGCTGGGGACTACAGGCACGTGCCACCAAGCCTGGCTAATTCTTTGTATTTTTAGTAGAGATGGGGTTTCACAGTGTTAGCCAGGATGGTCTCCATCTCCTGACTGCGTGATCCGCCTGCCTCAGCCTCCCAAAGTGCTGAGATTACAGGTATAAGCCACCACGCCCAGCTGGCTGCCTAATTTTTAAACCTTTTTTGTAGAGACGAGGTCTTGCTATGTTGCCCAGGCTGCTCTTGAACTACTGGCCTCAAGGAATTAAAATATTTTAAATTATTTATTTAGTCTCATCCTTTAAATTTTCCTATTTCTATATGTTTTATAACATATAATATCAGTATATATTAGTACATGATATTCTACTGTTACCATATATATATAATAGAGACTAAGAGCTTAACTTTATTTTACTATTTATTTAGGTGACATAGTCAATAAAGCATGGAGACCACTAACCTGGAGTCAGCTCAGAAGTCCTGAAGCCCTCTTCCCAGTCCCCCTATTCACTGTCCCAAGATGACCAAAGCCAAAGGTGAGCCCTTGGCCCAGCAGGATCAGAGAAAGTGGAGGCAGTGAGGAGGGGGCCTGGCTCCCCGCCCCTCCCCAAGCTGCACAGAGGGCCTACCTGATTGTGCCATCGGATGACATTTCCAAATCCCCCTGTCCCAAGGCGCTCTTTCATTTCCCAGGCCCCACATGTCTGCGTTGTCAGGGAAGGTGACCAGCTCATACTGATGTCGTGCTAACTCTATAAGCAATTTGGGATGGGGAAAAAAGGTTAGGATTAAGAAAAAAATGGAGCTCAAAGGGATGGAGAAGGCAAGAGATACCACTGCTCTTGAATGGGAGAGAAGAAAAATACAACTGGTTTTTTATTTTGTAAAGAAACCAATGTGTTTGGTTGGTCCAAACTTTGTGGCAAACTTTTGTCCCTCTCACCCTCCCCCATCCGGTTGCTGTGGCATCAGGCAAGGAAGAAAGTCACCGAGGGAGGCGATGCCCACGCCCTTGCCCTAGCGAGGGGATCCCCAGCTGACTCCACCAGGGGCGCCCGGGCCTGCCCGCCTTCTGCCCGAGGTGGCAGGGGCAGAACCTACTTCTGAGCATCGCCGAGGTCACGTGTTTCTTTACAATGTTCCCATAAATCGCAGGTTCCCCTCAAAGCCACCCACCCCCAAGAAGCCACCCCAGGGAGAGCTGTTTCTCCCGGCTTCCCGAACTCCAACCCGCACAAGTGAAACGCTCCCCAGTCCGCAAGCTGCGACTTCCCAGCGGCACAGAGGGGTCTTCCGGGCCTTGCAGGCAGCGGGGCGGCGGGGCCTGCAGGTGGCACCCGGGCCGCACCCACGAGGGGGACTCACCTGTCGGCAGGGACGCGGGGCAGGGGGCGGGCTCCCCGGGGCGGGGAAGGCGGGGCTGGGGCGGCCAAACCCGGGGCTATGACACCCCCCTGAAAACATTAAAATGCGGGAATCTTAACGCGGGCAGCGCGGCGCGACTTCCTCAAACACTTCCTGCTCTGACGTCACGGAGCACGTTGGCCGCGGCCGCTCTTAAAGAGGCCGCTCCCGGCGCGAGGCAGACCAGGTCCGGATGCTGCGAGTGCTGCGCCTGTCCCGGGACCCTCGACCGGGCGACTCCCCCGGGGCGGGGGTGGCGTGTGGTCTCTAGACAACTGAGGGAAAGTAGACAGACCGTGCTCACCGATTTAAAAGAACAGCCCTGAAATGACCCCCGTTACACCCTGTTCTCTTTAGACAAGTTACTTCCACCTGGAGCGGTTTCTGGGCCCGGGTATGGGGATTTCTTCACCCGGCCCCCTAGGCTTTCACCTCGGTGGAATTTCCCGCGCCCCCGCTGGGATGATTTAGGGACTGTTGGCTAGAACTGCCCTTGCCTACCGCCCTACTGCGGGCGCTCCCCTGTCTGGGGGGTGCTTGGCTGGGTGTGGAGAAGGATCAATCACAGCTGACTCCTCAGAGGTGACAGCCCCTGCCCCCTTAAAAACAAGAAAAGACCTAGCAGTGTGAAGCCAAACTGCACCCCCAGCCCCGGTGACATGAGGAAACCGTGAGGCGCTCAGCCTGAGGTTCATCGTTCATCTCCTTCCTGCTTGGAATCAGAATGTCCTCACTGCTGAGTTTCTCCGTTTTATGGGATTACATTAGTGGACAAAGGAGGTGTGTGTGTGTGTTGCTATATTTTATTCAAGCAGAAAAAAACTACCAAAGGAACCTGAAGATGATAATAATAGCTCACATCTATAGAGTGCTTACACAGTGCAGGGCTCTGTTCTAAATCTCTGTACTTAGATTTCCTTATTCAATCCTCAGGGCAACCCTGTAAATTGGAAAATACTGCATCATCATCATCATTATTATTATTATCTCGCTCTGTCACCCAGGCTGGAGTGCAGTGGTGTGATCACAGCTCAGTGCAACCTCCAACTCCTGGGCTCAAGTGATTCTCCTGACTACAGGTGCGCGGCCGCCATACCTGGTGGCGGGGTCTCACTCACTGTGTTGCCCAGGCTGGTCTCCAACTCCTGGGCTCAAGGGATCCACCCGCCTGGGCTTCCCAAAGTGTTGAGATTACAGGCTGTGAGCCACTGCACCTGGTCTGCATTATTATTATTTCCAAGGTACATGGCTGCTACGTAGATGAGCTGATACTCAAACCCTAGCAACTGGTTCCCGGGTTCTTAATCCGTGGCTAAAAGTAGCATGTTAAGAAGTTCAGAAGGAGGCAAACTGGATTTTGAATCCAGATACTGCTGTTGACTACCTCTGAGGCACGGGGGCTGGTTACTTAAACACTGTGAGAACCTATTTCCTCTTTTAAAATTTAGGCAATATTAGGTTGAATTGCATTTAATTGTCATTTTTTGGAAATTGAAAACAGCCAAAACATCAGTAACAAAGATCAGCAGTTTCATCTGCTTCATTGTAATAGCAGGGGGACAGGCGGGCTCATAGAAAGTCATAGAAAGGAGGCCACCCCAGAGTTGTTGTGAGGGACAAATGAGGTATTGATAGCAGCAGTGCCTGACAGCCCTGGGGTTGAAGTTAACTCAGGGACAGATCTCAACCCAAACATAGGGGTCAATGGTGTCCAGGGCTGTGCTAGGCACGCTGGCTGCTCGGTTTCTCCCCTCTCCCCTCTTCCCTCTCCTTTCTCTTTTTCTTTCTCTCTCTCTCTCTTTTCCTTCCTTCCTTCCCCCTCCCCTCTCCTCCCCTCCCCTCCACTCCCCTCCCCTTCCCTTCCCTTCCCGGCTACTTGGTTTCTTTCTTTTCCTTCTTTTCCTTCCTTCCTATCTCTCCTCCTTCCTTCCTTCTTTCCTTCTTTCCTTTCCTTTTCCTCCCCTCCCCTCCCCTCCCCTCCCCTCCCCTCGCTTCCCCTCCCCTTCCCTTCCCAGCTGCTAGCTTTCTTTTTTTTCTTTCCTTTCTTTCTTCCTTTCCTTTCCTTTCTTCCTTTCCTTTCCTTTTCTTTCCTTTTCTTTCTTTTTTCTTTCTTGACAGGGCCTTTCTCTATCGCCCACTTTGGAGTATAGTGGCAGGATCACGGCTCACTGCAGTCTTGACCTCCTGGGTTCAAGGGGTCCTCCCGCCTCAGCCTCCCCACTAGCTGAGATTACAGGCACGTGCCACCATGACCAGCTAATTTTTAAATTTTATTTTGTTGACATGGGGGTCTCACTATGTTGCTCAGACTTGGCTTGAACTCCTGGCCTCAAAGCAATCCTCCCGCCTTGGCCTCCCTAAGTGCTGGGATTACAGGTGTGAGCCACCGCTTCTGGCCTGGTATTTCTTGATTACTCCCAGCTAAATGGCAAGCTCAGCCTCAAGGCCAGAAGCAACAGGAACATGAGTAAATAGTTGTAACACACGTAGAATAGTGACTGCATTGTCTAAGTGCAATATAAGTGTTTGCTTAATAAGTAAATTTTTTAAATAAAATATTTATTGGCCAGGTGAGGTGGCTCATGCCTGTAATCCCAGCACTTTGGGAGGCCAAGGTAGGCAGATCACTTGAGGTCAGGAATTTGAGACCAGCCTGGCCAACATGGTGAAACCACGTCTCTACGAAAAATACAAAAATTAGCTGGGCGTGGTGGCAGGTGCCTATAATCCCAGCTACTTGGGAGGCTGAGGCAGGAGAATCACTTGAACCCAGGAGCTGGAGGTTGCAGTGAGTGGAGATCGCACCAGTGCACTACAACGTGGGCGACAGAGCGAGACTCCATCTCAAAAAAAAAAATTTGGCCGGGTGTGGTGGCTCACCCCTGTAATCTCAGCACTTTGGAAGGCCGAGGCAGGCAGATCACTTGAGGTCAGGAGTTCAAGACTAGCCTGGCCAACATAGTGAAACCCCGTCTCTACTAAAAATACAAAAATTAGGCCAGGCACAGTGGCTTACACCTGTAATGCCAGCACTTTGGGAGGCCAAGGCGGGCAGATCACGAGGTCAGGAGATCAAGACCATCCTGGCCAATATGGTGAAACGCCATCTCTACTAAAAATACAAAAAAATTAGCTGGGCGTGGTGGCACGTGCCTGTAATCCAAGCTACTCGGGAGGCTGAGGCAGGAGAATCGCTTGAACCCAGGAGGCAGAGGTTGCAGTGAGCCGAGATCGTGCCATTGCACTCCAGCCTGGGCGACAAGAGCAAAACTCCATCTAAAAAAAAAAAAAAAAAAAAAAATTATTGAGCACCTATATGTGCTGGGCACTGTGGAGAGTCCATTTCCAGTACAATGTCATAAAAGGTTTCTCTTTAATCCTGTCATCTCTGAAAAACACTGTCCTGAGAAACTTACCAAGATGTCCGCTAATATGCCAAAAGTTTACTCTGCGCTCCTGTAATTTGAATCCTCATTTTGCTCAGCTCAAAATAACTTGGCTTTCAACTGAACATAAATCTCTCTGATAAGGTCACGTATTACTAGGCTTTTTTTTTCTTCAATTAATCATGGACCAGGAAGGGGCCTCTGGGTTTTATCATATTCCAAGATATTTATTATCTTAAGCTCAATTTTCTATCCAGATAAGACATGTTTAGCTATCTCTGCCTGCATCTGGTTTCTGTCCTGCTCTGGAGATATGAGCAGACTGTTTACAAAAGATATTTTCAGATTCAGCAGAAAAATGTCCCCTTTTCTTCCTGCTTTGAGGCTGAGTGTGCTTTTTAGCTGTGCTATAGGGAAATCAAGAAATACTGACCAGCCAGAGTGCCTAGCTCAGCCCAGGGCATTACTGACCCAGGGGATCCAAGCAATGGAATGAGATCTCATCAGAGGCACTTAGAATCTTACTGGGTTTTTAAGACCCACAGGGAGCCATGAAGTAAGGACAGACAAAGGCCAGGCAATATAAAATCACACACGGATTTGTTCTGCAGTAATTAGTACCACAGTACAGTACCGTTATAGGAAAGGGGTCCCGATCCAGACCCCAAGAGAGGGTTCTTGGATCTCGCGCAAGAAAGAATTCAGGGCGAGTCAGTAAAGTGAAAGCAAGTTTATTAAGAAAGTAGGGGCCAGGCATGGTGGCTCACTCCTGTAATCCCAGCACTTTGGGAGGCAGGTGGATCACGAGGTCAGGAGATGGAGACCATCCTGGCTAACACGGTGAAACCCCGTCTCTACTAAAAATACAAAAAATTAGCCAGGCATGGTGGCGGGCGCCTGTAGTCCCAGCTACTCAGGAGGCTGAGGCAGGAGAATGGTGTGAACCCAGGAGGTGGATGGATCTTGCAGTGAGCCAAGATCGCGCCAGTGTACTCCAACCTGGGCGACAGAGCGAGACTCCACCTCAAAAAAAAAAAAAACAAAAAAAAAACAAACAAAAAAAGAAGGTAAAGGAATAACAGAACGGCTACTCCTTAGACAGAGCAGCCCCCGAGGGCTACTGGTTGCCCATTTTTATGTTTATTTATTTATGCTAAACAAGGGGTGGGTTATTCATGCCTCCCTTTTTTAGACCAAATAGGGTAACTTCCTGATGTTGCCATGGCATTTGTAAACTGTCATGGTGCTGGTGGGAGTATAACAGTGAGGACGACCAGATGTCACTCTCGTGGCCATCTTGGTTTTGGTGGGTTAGAGCCGGCTTCTTTACCGAAACCTGTTTTATCTGCAGGGTCTTTATGACCTATATCTTGTGCAGACCTCCTGTCTCGTTCTGTGACTTAGAATGCCTTAACCATCTGGGAATGCAGCCCAGTAGGTCTCAGCCTCATTTTACCCAGCTCCTATTCAAGATGGAGTTGCTCTGGTTCAAATGCTTCTGGCAGTACTAGTGATAAGGATAAGGTTTCTGAGCACTGTTAAATTTAAAATGAAATCTTGTTCACAGAGTAAGTCAAAGATAACTGTCTTCTTACTCAGTCTTTTATGTCATCCACTGATTAAATTCTGCTCTCTCACCTGATGGCAGTGAAGCAAAGCAGCACTGAGCTCCTCCAAGTAAAGAAAGAATTGTTTTCTGTACAACCTGGAGCTGAATCATAGAAGGAGAAGACAGCTTGAAAGATAAGAGGCCGTAAGGCAGACCACAGAGGATGGGGAGGATTTCCCCAGCACCCCAGCCCCCATAGTCAGCTCTGGTTCAGCGATTTCAGCAACTCTTTCATGACCCATCTGATTTTGTTTTATCCCAGCCCTGCAGAGAAAGGACTCTGCAGGTCAGGACTTGCTTCTTCAACAGACAAAAACTCCTCTGCCAGAAAAGTTGGAGAAACTAGTTTAGAAAGTCGGAGGATGTGAAGAAGTCTGCCTTTGTTCTGGGGACCTTGGTGGGAGATGAGGGTGGGCTGGTGGAGACGAGGGTGAGAATGAACCTTGCCGCAGACCCTTTGGGCTCCATGCAGAGCTGGCTGCAGAAGAGGAAGGAAAGGAAATTGGCCAGCTGCTGTCTCTGTGACTGGACCTGGGCCAATCAAGAAACTGAGAGGAGCAGGGCCAGCCGGCTGTTGTGCCTCAAACTTAGGCAGAAACAAGCAAAGGCAAGGATTTGGGGCTCTGAGTCACCCTCTCTGGAGGAACAAGAGCTTAGAGGAGGAAATCACTTTTTAAGCTCCCTTTACTTTTACACACACGTTTTTATTCCAGTAAATTCAAACTAAAGAGGAAGAAGTCATGAAAGGGCAGCTGCCACCTCAGGCCATGGTGGCGGAGACAAAGGCTATGGGCCGGTGTAGACGTCTAAGAAACCAACAGGTATGCTTTTCGGCTTACCTTGGTTCTGAGCTCCTACTTTTGACCCATGGGCTGTGTTGCAGCTCAGCTGCCGGACTCTAGTCCTTCCTGGGCTCAGGCCTCTCTCTGCACTTCCCCTTGTCAGTGGTGCCTGGCCCTCCTACCTGCCTGTCCCAACTTTTCCTTTCTGCAGGAGTCTGCTGGTGACTATCTGGGAGGCCAGATCACAGTAGGAGACCAGAATATGCCACCCAAAATAGGCCTCTTTGGCATACAGATTATTCTGAGAAACAGCAACCGAAGAAGCAACTCCGAAAGCAGAATAAAAATGACCCTTTTGCCCGGGTGTGGTGGTGTGCACCTGTAGTCCCATCTATCCCAGAGGCTGAAGCAAGAGGATCACTTGAGTCTAGGAGTTCACAATCAGCGTGGGAAACATAACAAGAACCTATCTTTACTTAGAAAATAAAATGGGCTGGGCACGATGGCTCACGCCTGTAATCCCAACACTTTGGGAGGCCGAGTGGGGTGGATCACCTGAGGTCAGGGGTTTGAGACCAGCCTGACCAACATGGTGAAACCCCATCTCTACTAAAAGTACAAAAATTAGCTGGGCGTGGTGGCAAGCACCTGTAATCCCAGTTACTCGGGAGACTGAGGCGGGAGAATCACTTTAACCCAGGAGGCAGAGGTTGCAGTAAACAGAGATGGCGCCATTGCACTCCAGCCTGGGTGACAAGAGTAAAACTCCATCTCAAAAAAAAAAAAAATGTTTAAGGCCCGGCATGGTGGCTCACACCTGTAATCCCAGCACTTTGGGAGGCTGAGACAGGTGGATCACCTGAGGCCAGGAGTTCAAGACCAGCCTGACCAACATGGTGAAGCCCTGTCTCTACTAAAAATACAAAAATTAGCTGGGCATGATGGTGGGCACCTGTAATCCCAGCTACTTGGGAGGCTGAGACAGGAGAGTTGCTTGAACTAGGGAGGCGGAGGCTGCAATGAGCTGAGATCGTGCTACTGCACTCCAGCCTGGGAGACAGAGTGAAACTCAAAAAGTTAAATTAAGTTAAATTAAATAATATTTTAAAAGCTACCCTTTTGTAAGGGAAATTTACATCTATAAAAACCATCTCTCTGCTGTTTTCTGTTAGCCTCAGCAACAACAAAAAACATCTCTTGCCAGGCGTAGTGGGTCATGCCTATAATCCCAGGACATTGGGAAGCCCAGGCAGGAGGATTGCTTGAGCCCAGGAGTTTGAGACCAGCCTGGGCAATATAGGGAGACCCCATCTCTACAAAAAAATCAAAATATTAGCTGGGTGTGGTGTCGTGCCTGTAGTCCCAGCTACTGGGGAGGCTGAGGTAGGAGGGTCACTTGAAATCAGGAGTTCGAGACCAGCAAGACCTTGTCTCTAATTAATTTTTAAAAATATAATTTTATAATTAATTATAAAAAATAAAATTAATTTTAAAATAAAATATAATTATCTATGTATACTTAAATACCAAAAAAAAAAGCCCAGCTGGGCGTAGTGGCTCACACCTGTAATCCCAGCGCTTTGGGAGACCAAGGCAGGTGGATCACCTGAGGTCAGGAGTTCGAAACCAGCCTGGCCAACATGGTGAAACCCCATCTCTACTAAAAATACAAAAATTATCCAGGCATAGTGGTGGGCGCCTGTAATCCAAGCTCCTCAGGAGGCTGAGGCAGGAGAATTGCTTGAACCCAGGAGGCAGAGGTTGCAGTGAGCCAAAATCGTGCCATTGCACTCCGGCCTGGGCAACAGGAATGAAACTCCATCTCAAAAAACAAACAAAAAAACGCGTCTCCATTTGTAAGGGTTTCTTTGTCCCTATACCAGGAAAAGAAGTGTGGCTCTAATGCACCAGAAACTCTAATCATTAGAGAAGACACCAACATAAATCTGCACTACAAACCTTAGCTTTACTTACCAAGCTTTTTCTGGACACCACCCCATAACTGTCCACCCCAACACCGTTCTTGTTTTGTTTCAACTGGAGATGGTATTTAAGCCCGAATTCTAAGCCACCCCTCTAGATTTTACTCATTTCTCTGGGTATCTCCTATGTATACCTGAAATATACATGTTGTTAAACTTCCTTTTGTCTTTCTCTTCTTAATCTGCCATTTTGTTATAGGAAGTCCCAGCCGGAAACACAGAAAGGATATGGAGAAAATTATTATTCTGCCCCTACAGTTTCGGTGACCCAGATGGGATCTCTGGGACACCCTGCCTGCTCTACAATTGGGATCCCTGGAAAAGTGACAGAATCTGGCAACAGGTAAGAATGTGGTGTCGGCCGGGTGTGGTGGCTCACACCTGTAATCCCAGCACTTTGGGAGGCCAAGGCAGGTGGATCACTTTAGCCCAGGAGTTTGGGACCAGCCTGGGCAAGATGGCAAGACCCTGTCTCTACTAAAAATACAAAAAATTAGCCAGGCATAGTGACTCACACCTGTAATCCCAGCACTTTGGGAGGACAAGGTAGGTGCATCACTTGAGCCCAGGAGTTTGAGACCACCCTGGGCAAGATGACAAGACCCTGTCTCTACTAAAAATACAAAAAATTAGCAGGGCGTAGTGGCTCATGCCTGTAATCTCAGCACTTTGGGAGGCCAAGGCTGGTGGATCACTTGAGCCCAGGAGTTTGAGATCAGCCTGGCCAACACAGCAAGACCCTGTCTCTACTAAAAATACAAAAAATTTAGCCAGGCATGGTGGTGTTCGCCTGTAGTCCCAGCTACTCAGGAGGCTGAGGCAGGAGGATCACTAGAGCCCAGAAAATTGAGGATGCAGTGAGCCGTGATTACGCCACTGCACTCCAGCCTGGGCAATGAGCATGAGACCCTGTCTCAAAAAAATAAAAAAATAGGCCAGGCATGGTGGCTCATGCCTGTAATCCCAGCACTTTGGGAGGCCGAGGCGGGCGGATCACGAGGTCAGGAGATCGAGACCATCCTGGCTAACACGGTGAAACCCCATCCCTACTAAAAATAAAAAAAATTAGCCTGGTGTGGTGGCGGGTGCCTGTAGTCCCAGCTACTCAGGAGGCTGAGGCAGGAGAATGGCGTGAACCCAGGAGGCGGAGCTTGCAGTGAGCCAAGATTGCGCCGTTGTACTCCAGCCTGGGCCACAGAGTGAGACTCTGTCTTAAATAAATAAATAAATAAATAAATAAATAAAAGAATGTGGTAGTTAGCTCTCCTGGATCTGTGTGATGTCAGTCAGGGGAGGAAGGTACAAGTTTCTCTTTTGTGCCTTCTATTTCTTTTCTTTTCTTTTTTTTTTTAAATAAAGTGGTCATCTTTTATTTATTTTTTTTTTATTATTATACTTTAAGTTTTAGGGTACATGTGCACATTGTGCAGGTTAGTTACATACGTATACATGTGCCATGCTGGTGCGCTGCACCCACTAACTTGTCATCTAGCATTAGATATATCTCCCAATGCTATCCCTCCCCCCTCCCACCTTCTATTTCAAATTCACATTAGCAGGAGAAATCATTTGTAAGAATTAATTTTTTTGGACAGTGACTCTGGTGAAATGTGGTTTGGGGTAACCATTGGTTATTGATCCTTTCACTCCCAGGGACAGCTATTGCTTTCCTGTTTGTCTCCTTTTGTGTCCTAAAAATGTAGCATGACTATCCGCCTGCTGAGGCGCCCAGATTATCCAGGCTGCCTGTGCAGGCAACCAACTGCCAGGTCGGGGACACCCCAGAATACGGCCAGCCAACCACCAGGTCAGGGACACCCAGGAATATAACCAGACAGAAAGAGAAGTGTGGGCTGCATCCCATCTGTGACCAGTGTCTGTCAACCTACAATCATCAAAACGGTCAGAATCTAGTTCAAAGAGAGGTCATCAGCACAAAGTTGAGGACTGCAGCCCGGGACACACTTCCAAGTTGCCTTGGGGACTGCTCCAGACAACAAAAGAGAGGCTCAAGTTTTGAAAGGAAAAAATAAAAAATCAGGAGAAGGAGAATTACAAAAGTTGTTTGTCAGGAATTCACATTGGTTTACAGAAATAACCTCGGTTATTTTTATGAATAACATTGGTGATTGGCTGTGCATTCTTGAACTACAGGGTGTATGGCATTTTATGGCTACTTGGTGACAGTTAATCTAGAGCCCCCATAGTGAGTGGCTGCTAGAGGTAATTATTTCACTCAAGGGGGAGAGGGACATGACTGGTGTTACATTTTAAATGCCTTTCTGGGTCTCATAATTTAAAGGGGCTTGCATTCCTCAAAAGAAATATATTTCTTGGAAGGGGAGGTGAATAGGGTCTCACTGTCACCCAGGCTGGAGTGCAGTTGCGTGATCATGGCTCACTGCAGCCTCGACCTCCTCAGGCTTAAGCAATCCTCCCATCTCAGCCTCCTGAGTAACTGGGACTACAGGTGTACACCAGCACATCCAGCTAATATTTGTATTTTTTTGTAGAGGTGGGGTCTCACCATGTTGCCCAGGCTGGTCTCAAACCCCTGAGCTCAAATGATCTACCTGCCCCAGCCTCCCAAAGTGCTGGGATTACAGATGTAGGCCATAACAGCTAGCCAGATGAAATGATTTTTCTTTTTCTCATATCCTACCAACCACTGCCAGCTCTTGGGGTGTTTTCTAAGACTTTCTTCCCTTGGCTGTCTATGGGAGTGGCTCCCATAGTCTATGGAAAGGGCTGTATCTTTGCACCCTGTTTGGAGAGGCATCTCATTTCTGTGGCAAAGCCATAAAAGGCTCATTGGTTTTAAGTCCTAAGAGGTTTATGGCTTTGGTCTTCAGTCATTTGCTAAGTATACATTTTCTGTAAAAGAAAAAGGAAAAAAACTATTCAAATAGGAGTTCAATATTGCCAAGAATACTTAGTGTTTGTCCCAGGAGAATTTGATAATAGGATATTTGAAAGGATTTTTTTTTTTTTTTTTTTTTTTTTGAGACAGAGTCTTGCTCTGTCACCCAGGCTGGAGTGCAGTGGTGCATCTCGGCTCACTGCAACCTCTGCGCCCCAGAGTCAAGCGATTCCCCTGCCTCAGCCTCCCAAGTAGCTGGGATTACAGACACGTGCCACCAAGCTAGGCTAATTTTTGTATTTTAAGTAGGGTTTAAAACGGAGTTTCACCATGTTGGTCAGGCTGGTCTCAAACTCCTGACCTCCTGATCTGCCCGCCTCAGCCTCCCAAAGTGCTGGGATTATAGGCATGAGCCACTGCGCCCGGCCTTGAAAGGCTTTTTTTTAAAGGAGCTCTATGGTCAGAAGTTGGCCTGACTAGAAGCCAATATTCAGACCCTAGTAGGAGTTACTGTTTTAAGTCCTCTCTGTTCTGTCAAGCTGATCCTGCAGCTCCTATGGGAATGTCTCCATCGCTTGAAACTCCCTTCCTGAAGCCCCACTGTCTATGTGCTCAACCAACTCTGTCACTTCCCTATGGTTGGCACAGTTTTTCTGAGGATAATATGGGACTTTACTGGCTTCTTTGGGGAACTTGAGATCTCCCGACTCTGGCTCCCCTACAACCTCTTCCTTCCCGTTGCTCCTGTTTCTCCTTCCTTCTCTCATCTTCTCTCCACTTCTCTCTCTCTCTCTCTTTTCTCTCTCTTTTTTTTTTGTTTTTTTTTTTTTGAGACGGAGTCTTACTCTGTTGCCCAGGCTGGAGTGCAGTGGCACAATCTCAGCTCACTGCAACCTCCGCCTCTGGGGTTCAAGCAATTCTCCTGCCTCAGCCTCCCGAGTAGCTGAAATTACAGACTCCTGCCACTATGCCTGGCTAATTTTTTGTATTTTCGAAGAGACAGGGTTTTGCCATGTTGTTCAGGCTGGTCTTGAGCTCCTGAGCTCAGGCAATCCACCCACCTTGGCCTCCCAAAGCACTAGGATTACAGGTGTGAGCCACTGAGCCTGGCCAATTAAACTCGTACTTTATTGCAATGCCATGCTCTTCATTTGTGCAGCAGGCGGGAAGAACCTGTCAGGCAGTTATAAAAATAGGATAAAAGTATATAAATGAGCTTTTAACAATGATTATGGTTTATCACATGTCTACTAAAAATGGTTCCCCAAATCTCTTTGGTAACCTATAGTCAGGGTTTTGCTAAGTTAAGTTAAATTAAATGATAAATATTTACTGCATACCTAGATATTTTCCAAATATAATAAAACATGGAAGCATTAATTGCTGAATATAGGTCTGTCTACTCTTGGCTTCATAGTACAAGAGACTCCAGATGTTTGAGTGTGTTAGTAAACATATCCCATGCCACATTGAAAAACTGTGCTACAGGCTGGGCACAGTAGCTCATGCCTGTAATCCCAGCACTTTGGGAGGCCAAGGGGAGCAGATCACCTGAGGTCGGGAGTTTGAGACCAGCCTGACCAACCTGGAGAAACCCTGTCTCTACTAAAAATACAAAGTTAGTCAGACATGGTGGTGCATGCCTTTAATCCCAGCTACTCAGGAGGCTGAGGCAGGAGAATCGCTTGAACCCGAGAGGCAGAGGTTGCGGTGAACCGAGATAGCGCCATTGCATTCCAGCCTGGGCAAGGAGAGTGAAACTCCATCTCGGAAAAAAGAAAGAAAGAAAGAAAGAAAAACTGCTATGAAAAAATATATGTTTCGAAAAATTATAAAATGGTATATTCATAGACTTGCCTGTCTACAGAATGCTAGTGTGACAGTTCATGATTGCTTAATTTCTAGTGAAAACTAGAAATTTCTTAATGATTGCTTAATTTCTTAATGATTGCTTAGTTTCTAGTGAAAACCAGAAAGTGTAAAGAACAAAACTTGTATGCAAGGAAAATAGGATACGGGATTTCTGTAAGACAAGGTATGAAGCAGCTGGGCGCGGTGGCTCAAGTCTGTAATTCCAGCACTTTGGGAGGCCGAGGCGGGCGGATCACCAGGTCAGGAGATCTAGACCATCCTGGCTAACATGGTGAAACCCTGTCTCTATTAAAAATACAAAAAATTAGCCGGGCATGATGGTGGGCGCCTGTAGTCCCAGCTACTCGGGAGGCTGAGGCAGGAGAATGGCGTGAATCCAGGAGGCGGAGGTTGCAGTGAGCAGAGATCGCGCCACTGCACTCCATCCAGCCTGGGCGACAGAGTGAGACTCCGTCTCAAAAAAAAAAAAAAGAAAGAAAGACAAAAACTGAATGGAGCTAGGCATGGTGGCACATGCCTGTAGTCCCAGCTACTCAAGAGGCCAAGGCAAGAGTATTGCTTGAGCCCAGGAGTTCAAGACCAGCTGGGGCAACATAGCAAGACTGTCTCAAAACAAAAATAAAACAAAAAAAACCCTGAATAGATTTAGAAAGTTAGAGAGAGAGAATCTTGTGTGATTAAGTTGGCTAAAATTGAATCAATTTATTATAAGGATCTCAAAAATGAGCCTTAATATCAAAAGTACAATCTAAAACTAGAGTTTCATCTTCTTTCTTAAAATTACAAAGTTTTATTGGAGTATTGGACTTCTCTTGATAAAATACTGTGGAACGTTTTTCTTTACCGTCTATGTAATCTGTGTAGGAAATCTAGAATTTGCTGAGGTGGAAAAAAATCTGCGTCTTATCAGAATAATTTCCTGTGTTTCATGTTGTCTTTTTCAGGTGTTTGATTACTTAAGAAGACTCAGTCTTCTCTGTTAAAAGAGCTAAGCTAAAAAAAAAAAAAAGAAAACTGTATACCTTTCTGTAATTACCTCTGAAATCTTCCAGCGCTTTGGTTAAATGGATAACTGAGTAATGTTTTACAGTGATCTGTGATCCTGTTTAATCAAAAAATTTAGTCTTTTGACTTTTAAAAAAAAAATTGTCCTTTGAAAATTTTTTTTTAGAGATAAGGTCTCCTCCTATGCTGCCCAGGCTGATGTCGAACTCGTGGGCTCAAGTGATCCTCCTGCCTTGGCCTCCCAAAGTGCTGGGATTATAGGCATGAGCCACTGAGCCCAGCCGTCTTTTGGCATTTTTGACAACTTTGAAAAATCAAACTCTACATGAAGTGTTTTTGACCTTGAGCTAACTTTGGAATTTTCCTGAAGGCCCCTAAAAAGTCACAAAGGACTTGTCTTTCTTCTTTTTTATTTATTATTAATTTTTTTTTTTTGAGATGGAGTCTCGCTCTGTTGCCAGGCTGGAGTGCAGTGGCGCGATCTTGGCTCACTGTAACCTCCACCTCCGGGTTCAAGAGATTCTCCTGCCTCAGCCTCCCAAGTAGCTGGGACTACAGGCGCGTGCCACCACACCCAGCTAATTTTTGTATTTTTAGTAGAGATGGGGTTTCACCATGTTGGCCAAGATGGTCTCAATTGGTTGACCTCGTGATCCGCCTGCCTCGGCCTCCCAAAGTGCTGGGATTATAGGCATAAGCCACTGCACCCGGCCTTGTCTTTCTTCTTATAAAAACAAACTTGTTAAATTAATTTGGTACGTTAAATTACATGGGAAGCATTGTTAAAAAAGAAGTGATACTAAAGCTTCTTTATGTCATATTTGTATGTATTTATGTGTTCCAGAAATTGCATGAAGTTATAATGTTGTCAGTTATAATTCTAGTTATTATCTTAAAATGTATGTGACAGAAGTAACTGAATTTTTTTCTCAATTGTATTACAATTAATTCTCATCCTTTAACCATGACCATTTGAAGTCTTTTGTCATCCACAGACAGTTAATTGTTTTATTTTGATGCATTCCTAAAAGCTTTTGCAAACAACTATAATATGAACCACCATGCTTATGTGGTTTCTTTGCATGGCTGCTGTGCTGATGAGTAAGAAAAGTCATTTCCTGGTAGGCCCAGGAACCTCAAGAAAGTGCATTTGTATTTAAGGAGATTCATGGAGAAAACGGACAAGTACACGTTCCTGATGACTTTAAGATCATACCGTTCAACTTCCAGAACACTAATGGAAAAACTGACTCATTCATGAAATTGCTAACCAAAGATCAAGCAGAACAAGAATTAATTACATCAGACTAGATGACCCAATGAAGATGATTTAAATTATTTTTAATTATTATTATTTTTTTTGAGATGGAGTTTTGCTCTTGTTGCCCAGGTTGGAGTGCAATGGCACAATCTTGGCTCACTGCCACCTCTGCCTCTCGGGTTCAAGTGATTCTCCTGCCTCAGCCACTTGAGTAGCTTGGATTACAGGCGCATGCCACCACCCACAGCTATTTTTTTTTTTTTTTTGTATTTTTGGTAGAAACGGGGTTTCACTATGTTGGCCAGGCTGGTCTCAAACTTCTCACCTCAGGCTATCCACCTGCCTCAGCCTCCCAAACTGCTGGGATTACAGGCATGAGCCACCACGCCCGACTGATGATTATAATTCTTATGACTTCTTGTTTTAGGACATTTCTGGGTCTTTAATGGCTTTTCTCTTTTTTTCTTAAGCTAACTAAAATTTACAGCAATCAGGTAAATTATACCTTCGTAAACAGAATTGAAACATTTATCCTTTTTTCTCTACCTGATCCCTGTAGAATTCAGAAACTCTTACTGGCTATTCTTATTTTCATGACTACTCATGACTATATAGTTATTTTCTTTTTCTTTTTCTTTTTTTTTTTTGAGATGGAGTTTCACTCTTGTCGCCCAGGCTGGAGTGCAATGGTGCAATCTCGGCTCACTGCAACCTCCACCTCCCGGGTTCAAGCGATTCTCCTGCCTCAGCCTCCCAAATACCTGGGATTACAGGTGCCCGCCACCACTCCTGACTAATTTTTTTGTATTTTTAGTAGAGACGGGGTTTCACTCTGTTGGCCAGGCTGGTCTTGAACTCCTGACCTCGTGATCCACCCGCCTCGGCCTCCCAAAGTGCTGGGATTACAGGTGTGAGCCACCATGCTTGGCACTATATAGTTATTTTCATAAATTCAGTAAGAATCTAGTCTCCTTATAACAGGGACACAATTGAAAACCTTGATTATATTGCTAAGACGTTGACTGGAATATCAAATATGAAAATGAACATATAATCCGATATGATCAGACAGTTTTAAGGAACTAAGGTTGACTTTATGGAGCCAAAAAGCCAACCTCATACTTTGCTTATGTGGTTTCTTTATGTGGTTGCCTTACAGATGAGTAAGAAAGGTCACTTCCTGGCAGACCTCAGGTATATTGGGGACATCAAGAAAAGAATAATTCATCAAAGTCTACAGATATTGCAGGCAAAGTTGAAACAAGCCAGACAAGTTCTCTTTGTATTCTTGAGAGACTTGGAAAGTCTAACCTGAGATTCCTTATTAAAAGTTCCAGCAAAACAGACTTAAAAAGAGCCTATATGATTTTTTTTTAATTAAAAAGTAAACTTTAATGTCGAAAATGCGAACTTGGGGAAGACAGAAAAGATCACAAACAAGGCTGTCACGTCACACTTGGAAGGTTGTACAGTGGCCAGGCAGAGGCACTCCTCACTTCCCAGATGGGGCGACGGCTGGGCAGTGGCACTCCTCACTTCCCAGATGGGGTGGCCGGGCAGAGGTGCTCCTCACTTCCCAGACAGTGGGGCAGCTGGGCAGCGGCGCTCTTCACTTGCCAGACAGGGCGGCAGCTGGGCAGACGCGCTCCTCACATCCCAGATGGGGTGGTGGCCGGGCAGAGGCACTCCTCATTTGCCAGACAGTGGGCAGCTGGGCAGAGATGCTCCTCACTTCCCAGACAGGGCAGAAGCTGGGGAGAGGCGCTCCTCACTTCCCAGACAGTGGGCAGCCGGACAGAGGCACTCCTCACTTCCCAGACTGTGGGGCGGCCGGGCAGAGGGGCACCTCACTTCCCAGATGGGGTAGCCGGGCAGAGGCGCTCCTTACTTCCCAGACAGTTGGGCGGCTGGGCAGAGGCGCTCCTCACTTCCCAGACGGTGGGAAGCTGGGCAGTGGTGCTCCTGACATCCCAGATGGGGAGGCCAGGCAGAGGCCCTCATCACTTCCCAGACAGGCTGGCCGGGCAGAGGTGCTCCTCACTTCCCAGTCAGTTGGGCAGCCGGGGAGAGGTGCTTCTCACTTCCCAGACAGTGGGCAGCCGGGCAGAGGCGCTCCTCACTTCCCAGACAGTTGGCAGCCGGGCAGAGGGGCTCCTCACTTCCCAGATGGTTGGCAGCTGGGCAGAGGCACTCCTCACATCCCAGATGGTGGGCAGCTGGGCAGAGGTGATCCTCACTTCCCAGACGGGGCGGTGGCTGGGCAGAGGCGCTCCTCACTTCCCAGATGGGGCAGTGGCCAAGAGCCTATATGATTAATCACTACTCTTGTTGCACTTAATCAGGGCAAGTATAAAGAGACTAGACTTATTTTGCAAATTAGTCTTTACTGTGACTATCTTTGGTAGAAATGGAGGTGACAGAGAGAAATATTATGTTTTAGTAAAAAAAACTATTATGCACCTGTAAAAAGTAAAGTAGAGGTTCCTCTTCAAAGACTTTCCTCCCCGTCTGATTAGGAACAAATAGTAACTTCTCTTAGAAGCAAAATTTATTCAAAGACCTGTGCTAACATTCTTAAATATCTGCTAGCCGTAATAAAGAAATCAATGTACTTTATGTTAGCTCCCACAATTTAGCCTAAATATTTGCCCTGGCATGCTTATACTGGTCCAAGAAAGCATTAGGTCACAGCCTGTTCTTCTTCCTTATTTGAAGGTGTTTTTACCTTTCTCAGCATTCCACGTTACCTCCTCCTTCCTTTGTTCTCCTCTGCCTTTGCCTCTTTTAAAAAGTTCTGAGTTGCTAGAATACAGAATGTGAGGTCCTGTTGCAGCCAATGGAAACTGGGCACAGCAGTAGGGTGGATGCGTCGGGTTATAAATGACCCTGACTCCTTTGTTCGGTGTACTCTCATGGCAAAACTGCTGGCGAGTGTACCCTTTCTGCAGAAAGTATACAAATGGCCTTGCTGAGTAAATTAAATTTATGTTCAAGTGCTATTTCTTTACAGCACCAGGGAACAAGCATTTCAAACACACCTGTGACTAGATTCTAGTTCTGTTCATTGTCTTTGAAGTTTTGTTATTTACCTGCAAACTGGACTGGATCCCCAATTCTAGTTTCCTCCAATATCTGGTTATGACTCTCCAAACTAACATTCCAATTTTTTTCCAACCCTTCTGACTTGGAATCACTAAGAACAAACTGCTCTTTTCATGAAGCTGCAAAAGCTGAAGCTGCTTGACTTGATATTAACTTTAGAGTATCGATGAAGAGTCAGACTCTTTGATTGATGATCCAATCAAACATTTGATTGATGTCAAATGTATTCATCATCAATCAAATACATTTGAGAAATACATTGGTTTGGTCCAGAAAGACAAGACAACTCAAAGCAGGGGCTTTCAGGCTATAGGTAAATTGAAACATTTTCTGGTTGAAAATTGGTTGAATTTGTCTAAGACCTGCAATGATAGAAAGGAAATGTTCAGGTTAAGATAAAAGATTGTGGAGACCAAGGTTCTTTTGAAGTCTTATAGTGGCTGCCCTTAGAGACAATAGATGATAAATTTTCCTATTCAGATCTTTAAAAGGTGCTAGACTCTTCGTTAATCTCTTCAGGATTGGAAGGGCCTGGAAGAAAAAGATCTAGCTTTGTTAATAGAGATTCTTTACAGATACAAATTTTCCCCCACAAAGGACAGCTTTGCAGGGCCATTTCAAAATATGGCAAAGAAACATGTTTTGGGTTAAAATATTTTAACTTTCTTCTTTGTCATGTTATGCTAGAGTCAGATTGGAAAGTACGTCACAATACATAGGGTTAAATAAAACCCATCTGATGAGAATGTATGGTTTGTAGAGGAATGACCCCTTTGTACTTTTTAAGGTATGATGATTCATTTGGAATTTCCTTTTGTATGAGGAATGAGGAAGAGATTCAGCACTATTTCTTTTCCCCAGTGGGCTAGCTTATTATTCCAGACATTTATTTAAAAATCTATCTTGGCTGGGTGCAGTGGCTCACGCCTGTAATCCCAGCACATTGGGAGGCCAGCGCAGGAGGATTGCTTGAGCTCAGGAGTTCAAGACCAGCCTCATCAACCTAGTGAGACTTGGTCTTTACCAAAAATTTAAAAAATTAGCTGGGTGTGGTGGCACGCACCGGTAGTCCCAGCTATTAGTGAGGTGGTGTTGCTCATCTGGGGTAATACCTGAGGTTCATTGCCTCACACCAAGGAAATAGAGGATGCAGACACACGCAGGAGTGAGTTTAAGAGCAGAGGTTTAATAGGCAAAAGAAAGAGAATAGCTGTCTCTCCTACAGAGAGAGAGGGACTCCTGAGTGGGTCATCCGGTTCTGTGGTGGAATGCATGGGGTTTATAGAGGAGCTTGAGGAGGCAGTGTCTGATTTACATAGGGCACAAGACCTTGGTTGGACCAGGTGTGCCGTTTGCATAGTGCGAAGAAGCTGGCCATCCCACCCTAATCTTTTATTATGCAGATGGGGTCTCTACCTGGCCAGTGCCATGTCACCTGCTCTTTTACTGCATATGTGGGGACAAAGAAAAGGGAAGATGGAGCCTCCATGTTGAACATGCCTGGCCTCCAGGTAGCCTTTTCCTATTGGCGCAGCAGCCAGCATTCACTTATGCAAGCTTCCAGCTTGCTTATCTATGTCTGCAGCTTGATTTTACAGGCTCTCAGTCTGCCTTATGCCCCTTGGATGAATTCTTTCCTCTGAAGAGGCAAGAAATGAGGTTGCTGCAGACCTGTATGGATTTGTCACTGCTAACAATCTCTCCATTTGTTACTTTTCTTTTCTTTTCTTTTTTTTTTTTTTTGAGATGGAGTCTTGCTCTATTGCCTAGGCTGGAGTGCAGTGACACAATCTCAGCTCACGGCAACCTCTGCCCCAGGTTCAAGTGATTCTCCTGTCTCACCCTCCCTAGTAGCTGGGATTACAGGTGTCTGCCACCATGCCTGGCTAATTTTTGTATTTTTAGTAGATGTAGAAAGTAAAAAGTTTCCTCTTCAAAGTTTTCCTTCTTGTTAAAGAATAAATCATAAGTGTTAGGAAAAATAGTTTCTTTTAAAGACTAACTTTCTTCAAGCCTCCTTGCTTTGTGCTAATAACTCTTTGTTAAACCCTATCCTATGTAACTGTTGGACATGCTCACAGGCACGTTCCAGCTCACAGCCTATGCCCCTTCCTTATATGGACATGTTATTGCTTCCTTAAACCTTCCGTAAGCAACTTCTTTGTTCTTCCCTGCACTAACCTATTGAGGAAAGTTTTAGGCTATTAGCAAATCAGGTATCAGTTTAAGATTGTGAGGTCCTGCTCCAGCCAATGGATGCAGGATACAGCAGTAGAGACGACCCAAATGCTTAAGGGATAACTATGTCTGCTTTTCCTTTGTTCAAGTGTGCTCTCGCCATTGTTCCATCTGTGAGTGAGCACCCTTTCTGCAGAAAGTAAAGATGGCCTTGCTGAGAGATCTTTTGTCTCTGTGCTTTCTTTTGTTCGTGGCACCGATGATCTATTTCTAACACTTTTGGTATTTCTAGCAGTAGAGGTGGGGTTTCACCATGTTGGCCAGGCTGGTCTCGTTGGCCAGGCTGGTCTCGAGCTCCTGACCTCAAGTGATCTGCCCACCTTGGCCTCCCAAAGTGCTGGGCAAAGTGCTGGGATTACAGGTGTGAGCCACTGCGTGCAGCCCTCCATTTGTTTCTCTAGGAGCTATTTTAATTACTATAACTTCATAATATGTTTTTTTGTTTGTTTGTGAGACAGGGTCTCACTCTGTTGCCCAGGCTGGAGTACAGTGGTGTGATCATAGCTCACTGCAGCCTTGATCCTCCAGGTTCTAGCAATCCTTCTGCCTCAGCCTCCTGAGTAGCTGGAATTACAGACACACACCACTGAAACCACCTTTACAAAAAGTATATCAGTGGGAAAATGATGGCAGTGGGAAAGATCTGATCTTGCCAAGCCCCATCACCACCGTTCCCTGCCCCCACCTCCTCACCCCTCCCGGCCCTGTCTTTGGCCTTCTGGCTGCCCTTAATTATTCCTGGGCTTAGGCCAAGATAACTTTGGGAGACATTTAGTTTATAGTTTAAACGATAGTAGCCCTTCCCCAAACTCAGCTGCCTTTATAATCCTAATGAGGGAGCACCAGGCTAGGAGGATAGAAGATCCTGAATTCTGCTAGGGTGTAGATGTAAATGATTGGCAGCCATTATTCTGAAGGTCACAAAATATGCAACTTCCCCCAATTACCCCTGCAGATAACATCACTAACATAGAACCAATGATTGGCCTTTTGAGATGTCTTTTCAGGTTTTTTTGTATGTCTGATACCGATGGCTCCACCTGGATCCACCAACTACTCCCGTGGCCCCACCCAGAAGTGACTCAGTGCCCAGGAGGACTATTTCCCACACCCCTGTGATTGCATTACCAACCAACCAGCAGCAAGCAATCATTACCTAGTCACCCCAACCCCTTTCCCCAAACTACCTTTGAAAAACCCTAGCCCCCAAATGCCCTAGGAGACTTATTTGAGTAATAAAAACAAACAAACAAACAAACAAAAACCTCTAGTTTTTCATTCGGCCAGCTCTATGTGAATTAAACTCTTTCTCCACTGCAATTCCCCTGCCTTGATAAATTGGCTCTATCTGGGCAGTGGACAAGAATTCACTGGGCAGTTACACCACCACACCCAGCTGAATTTTTTTTTTTTATTTTTAGTGAAGACGAGGTTTCACTGTGTTGCTCAAGCTGGTCTCGAACTCCTGAGCTCAAGTGATCCTCCTACCTCCACCTCCCAAAGTGCCAGGATGACAGGTGTGAGCTACCGTGCCCATCCCATAATGTCTTAACATCTGGAGAATAATACATGTTTTCTTTAATCCTCAAAATAATTCAGTGAGTAAAATCCTTCTTCCATGATTGCAAATGAGGAAATGGAACAGCGGTGAAGCAACTTGTCCCTGGCCACAGGGATGTTAAGTGCAACCCTGAGATCTGCACTAGCCTCTGCATTTCTCTCCAGGGCCTTTTTGAATGCATGGCCTTCTAGTAGAGCTTTGTAGGTTCTCATGTCATCCTAAGACTCAGAAAGTCCATCAGGTTTCCCCTGGTAGAATCAAAAGTCTTGTAGTTTATTGGTCTTGTTAGTCTTAGTCCCAGTTAATAAAAAAACATATATATATATGTACACACACACACACACACACACACACATATATATACATGCATATATAAATTATAGGGATATTTTGTCTTTTTTTTTGAAACAGGGGCCTGCTCTGTCGCCCAGGCTGGAGTGCAGTGGCACAAACACAGCGGACTGCAGCCTTGACCTCCCAGGCTCATGCAACCCTCCCACCTCGGCCTCTCAAGAAACTGGGACCACAGGCACGTGCCATCATACCTGGCCAATTTTTCAGTTTTTTTGTAGAGATGGGGTCCCCTGTATTGCTCAGGCTGGTCTCAAACTCCTGGGCTCAAGTGATCCTCCTGTCTTGGTTTCCCAAAGTGCTGGGATTGCAGGTGTGAGCTACTGCACCCGGCCCAATAAAAAAATCTCGTTCTGTGAAAGAAATGTTTAATAAAAGTTGTATTGTCAAATTTTTATAAAGTGAATCCCTTTTCAAATGAACCAGTGTAAAAGAATGCTTGAAAGAACTTCCAGTGAAGCAGAGTCCTTTTGCAATAGTAAAATTTACACCTTTGTTTATCTGTTTTGTGATGCAAATTTGGAGGGGATATTTGTTTTTTTTTTTTTTTTTGGTAGAGCCTCTGTTGCCAGGCTGGAGTACAGGGGCACGATCTCAGCTCACTGTAACCTCCGCCTCCTGGGTTCAATTGATTTCTGCTTCAGCCTCCCAAATGGCTGGGACTACAGGTGCCTGTCACCACACCTGGCCACTTTTTGTATTTTCAGTAGAGACAGGGTTTCACCATGTTGGCCAGGCTGGCCTCGAACTCCTGACCTCATGATCCGCCTGCCTTGGCCTCCCAAAGTGCTGGGATTACAGACATGAGCCACTGCAGCCGGCTATTTGGGTCTCTTAAAAAAAGGCATACCCACCCAATTAAAGTCAAATTGCATTATGGAAAATGTTTGTGAAAATCAAAACTCTCTGTAAAAAGAGCAGTAACATTGGGCTCTAAGGTAAAGATCAATGCTTCCTGGAAAACATCTACCTTTCTACATCACCAGCAATTGATATGCACTGTACAGCTGCTTGGCAAAAATGGCCAGAACAACAAATGGTAGTATCAATACTCTAAGACAGGGGTCTCCAAACCAAGAGCCGAAGACAGGTCCCGGTCTGTGGCCTGTTAGGAATCAGGCTGTACACCAGGAGGTGAGTGGTGGGCAAGCGAGCATTACCACCTATATTAGTCCGTTTTCACACTGCTATAAAGTGTGAGATATACCTGAGATAGTAATTTGTAAATGAAGGAGGTTTAATTGATTCACAGTTCCACATAGCTGGGGAGGCCTCGGGAAACTTACTGGTGGAAGGAGAAGAAGACACTTTCTTTTTTTTTTTTTTTCCGAGACGGAGTCTTGCTCTGTCGCCCAGGCTGGAGTGTAGCGGTGAGATCTCAGCTCACTACAACCTCCGCCTCCCAGGTTCAAGCAATTCTTCTGCCTCAGCCTCCTGAGTAGCTGGGATTAGAGGCGCCCACTACTGTGCCCAGTTAATTTTTGTATTTTTAGTAGAGACAGGGTTTCACCATGTTGGCCAGGCTGGTCCTGAGCTCCTGACCTTGTGATCCACCCGCCTTAGCCTCCCAAAGTGCTGAGATTATAGGTGTGAGCCACTGCACCCAGCGCAGGCACTTTCTTCACAAGGCAGCAGGAAAGATAGAGAAAAGCCCAGAGGAAATTGTCACTTATAAAACAATCAGATCTCACGAGAACTCCCTCACTATCATGGGAACAGCATGAGGAAACTGCCCCCATGATCCAATCACCTCCCACCAGGTCTCTCCCTCAACACCTGAGGATTACAATTCAAGATGAGATTTGGGTGGGTACACAAAGCCTAACCATATCATTCTGCTCCGGCCCCTCCCAAATCTCATGGCCCTTTCACGTTTCAAAACCAATCATGTCTTCCCTCAGAGTCTTAATTCATTCCAGTATTAACCCAAAAGTTTCAGTCCAAAGTCTCATCTGAGATTAGGCAAGTCCCTTCTGCCTATGAGCCAGTAAAATCAAAAGCAAGTTAGTTACTTCCTAGATACAATGAGGTACAGGCATTGGGCAAATGCTCCCATTCCAAATAGGAGAAATTGGCCAAAACCAAGGGGCCACTGGTCCTATGCAAGTCCGAAATCCAGCAGGGCAGTCATTAAATCTTAAAGCTCCAAAATAATCTTCTTTGACTCCATGTCTCACATCCAAAACACGCTGATGCATGGCCTTGGGCAGCTCCACCCCTGTGGCTTTGCAGGGTACAGCCCACCCCCTCCGACTGCCAGCTGCTTTCACAAGCAGGCATTGAGTGTTTGTGGCGTTGTCTGTGGCTTTTACAGGCACACGATGCAAGCTGTCGGTGGATCTACCATTTTGGGGTCTGAAGGATGGTGGCCGTCTTCTCATAGCTTCACTAGGCTGCCTGAGCTCCGCTTCCTGTCAGATCAGTGGCGGCCTCAGATTCTCCTAGGAGCAGGAACCCTGTTGTGAACTATGCATGTGAGGGATCTAGGTTGTCTGCTCCCTATGATAATCTAACTAATGCCTGATGATCTGAGGTGGAACAATTTCATCCCAAAACCATTCCCCCTCACTCCCACCCCAACCCCAGGTCCGTGGAAAAATTGTCTCCCACGAAACCGGTCCCTGGTGCCGAAAAGTTTAGGGACTGCTGCTATAAGAAACCAGTCCCAACTTCCTTAGAAAACTTGAAATTGCCATGTAGGGATAGTCAAAGGGTAGAAAAGCTGCTTAAGAAGCTGTTTTCTCCTAACCCTTCTCTCTGAGATTCTGCAGTTTTATGCAACAAGATCAAGAAGGTATCCATTGCACATAGATGTTTACTGATATCGTAGAGCTAAGATTTAGTGAGCATCACTTGATGCCTGACTGTGCTAGGGGCCTGCTACATCTCACTGGATCCTGACATATAAGTTTTATTACACATATCTTTCCCATTTTGATATTTTTAAAGTGCAAAACAATGTATTTTGGGGAGAAGGGAACCAGAGCAATAGAGAAACATATTATAGAAAGTGAAACTCTGACAAAGTCACTCACAGAGATAAACTTTTCTGCAATTTTTTTTTACTTAGTACTATATCTTGAAACTATATCTGGGCTGGGCACTGTGGCTTACACCTGTAATTCCAACATTTTGGGAGGCCAAGTGGGGTGGATCGCTTGAGCTCAGGAGTTTGAGACCACCCTGGACAACATAGTGAGACCCTGACTCTACAAAAATTAGCCCGGCATGGTGGCATGCCCCTGCAGTCCCAGCTGCTCAGGAGGTTGAGGCGGGAGGATTGCCTGAGCCTGGGAGGTTGACGCTGCAGTGAGCTGTGACTGTGCCACTGCGCTCTAGCCTGGGTGACAGAGCAAGATCCTGTCTCGAAACAAAAAACAAAACAAGCATAAAAGAAAATATCTCTGCATCAGATCTTATTCTTTTTAACAGCAGGATCATATTCCATTGGATTGATGTATCACTTCTTAATTAACCACTTCCCTGTTTATGATTGTTTCCAATTTTGGCTACTGTAAAATGCTGCAATAAACATCCTTTTACGTGTATCTGCAGTAAACATCCTTTTATATGTCAAGAGTTTCAGAGAAGTTCCTGGAGGTGAAATGGCTGCTTCAGAAAGTAAGCAGATATAAATATTGTAATAGTTCTTGCCCAACTGCTTTCCAAAATGTTTATCTTTTCAGTACATTTTCCGGGTAAGGGCTCTCAGGTCTTGTAAACTAAGGGCTGTCTTTCCTTTCTGAGCTTTAGAGTACTTGATTCTATAATGATTACAGAACGATGAAACAATGAGCCCCTCGAGACAGGATTTCACTCTTCCTTTATCTTGCTGTCAAATGCATGCCAAGTGTGTTCAGACAGAACCTGCGTTACTCTGCCTGGCTGTGTGATTCTCCACCGCTCAAAGGCTTCTCCAACACATTTCTGTGTGGCTCCCTGGGAGCTGCTGGCAGATGGCCTGGGGCCTGTCAATCAGCCTTTGTGAACACAATCAGTTTGCAGAACTGAGGGACTGAGGCGTCCTGACCCATTTTCTGCTTCCATCACACCAGAAGTTGTAAACTCATGGTGTCATTGGAGACATGGGGGTGAGGTATTCCCAACACGTAAAGAATCATCAAACTAGAATTTCTTTTATTATTATTATTTTTTAAATTTTATTTTTGAGATGGAGTCTTGCTCTGTCGCCAGGTTGGAGTGCAGTGGTGCGATCTCAGCTAACTGCAACCTCCACCTCCTGGGTTCAAGCGATTCCCCTGCCTCAGCCTCCTGAGTAGCTGGGACTGCAGGCACGTGCCACCACGCCTGGCTAATTTTTTTTTTTTTGTATTTTAGTAGAGACGGGGTTTCACCATGTTGACCAGGATGGTCTCAATCTCCTGACCTCGTGATCCTCCTGCCTTGGCCTCCCAAAGTGCTGGGATTACAGGTGTAAACCACCACGCCCGGCCCAAACTAGAATTTCTAAAGAAAGGGCCCAAAAGCCCTTGGAAAGTAAATCATTTGGCAACTACATGCTCTCAGACTAGTCTCTCAAATGCCACAGAAGAGCTTTTTCCATAGGTTATAAACTAGAGCACAGAGCTAGCACTGAAGTGCAGTTCAGCCTGGTAGGGCATAGGAAATAGCACTTTTGTGTGTGGTCAGTTTGGACATTGGGTCTTTCCAAACCCTGACCCAATTATAGGCGGCAGCCCAATGTAGCTAATCCATTTATAACTAACAATTTCACATATAAAATGAAACTCTAATTGGGAGGCTGAATCAGAAGGATCACTTAGGCCCAGGAGGTCAAGGCTGCAGTGAGCACCACTGCACTCCAGCCTTGGTGATAGAGCAAGATCCCATCTCTAAAAATTAAAAAAAAATTCAATTGCTTTTTCAAATTATTATTAATCAGCACAGGAATACCTTAAGGAAGATTAAAAGAAGTAAAAGGAATGTGGCATACTTAAATCAGGTCTGTTTACCCAAAATATAACCAATAGCTCCGTATGTGTCTGTCTGTTAACCATCTCCACCAATGACACAGTGCTGGAACTGCCCGGGAAGCCCCCTCCCTTATTTTCTAAAGGGGAAACGGAATGGGCTCTGTTCCAAGATCTTCTTCTCCCAAATAGGATAACTGACTACCCTGTGTCAAGTAAGACTGGAAGACTCTGAAGATTTAAAAATAATTAATCCATTCAAATAAAATTACCTGATCCATGTGACAAACACATGGGCCTGGGTTTCCTCATTTTGGGTGGATGACCTCAAAGCATGGCAAAACTTCCAAATAAAATAAGGAATACATTTTGTGAAACATTTTCATAAATATAATTGAGGGAACCAAAGCTTAGTTTCCAGAAACAGTTATCCCAAGGATAATAGGAACTTGTTTTGCAGTTTGTATAGACAATCGGGCATACAGGCTTGGAGTTAGATTAGAATTCCCTAATGGGGCAGCAGTAGATTAATCCACATCTGCTTAGGTGATCCTACATCATCTGAGTTCAGCCAGTTTCTACCTATATTCTAATTTTTCCAGTATGAACAAAATTCTAGACCATGTGCAATTGCAAAACCTCAAATATTGTGCGACCCAATAAATGAACTTATCCAAATACATAGACTCTTAAAATGATTAACCCAGAATCCAGAACTGTTTATCCTTATTTTAATGTTCTGAACAACATGACCTTACTCACTACCGGTTACAAACTGGGTTCCTGTGAGTACTGTCCGTCTAAATTAAACTCAATTCTACCATCTGACCAAACTTCAAACCGAAGTGGCTTTATGGAGTGCTATAAGCAGTAGCACCAAAAATTTCACGTGAAGTTACACTAGTTATTCTTCTACTGTCCATGATGTCAATTAATAGTTGAGATTATGATTAATCCTAACCAAAACTCAGGGAAGTGGTGGGACATAAAACCTCCAGAGATGTTCTGGGGTTCTGAGAACACAGATCTGTAACCAAGTACCCCAATTTTTCTAAGAAATAGTTTAATTATTTTTTTCTCTTTCTTCTTTTTCCTCCTTTTCCCCACTTCTTACTTTAGCTCTTTAGAAATGCAATAATAGTCTATTACCTCCTCTTCATCAGATATTTCTTACAAATTCATCTAACTCTGTGCTTAGATGCTCCAGAGCAGAACGCTCACCCACCAGGAGGCTGCATGGAGAGATAACAGTCAATTTACAATCCAAAGTCCCACTACAAAACTCTCTCCCCACCTGGAGAGTTTTAGGCCACTTTTACAACCCATTTCTGCCATGAAAATGCCAGTCCAACCGCCCAGTAGGTAAGACACTAAGCTGGCACGAGGACCACCCCCAACCTGCTCACCTCCTCCCCTGCCTTTTAAAAGTGCCCACTTTCTACTCCGAGAGCAAAGCCGTACCCTTAAGCCAGGAAGCCTATGCTTCTTCCCCTAAGCTGGCTTTGGAATAAAAGCCACTTTATACCAGAACTCGCGCTTGTGAATTGGATTCTGCAAGTAGCAACTGACAGACCCTGCATTTTGGTTATGATCTGGGCCTTCGTTGAGTGGCCTGCTCATTACTACAAAGTCCGGTCCTGCAGCCATCATGTGGAAATCGCACTGGGTATGGCCAGAGCCAGTGTCCCTCAGCTCCCTGTAGAGCATCAGAAGGGACTGGGGGAGGCTCAGAGCACCAGCAGTGACTTCTCAGCATGCATGAGGGGACACTTGGCAGAGGTGGCCCTGGCTATACAAGCCAGAGGCCGGGGAAGGACTGTAGGCATCAGCCGCAGATGCTGCAGCAAGTGAGGTCAATGACTAGCGACCAGGCCAAATGGAGGACGTTGCTGTACAGGGTGGCAGAAGATAGCATGGACCAGTACACTCCCCACTCTCTACAGAACTCAGCTACAATTAATATACCAACCACATATATAGAATTCTCATTATACCTTAATTATGGGTTATAGAGACCCTACTTCCTTGATACATCCACTTGACAACATCCACCTTAATATCTCTAATTTCCTTATTATTTTTAGTGTAAAATACTGCTATAAGGTGAGCTCTGCTAATAACAGCATCTAAACCCCACGATATTAGTTCTATTCAAAATCCATTTTTCAATGCTAGGAATCTTTATCCCAACCACAGGGATGATGCTATAATCTGCTTACTGTATTTATTTATTTACTTATGTCTATTTTTAAATATTTATTTATTTATTTATTTTTGAGATGGAGTCTTGCTTTGTCACCCAGGCTGGAGTGCAGTGGTGCAATCTCAGCTCACTGCAACCTCTGCCTTCTGGGTTCAAGCAATTCTCCTGCCTCAGCCTCCTGAGTAGCTGAGATTACAGGCGCGCACCAACATGCCCAGATAAATTTTGTATTTTTAGTAGAGATGGGGTTTCACCATGTTGGCCAGGCCAGCTTCAAACTCCTGACCTCAAGGTGATCCGCCCGCTTCGGCCTCCCAAACTGTTGGGATTACAGGTGTGAGCCACCACGCCAGGCCATCTGCTTACTTTAAATGGGTACCCTTTTTCATATTAACTGACCTCTCTCCTCTAATATTAGTTCGACCATCTAACTGAAGCTTGAGTTCCATACTAACCAGTTCTACCCATTCTCTTTGTGTTCTCCTGCCAGCATTAACATGACTTTTACCACTGCTACTTATAAGCAGGTGGGCTGATATGTCCCTATCAATTCCACTCTATTCTACCACAAAGGGTTGAAGCTTTCTATTTTTTCATTTGTTTCCAGTAGGTTTCTAGTTGCTCATTGAAGCATTTTTAGGATGACTGCTTTAAAATCTTTGTCAGATAGTTCTAACATCTCAGCGTTGGCCTCTGTTGATTGTCTTTTTCATTCAGTGTGAGATCTTCCTGGTTCTTGCTGTGATTAGTATTTTTTTAGTGGAAAATTCCTTGTTTATTAAGAATGTCACATTTTGAAACTAGAAGCAGTAAAGTGTACGAAAAGTTTAAAATATAAATTTCAGAAAACTCTTATAGCAGCAAAAAAGCAGAATAAAGAAAAACTTAAAGACACAGACAATAACCTTTTCCTATTACTGTGCCATAATTAACATCAAGTAGCCAACCAGTTTTTCCCCAGAAAATGGTATTACATTCTCTGCCTCCTGGGCCACAGATTTTCAACTGGCCCTTCCTAGGCAAAAAAAAAAAAAAAAAAAAAAAAAAAAAAAAAAAAAAAAAAGATTCCAACATATCTAAAGGCATCAACTGTTGGGAATAAACCAGTAGCTTCTTAATTTAACCTTGACAAACAATGGAAACAAAGATTAAAAGCAACTGATTTTTTCTTTTAACATTTGACTATAATGGCAAAAATGATACAGAACATGTAATATCTGTTTTCCTAGCACAGCCAGACAGAAAAGAAGGTTGAATTGGAACAAGAAAAAATTCATTTTGTCGGTGTCCTAAATGTACCACATTTTTTTTTTGAGACGGAGTCTTGCTATGTTGCCCAGGCTGGAGTGCAATGGCGCAATCTCAGCTCACAGCAACCTCTGCTTCCAGGGCTCAAGCGATTCTTCTGCCTCAGCCTCCCAGGTAGCTGGGAGTAAAGGTGTGTGCCACCATGCCTGGCTAATGTTTGTATTTTTAGTAGAGATTGGGTTTCACCATATTGGCCAGGCTGACCTCGAACTCCTGACCTTGTGATCCACCCACCTCGGCCTCTCAAAGTGCTGGGATTACAGGCATGAGCCACAGTGTCTGGCCCACATTCTGTTTTCAAGGTGTGTGGCAATATAGATTACTTGCTCTTTTTTTTTTTTTTTTTTTTTTTTTTGAGACTGAGTCTTGCTCTGTCGCTCAGGCTGGAGTGCAGTGGAATGATCTTGGCTCACTGCAAACTCTACCTCCCGGGTTCACACCATTCTCCTGCCTCAGCCTCCCAAATAGCTGGGACTACAGGCGTCCACCACCATGCCCGGCTAATGTTTTTGGATTTTTAGTAGAGACAGGGTTTCACTGTGTTAGCCAGGATGGTCTCGATCTCCTGACCTCGTGATCTGCCCGCCTCGGCCTCCCAAAGTGCTGGGATTGCAGGTGTGAGCCACTGTGCCTGGCCCCAATTACTTGCTGTTTCTAAATAAACTTAAGAGACAGGCTTAGAATTAACACTTCTAATAAAGTTGTAACTAACAGGGGAACAAAAAAACCAAAGTGATTCCTCAAAAAAAAAAAAAACAGCATTTGGCTAACAAATTGCCATCTGGTGTCACATGCTTGATTATGAAAGCATCTTGTGCAACCATCTTTAATTTTTCAAATTTTCTTATGTCTAGAGGCTGTATCATAGTTTATGTACAGAACAAGCAAATTTAAGTATTCTGTTAACGTGCAAATGACTTGGGAATGTAAAAATCAGTTTGTTATAAAGGAAAACAGAAATTCAAAAAGATTTTTCCTGGAAGACATATCATCATTCAGTTTACAATCTTGTATTTATAGTTTTAAAAAATTGCCTTTTACGGCCAGGCACGGTGGCTCATGCCTATAATCCCAACACTTTGGGAGGCTGAGCCAGGTGGATCACCTAAGGTCAGGAGTTCGAGACCAGCCTGGCCAACATGGCAAAACCTCCTTTCTACTACAAATACAAAAATTAGCTGTGGGTGGTGCCTGTACTCCCAGCTATTTGGGAGGCTGAGGCAGGAGAATCACTTGAACCTGTGAGGCAGAGGTTACAGTGAGCCAAGATCGTGCCATTGCACTCTAGCCTCGGCAAGAAGAGCAAAACTCCATCTCAAAAAAAAAAAATGAATAAATAAATAAATATATATATATATATATATAAATTGCCTTTTACAAAAATTGGTTGGCTCATTTGAAACCATTCAAAAGAAAGTATTTGTTTTGGAGAAACAAATACACTGTTGTTGGGCCTCAAATTGGTAATTTGTCAATTTTGGATGCTAATTCTAAATACAATATAAAGGAGGTCCAATTTAAAAACACTTTAAATTAGGCTGAGCTGGTGGGGAGAGATACCCACCGGAGGGGATGGGGGCCAAGCAGGTCGGGCCAGGCCACCTGAGGAATGGCAGACGCAGTGGCCCAGAGGGCGGCTAAAGGGAGCGAGAAGGAGATGGGAAGCGGGATGAGGGCCATGCTGTTGGGCTTCGAGGATGGTCACCCCAGGCTCACAGGAGAGGCCCCGTAGCTGTGGCTGCTGACATAAAGCCTCCAGCCAAAGGAACTGTGATGAGTGTTTTTTGATTGATCCATGGACTTTTGGGGCATTAGACTATGAGTCTCTGGATCTTACTTAAAGCATGTGTTTTAGCTTGCTTCCTCTGATACCACTCTGACAGGGGAGGAGGAGCTACCTCATCACAGCCAGATGGGGGTACAGGTCCAGGTGTAATCACCAGATGGATTCTTCTTGTGTGCTGCACAGAAAAAACCAATTCACAGAGACAGCAGTGTTGCAGTAGAGAAAGAGTTTAATTAATTCAAAGCTCGCCAAGCAAAAGGATGGGAGTTTATTACTCAAATAAGTCTCCTGAAGAATTCAGAGGCTAGGGATTTTATGGATAATTTAGCAAGCAGGGGCTAGGGAATGGGTGCTGATGATTGGTAGGGGATGAAATCACAGGGGTGTGAAAAAGAGCCCTCGTGCTAAGTAAGTCTCTGGATGGTGGCCACAGGACTGGGTGAGTCATGACCCTTGGGTCCAGGTGGAGTCAGTTGGTCCCAGAATTAAAAAGCCTGAAAAACATCACAAAACACCAATCTTAGGTTCTACAACAAGGATGTTATCTATAGAAGTGATTGGGGAAGTCACAAATCTCAACGACCTCTGGCTCCGTGACTCCTAACCAGTAAAGGATTATAGGAAAGCCACCTAAGGAACCATGGCTGGTTATCATTTAACTACACCTGCATCTTAGCAAAATTTGGGCCCCTCCCATCATCCTCATCTTGTGGACTTTCATTAGTCTTTCAAAGGCTCTTTCAGTCCCTGAACAAGGAGGGGGTCAGTTTTATGGAGGGGCTATTATCATCCTTGCTTCAAAGTTAAAGTGTAAACTAAATTCCTCCTGTGGCTAGCTTGGCTTACACTCAGGAATGAGTGAGGACAGTCAGCCTGTAAGGCTAGAAGCAAGATGGACCCAGCCAGGCTAGACTTCTCTCACTCTCGTAATTTTTGCAAAGATGATTTCACACGCTCCCCACTCAGCCAATGTTGGTTCTCAAGGGTAGGGACTCATTACTGCTAGGCAGGGACAATGGTTTCCACTAACATTTCTCTGGCTGGCAGGGATCGGAATTCCTAGTTACTGCTCCCCATTTGTTCTTTACTGATACTGAGTTGTGGGGTAGCCTTGTTACCCCTGGTCTTGGTGAAAGTCCTTTTTTTTTTTTTTTTTTTTTTTTTTTTTTGAGAGAGGGCCTTGCTCTGTTGCCCAGGCTGGAGTGCAGTGGTACCATCTCAGCTAACTGCAACCTTGACCTCCTGGGCTCAAGTGGTCCTCCCACCTCAGCCTCTGGAGTAGCTGGGACTATAGGCATGCACTACCACACCCAGCTAATTTTGTTGATTTTTTGTGGAGAGGGGGTCTTACTCTGTTGCCCAAGATGATGTTGAACTTCTGGATTCAAGCAATCCTCCTGTCTTGGCCTCCCAAAGTGCTGGGTTACAGGTGTGAGCTACTGCACCTGGCCAGTCCTTATTCTTCACCAGGCTCTTCTGCAACCCCCAGAAGAGAGGAGCAGATCCCCCTCATTGTAGCCTGGGGAGGGAGAGAGTCCCCCACTTGGCCTTTACTGGTAGGGGTGGGTGTCAGTCCAGAATTTTTTCTTCGACGTTTGGCAAGGTATAAACTAAAAATAAGATCCTAAGGCCCACATCAACTGAAAGGGCCCCCCTCTTGACCAAGGGAACCCTAGAAACACCTTAAAAACTGAATTCCCAGGCATTACGGGAAAGGAGGTCAGATATGCCCCATTATACCCCTCCCTTTCAGAGTTTAGATGCAACAACTGATAAGTATTAATGTTAAAATAGAGATCATAAGACTAGGCCGGGCATGGTGGTCATGCCTGGAATCCCAGCACTTTGGGAGGCCAAGGCAGGAGGATCACCTGAGATCAGGAGTTCAAGACCAGTCTGGCTAACATGATGAAACCCAGTCTCTACTAAAAATACAAAAATTAGCTGGGCATGGTGATGGGCACCTGTAATCCCAGCTACTCGGGAGGCTAAGGCAGGAGGATCGCTTGAACCCGGGAGGCGGAGATTGCAGCAAGCCGAGATTGTACCACTCCACTCCAGCCTGGGCAACAGTGAGACTCCATCTCAAAAACAAACAAACAAAAAAAAAAAACTGAGCCTTCTCTCGTAAAAGAGATAAGATTTGGGGTGTTTTTTAAAAAAACAACTACATTGGCCGGGTGTGGTGGTTCATGCCTATAATCTCAGCACTTTAGGAGGCCGAGGTGGAAGGATTACTTGAACTCAAGAGCTCAAGACCGGCCTGGGCAACATGGTGAGACCTTGTCTCTAATTTAAAAAATATTTTAAATTAAAATTTTGAAATATTTTTAAAAGGCTATGTTAGTTTTTGTATTTGCTCTTGAAATTTTTTTCACTTTGGTTATATGGATAACTAAGTATTGTTTCACAGTGACCTATGATTTCTTTGTGTGTGTGATGGAGTTTCACTCTTTTTGCCCAGGCTGGAGTGCAATGGCACAATCTTAGCTCACCGCAACCTCTGCCTTCTGGGTGCAAGCAATTCTCCTGTCTCAGCCTCCCAAGTAGCTGGGATTACAGGCATGCGTCACCACGCCCGGCTAATTTTTAGTAGAGACGAGGTTTCTCCATGTTGGTCAGGCTGGTCTCAAACTCCAACCTCAGGTGATCCACCCGCCTCGGCCTTCCAAAGTGCAAGGATTACAGACATGAGACACTGCGCCCAGCCCCTGTGATTTATTTTAATCAAGAGTTTTAAATGTTTTGACAGTTTCGACAACTTTCCCAAATCAAAATCTAAATGAAGTCTTTTTGACCTAGACCTCACTTTGAGATTTTACAGAGAGATATTAAACTAATTAGGCTTATTTGATATGTTAAATTACATAGGAAGCATGGCTGAAAAAGAAGTAGCCAGGCACAGTGGCTCACACCTGGAATCCCAGCATTTTGGGAGGTCAAGGTGGGTGGATTGCTGGAGGCCAGGAGTTCAAGACCAGCCTGTGCAACATGGCAAGACCCCATCTCTAAATATTAAAAAAAAAAAAGAGAGAAGTGATGCTTAATCTTTTAAAAGTTTCCTTTGTATGGATATATGTTATTAATATGAATGTTCCATGACATGTCCTTGTATAATGTTATCAGTCATAATTCTAGTTTTTTGTTTTTTGTTGTTGTTGTTTTTTGAGATGGAGTCTCACTCTGTCACCAGGCTGGAGGGCAGTTGTGTGATCTCAGCTGACTGCAACCTCCGCCCCCCAACCCCCACCCGGTTCAAGCAATCCTCCTGCCTCAACAGGTGCCCGCCACCATGCCTAGCTAATTTTTGTATTTTTAGTGGAGATGGGGTCTAACCATGTTGGCCAGGCTGAGCCAATTGGTTCTTACTGCCCACTGCACAAACAAAATCAACTCACTCAGACCATGGCATTGCAGTAAAGACGGTTTAATTGACATGACGCTGGCCATGCCACGTGGGAGATGAAGTTATTACTCAAATCAATCTCCCCAGAGGCTTGGAGGTTAGGAGGTTTTCAAAGATAGTTTCGTGGGCAGGCCGGTAAAGTAGGGGGAATGCTGATTGATTGGGTTGGAGATGAAATCACGGGAAATCGAAGCTGTCCTCTTATGCTGTGTCAGTTCCTGGGTGGGGCCATCTGGTTGTTAGAAATGCAAAAACTTGAAAAGCCATCTCAAAAGGACAATCAGGCCATGTGCGGTGGCTCATGCCTGTAATCTCAGCAATATGGGAGACCAAGGTGGGCAGATCACTTGAGGCCAGGAGTTTGAGACCACCTGGTCAACATAGAGAAACCCTGACTCTAGTAAAAATACAAAAAATTAGCTGGGCGTGGTGGTGTACACCTGTAATCCCAGCTACTTGGGAGGCTGAGGCACGAGAATCACTTGAACCTGGAAAGCAGAGGTTGCTGTGAGCTGAGATTGTGCCACTGCACTCCAGCGTGGGTGACAGAGGGAGACTCTGTCTCAAAAAAAAAAAAAAAAAGAAAATAAAAGAAAAGAAAAAAGAAAAATCCACAGTAAAAAGAGTTAGAAAAAAAAAAGAAAAAAAATTGACATCAAAAGGCCAATGTTAGGTTCTAGAGTAGTGATGTTATCTTCACAAGTAATTGGAGAAGTTGCAAATCTTATGACCTCTGGAATAATGGCAGGTAATTATTTAGAATTTGAACCATTTTCTTTCTCTTAACTTGGTGGCCTTTCATTAGTTTTATAACAGTTTAATTTTGGGGAAGGACTATTATCATTTAAACTATAAAATAGGCCAGCGCAGTTGCTCACGCCTGTAATCCCAGCACTTTGGGAGGCCAAGGCGGGCAGATCACCTGAGGTCAGGAGTTCGAGACCAGCCTCACCAACATGGTGAAATGCCATCTCTATTGAAAGTACAAAAATTAGTCAGGCGTGATGGTGGACACCTGTAATCTCAGGTACTTGGGAGGCTGAGGCACGAAAATTGCTTGAACTTGGGAGGTGGAGGTTGCAGTGAGCCAAGATTGCACCACTGCACTCCAGCCTGGGTGACAGAGTGAGACTCCATCTCAAAATATAAAATAAAATAGAATAAAATAAAATAAATAAAGTATAAAATAAATTTCTCCCAAAGTTAGCTTGGTCCATGCCCAGACAGCCAACCTGTGAGGCTACAGGCAAATGCAGTCAGACACATCAGATTTATCTTCCTGTCTTAATTTTGCAAAGGTGATTTCATTATTGTCTTAAAATGTTGTGTATCACAGAAATAATCACATTTTCTTGTCAATTACATTATAATGAACTCTCATAAAATCTTTTATCATGACCATTTTAAGAATTTTGTCATCCACAGTTAATTGTTTTATTTTTGTTACAGTGGGAAGCTCGTCAGGCAGGAACAGGGCAGGAGAGGGCCTCATGCCTCACCAGGAAAGTCAGGCGAACATCAGGTGATGGTCATGAAACTGCCTTTGCAAAAGGCACTGAGACAGTGAAAGAGGTCTAACTTAACTGACTCCATCTTGCTTCTAACCTCCAAGCTGTCCTTGTTCATTCCTGGGCGTAGGTTGAACTAACTTTGGGAGAAACTCAGTTTATGGTTTAAAACAAAGACGATAGCAGCCCTTTCCCAAAGCAGACCTCCTTCTTGCCTGGGAACTACATTGCCTTTGTAGGACTGACATTAGCCACAAGATTAGAAATTATGGTTTAGGAGTCATGCAGCTGGAGGCTACAAGATTCTGACCCTCCCTAAATGGCTCCTAAGATCAGTGCTTGAGATATTTTGCAGACCCTGCACTTGATGGATCAGCTGGCACCACCCAGATCAATAAACTGACTCATCTTATCTTGCAGCCCCCACCTAGGAACTGACTCAGAGCAAGAAGACAGCTCCGACTCCCTGTGATTTCATCCCTGACCAATCAGCTCTTCTAGCTCACTGGCTTCCCCCAACCCACGAAGTTGTCCTTAAAAACTCTGCTCCCGACTGCTGGGAGAGACTGATTTGAGTAATAATAAAACTGGTCTCCTGCACAGCCAGCTCTGCATTAATTAGTCTTTATTGCAATTCCCCTGTCTTGATGAATTGGCTCTTTCTAGGAGGCGAGCAAGGTGAACCCCTTGGGTAGTTACAGTCAGGCAGCTGTCACACTGCCTCTCTAAAATAACAACTGGTCCTAACCACTGCCAGGGAAAGGCAGTCTCCCTATAGATAAAAAAAACCCCTGAAACTGGTGATCAGCATCTTCCTGATAAGATCTCAGGAGTTGGGCAAGTGAGCTCAAGCATGCACATTAAGAGGCAAAATGGCGGAGTTTAACTGGTATATGACCTTTCTGGGGTATTCCACCAGAAAAGGAATGCAAGATGCTGGAAGTAAGCCGACATATAAAGCCCCAAGTCAAAAGGTCAAACCTGGCTGGGCACAGTGGCTCACACCTATAATCCTAGCACTTTGGGAGGCCGAGGCAGGCAGATCACTTGAGGTCAGAAGCTTGAGACCAGCCTGGCCAACTTGGTGAAATCTTGTCTCTACTAAAAATACAAAATTAGCCGTGCTTGGTGGTGTACACCTGTAATCCCCGCTACTCACTTAGGAGGCTTAGGCAGGAGAATCGCTTGAACCCAGGAGGCAGAGGCTGCAGTGAGCCGAGATCAAGCCATTGCACTCCACCCTGGTCAACAAGAGTGAAAACTCCATCTTATATAAAAAATAAAAAGATAAAAAGGTCAGACCCCCTGCTGGACCTCCAAGATGTCCACCTGGCTCTCTTCCAAGTGTACTTTACTTTCTTTTCATTACTGCTCTAAAGCTTTTTAATAAACGTTCACTCCTGCTCTGAAACTTGCCTTGGTCTCTTCTTCTGCCTTATGCCCCTCAGTCAAATTCTTTCTTCTGAGGAGGCAAGAACTGAGGTTGCTGCAGACGGGCATGGATTTGCCGCCACTAACACTCTGATCCTTTCCTGAAAGCTTTTGTAAGCAACTATAACCTGAAAGAGCTTTGTCTCCAAGGAAATGCATGATGACAACTCTGACAAGTATAAGTTTCTGATATAATAACTTTAAGATCATCTTACTGGATTGGGTAGGAATTTCCAGAATTCTAATAATGAAACTGAACTAAGATCAAGCAGAACAAGAATTAATTACCTGGGACTAAATAAACTGAGGAGGCTGATTATAATTTTTATGACTCCTTGTTTGAACACTGCTTTTTTTAAATGTTTTGTTTTTGCTGATTTAAGGAAACGTTTTTTCTCTTTTTCTTAAGCTAACTATAATTTACAGCAATCTGGTAAATTATACGTTTGTAAACAGAATTGAAGTATTTATTTTTTTCTCCCTACCTGTTCCATCTGGAATTCAGAACTTTTACGAAGCATTCTTATTTTCATGGCAATGTAGTTTTTTGCATAGGTTCAATGAGAATCTGTTCTCTGTATGACAGAACTCAACTGGAAACATTGGTGATATTACCAATTATTTCACTGAGCCATACATGAGAAGAACATGCACAGAATCAGATATGACCTGACTGTTTTTGGGAACTAAGGAGGACTTTAAGGAACCAATAAAGCCTTTTGGAAGAATTGACTTGGTACCTGGCTCAAAAAGCCACCTGGCCTTATGGTGTCAACCTAAAAGCAAGAAGCTGAGGCAAAGTTAGTACAAGTAAAATGTTTCTTTGAGTCACGCTTGAGGATTGCAACCCAGGAACACAGATTCAAGTTGCCCTAAATATATACCCTGCTTAGCGGCAATTACAAGTGGATTTTTGTGGGAGGCAAGAGGCAGTTTCTGAGTTGTTTACCAAGAATTTATATTAAAACAACATCAGTTATTGATTGGCTATACATCGTTAAGCTGAGAGTGTGGGTTATAGTGTCTGTTATAGCATTGTTGTGTTAATTTATAGCTACCTGTGGTAATAGCAAACAGGTTCAAGAGATGAACACATAGCTCAACAGCGGGGAGTAGAATGTGTAGAATGTGATTGCTGTCAGCACACTGATCATAAGGACCCCTCATTCTCCAAAAGCTAAAGGGCCTTAGCAGCAAGCACACAATAAGGCATACCACATCTTGTTTGACCATGTCACCCCGGAATCAGCAGTGATTTTTAAAAATCAAATGATACATGAGGGTTTGACTAAGCTATCCTCAGAATGGTTAATTTCATCCTAAGCTATCCTCAGAATGGTAAATTTCATCCTGGCAACTGAATTCATACCATTGACTTAAACCAGTACTTCCCAGTGTACAGTATGTTTACAATTTAAAAAGTGGCTGGATGCAGTGGCTCACACCTGAGATTTACTCATTTTTTAGGTATCTCCCATATACACATGAGGCACACAAGTAATTAAATATCTGCTTCTTTTTCTCTTGTTAATCTGTCTTTTGTTACATGGGTCTGTCCTGTCCACCTAAAAGGAAGGGGTTGAGACACAAAATATAATTTAGAGTCTACTTGAGCCAACGTGAGGACAACTGCCTGGAAGACTAAGACCCAAGCCACCTCGAATAGGCGCTCCATTTGGTCTTGGCTACAAGTGGGTTTTTAAAGGCAATAAAAGGGGAATACAAAGTTCCTTGTCCAGAATTCTCATTGTTTACAGAAATAGCACTGATTTGTGATTGGCTGTATATTGTTATAAGGTATAGGGTATGTGTCATAGTGTGCAGTGCACCATTCTTAGGTTAATTCATAGCTACTTGTGGCACTAGCAAGTAGTTTCAGTAGATGAACACATAGCTCAATGGGGAGCAGGACATGATTGCTGGCTCATTTTTATGCCTCTCTGGGGCTGAATAATTTCTTTTTTTTTTTTTCCTGAGACAAAGTCTCGCCCTGTTGCCCAAGCTGGAGTGCAGTGGTGCAATCTGAGCTCCCTGCAACCTCTGCCTCCTGGGTTCAAGCAATTCTCATGCCTCAGCCTCCAGAGTAGCTGGGATTACAGGCACCCGCCACCACGCTCAGGTAATTTTTGGTATTTTTAGTAGAGGTAGAGTTTTGCCATGTTGGCCATGCTGGTCTTGAACTCCTGGGCTCAAGTGATTCGCCTGCCTAGGCCTCCCAAAGTGCTGGAATTACAGGCCTGAGCCACCACGCCCAGCCTGGGGATGCTAATTTAAAAGGCTCACACACATCACATAAAAGTTCTTTTCTCAGTTCCAGTTAAGAACTGTGAAAAATAGAAAATGATCTTTCCTCCTCTACATAAACATTACTGTTTTACTGGTAGGTCTAAATTAAGTATTTACAGCTCTCTAATTGTACGGAATCATTATAATAGAATGTAGGAAATTTTATATCAATTAATTAATTAAGACAGTGTCTTGCTCTGTCACCCAGGCTGGAGTGCAGTGGCACAATCATAGCTCACTGCAGTCTCGATTCACCCAGACTCAAGCGATCCTCCTGCCTCAGCCTTCTGAGTAGCTGGGACTACAGGTGTGTGTCACTAAACCCAGCTAATTTTTTTTTAATTTGTAGTAGAGATGAAGTCTCACTATGTTGCCCAGGCTGGTCTCCAACTCTTGAGCTCAAACAATCTTCCTGCCTCAGCCTCCCAAAGTACTGGGACCACAGGTGTGCCCCAACGTGCTTGGCCAAGGATCCTTCTTCTTGGCACTGGCCTACTGTTCAAAACAATTTCTAGGCTGAAATATAGACAGCTAGTATCTGGGTCTTTCTTCAAGATCATGCAACCCAAAATTGCCCTTCATTCTCTTGAATAAAACCTCATGACAATGAATTCATGACTAATAGGTCTATAGTCATGCATAACTGGTTTCATCTGTTGGATATCTTTTGTTTTGTTTTATTTTAATGTAACCTTAGCAGACAAACAGAAAAGTGCACAAATCCTACGGATACATCTTGCCGTCACGCAGGTCACATGGTATCTTATTAAATATGAGGGATGCTGCAATCCTGATATGGCCATGGAAACCGAAAAATAGGCTCACAGCTTGCCATGTGCAATCTGTAAATGCTGTTTACTTAATGTTTGTGAGTGGTCGGGTGCGGTGGCTCACGCCTGTAATTCCAGCATTTTGGGAGGCTGAGACCACTGCACTCCAGCCTGGGCGACAGAGTAAGAGTCCATCTCAAAAAAAAACAAAAAAAGTATAAAGTAGAAATAAATATAAAATTAAATTAATCTAATTAATTTACTGCAAATCCTCCCACCTCCCTGAATTACTAACCCTATTACTTTTATTATCTTGTTAAGCCTCTAAAGGAAGATTAGTATCTACAACAGCAATAACTATTATACTATATCAGAAGGTTAACTGTTAAGTATAAACAATGTTTAAATTACTAATGGGTCTTATAATACTTGTAAATTGGATTTACATGTATGTAAATTACCTGATTTTCTGCTTTAATAAAGACACAGGCTGGGCATAGAGGCTCACACCTGTAATCCCAGCACTTTGGGAGGCCGAGGTGGGTGGATCACTTGAGGTCAGGAGTTTGAGACCATCCTGGCCAACATGATGAAACCCTGTCTCCACTGAAAATACAAAAATTAGCCAGGCGTGGTGGCGGGTGCCTGTAGTCCCAGCTACTCGAGAGGCTGAGGCGGAGAATCACTTGAACCCCAGAGACGTAGGTTGTAGTGAGCCAAGATCACACCACTGCACTCCAGCTTGGGCAACGGAGTGAGATTCTGTCTCAAAAAAATAATAATAATACGGACACAGGACACAAAAGCTTCCCGAATTAATTTAGCTTATATGAGAGCCAGGCAATGGAAACCCACAGATGGGCTTTTATAGGCCAAGATGCATGGAGGTTGGGCCTGGCTTCACTGTTAGTTGTCAGCAGAACTATGCATGGGAGCATCAGCATTACTGATCATAAAGACCCCTCGTTCACCGAAAGCTAAAGGGCCCTGGCAGCAAGCACACCATAAGGCAGCTTACCATATCTTGTTCAACTGTGTCACCCGGGAATCAGCAGTGATTTTTAAAAATCAAGTGATACATGAGGGTTTGACTAAGCTATCCTTAGAATGGTAAATTTCATCCTAGCATAGCAACTGAATTCATACCATTGACTTAAACCAGTACTCCCCAATGTACAGTATGTTTAAGATTTAAAAAGTGCAGTTAAGTTTCAACTAAATCATGGATAGCTCCAGCTGAAGTATAAATGAAGCTAAAATTATTTCTCCATTTTTGAAGGCAGAGGTTTCCAACACATAAAAGTTGAAAGAATGGTACAATGAAAATCTACATACCTTCCACCCAGATTAAACAATTGCTGACATATTATCATATTTGTGCATTCTTTCTCTCTCAATCTGTCTGTTAGGTAGACAGATGAGAGATAGATAGATAGAGAGACAGATAGATAAATAGAAAATTTATGTTTATATTTTGCTATGTCATTTGAAAATAAGCTGTAGACATTATTATGAATGACAGGTCATCCCTATATATTACAGTGTGAATCTTCTCTTTTTTTTTTTTTTCGAGATGGAGTCTCACTCTGTGGCCCAGGCTGGAGTGCAGAGGCATGATCTCAGCTCACAACCTACACCTCCTGGGTTCAAGCGATGCTCCTGCCTCAGCTTCCCAAAAAGTTGGAACTATAGGCACCACCACCTTGCCCGGCTTTTTTTTTTTTTGAGACAGAGTTTCGTTCTCATCACCCAGGCTAGAGTGCAGTGGAGCAATCTCGGCTCACTGCAACCTCCACCTCCCGAGTTCAAGCGATTCTTCTGTCTCAGCCTCCCAAGTAGCTGGGATTACAGGCACCAGCCACCACCCCCAGCTAATTTTTGTATTTTTAGTAGAGACGGGGTTTCACCATGTTGGCCAGGCTGCTCTCAAACCCCTGACCTCAGGTGATCCGCCCAACTTGGCCTCTCAAAGTGCTGGGATTACAGGTGTGAGCCACTGTGCCCAGCCTCCAGTGTTAATCTAAGAATAATCTCCTATGTAAGTATAGTACTATTATCAGACCTATAAGAATGAATCATAATTCCATAAGATCATCTATCTACAAACAGTATTCCAATTTCTGAAATGATCCCAGGAATGTCTTTCGTAGCTTTCATTGCTTGCAAGTGCTAGCTGTGTGTTCTTCCATCATCCCTTTCAGCCTAGCCCTGAAACACCCAGCCCCTTTTATTCCCCCCAATAACTTTAATTTTTTTTCTTTTTTTTTAGAGACAGGATCTTGCTCTGCCACCCAGGCTGGAGTACAGTGGTGTGGTCACAGCTCACTGTACCTTGAATTCCCAGGCTAAAGCGATCCTCCCACTTCAGCCTCCTGAGTAGCTGGGACCACAGGCACATGCCACCGTGCCCTAGCCATTTAATTTTTAAACATTTTTTTTTGTAGAGAAAGGGTCTTACTATGTTGCCCAGGCTGGTTTTGAACTCCCGGCTTCAAGTGACCCTCCTGCCTTGGCCTCCCAAAGTGCTGGGGTTACAGGTTTGTGCCACTGCATCACCTGTAGGCTGACCTTGAATTTGTGGTAAGTCTGGGACAGTCATCTTGTGCAATGTTACACAGGTTGAAGTTGCCTAGATCTGTGTAATTGATCTCTTGATGCCTTTTTAAACTTTTTCTCTATCCCCTCTACTTCCAGGGACCTGGAAGTTACATTTGCCACCTTGAATAGACTCAGATTAAACATTTTGGACACTAAAGAGTTCATGGATGATAGGGTGTACTTTTTGCATCACATTAGGAGGCACATTGGGTGAGGCTGTTCCACTATCTGTGAGGCTAATTTTGATTGCCTTATTAAAGTGGTGACTGCCAGATCTCTCCATATAAAGGCACATTTTCTCTTTGCAATTCACAATGAATCTGTGCATAATTCTTTAGTGCCATGAAAATACTCTGTTTACCATAACCTTTCACTTGATGGTTTTAGTATCTGTTGATAATTCTTGACTAAATAAATTATTACATTTAGGTTTGTAAATAGGTGATATTACAAAAATGACTTTAATATTGGAGAATACATAAATCGAGACCCTGACAAGAACTAAGGTATCTCACCATGCTTTGTCCTAAATACAAAGAATTTTTTTTACCAGAGAACTGCAAGTAATGGCTTAACATTAAATGTGTGGTGCTTATATCTGTCTGAGAACCTCTTCTAGAAATGATATTCTTCTATAACCTCAGCTTATTTACCCACCATATCAGCAAAGCCTTGGTTGGATAGAAGAGTCAGTACAAGTGTAGTTATAAAACTGTTAGGAAGGCCAGGTGCAGTGGCTCACACCTGTAATCCCAGCCCTTTGAGAGGCCAAGGTGGGTGGATCATGAGGTCAGGAGTTCGAGACCAGCCTGACCAACATGGTGAAACCCCGTCTCTAGTAAAAATACAAAAATTACCCTGGCGTGGTGGCGTGTGCCTGTAATCCCAGCTACTTGGAAGGCTGAGGCAGGAAAATTGCTTGAACCCGGGAGGCGGAGGTTGCAGTGAGCAGAGATTGCACCACTGCACTCCAGTATAATTGACACAGCGAGACTCCATCTCACAAAAGAAAAAAAAAACTGTTAGGAGAAGCGCAGACTTTGAATTTAAAATCAACAGGCTACATTCACTTGCTTAGACTACAATGTTTATGAAGGTCTCCATGGTTAAATAGTCCAAAGGAGAATTTGACAATTAATAAAACAGTCCATAGAATGCTCACACACCACCCCTCTCTCTCCTCAATGAAAAATCTGTAATTCATAATATGATGCATTTTATTGGAACTTCTAAAGGAGATGAGTCAGAACATGGTAAGAATGCTAAAAGGTTTGGATGATCGAATTATAGCTCAGTCCAAGAAACTAATTTACTAGGGGTAGTTTTGGGGACATCTGATTACTCTGAATTCACCCTAGTCCTTTCCCACGTCTAATTAAATTGTGTTTAACATTTCCCAAAATATTCATATTCAGTCATTGACATGAAAAACACTGGGAATCTGGAAGAAGTGCTATGTGATCCTTTCGTAGCTCATAAGCAGATAGTTGAGTTTTCACGCTCATGGATGGATGTGCCTCCCTCTAACATTATCAAGATGTCGGCACACTACCTGTGTGATGTAAATTTTTAAAAAGAAAAAAAAGAAAAAGTGCTGTATGAAAATAACAAAGTAGGCCGGGTGCGGTGACTCACACCTGTAATCTCAACACTTTAGGAGGCCGAGGTGGGTGGATCACCTGAGGTCAGGAGTTTGGGACCAGCCTGACCAATATGGTGAAACCCCGTCTCTACTAAAAATACAAAAATTAGCCGGGCATGGTGGCATGAGCCTGTAATACCAGCTACTTGGAAGGCTGAGGTAGGAGAATCGCTTGAACCCGGGAGGTGGAGGTTGCAGTAAGCCGAGATCGCGCCACTGTACTCTGGCCTGGGTGACAGAGCGAGACTCCGTCTCAAAAAAAAAAAAAAGAAAAGAAAAAAAAAGAAAATAACAAAGTAATAATAAAAGTTAGCAAAGACAAAAAGTTACATCGTTAGCATAAAAAATTAACCGGAACTATACGCCCAACTCTTATCAGTTTAAAATCCCATAACTGAATGAACAACTCATTAAAAGTTAACAGAATGAAGCCAACTATGTTGCAAAATAGTGAGAAGATTTATTAATAGTGGGAGAGGCCAACTTCACTTAGACATAGTTGTTTAAATGGAACTTGGGTTAAACTTTAAATACACTTTTACCAATAATAACCTTAGGATTATTTTAATAAAAAAAGGAGGTATAGCTATTTGGAAATAAGGAATATTATTTGTCGACGAAGAAAAACACCAAAATTCCCTAGCAGGCATAAGAGAAGTAATCAATTAAGTGGCTTAAGTCCTATAATCAACCAGCACTTTTTTTTTTTTTTTTGAGACGGAGTTTTGCTCTGTTGCCCAGGTTGAAGTGCAGTGATGCAATCTCCGCTCACTGTAACCTCTGCCTCCCAAGTTCAAGCAATTCTCCTGCCTCAGCCTCCCAAGTAGCTGGGTCTACAGGCATATGCCACCATGCCTGGCTAATTTTTGTATTTTTAGTAGAGATGGGGTTTCACTATCTTGACCAGGCTGGTCTTGAACTCCTGACTTCAAGTGATCCGCCCACCTCAGCCTCCCAAAAAATTACAGGCGTGAGCTACTGCGCCCAGCCTCAACCAGCACTCTTAACAGCCCATTGAAGCATTCCCCAACCTTTTTGGCACCCGGGACTGGTTATGTAGAAGACAATTTTTCTGTGGACCAGGGTTGTGGGGCATGGTTTCGGGAAGATATAAGAGGATTACATTTATTGTGCACTTTATTTATATTATTATTACATTGTAATATATGATGAAATAATGGTACGACTCAGCATAATGCAGAATCAGTGGGAGCCCTGTGCTTGTTTTCCTGCAACTAGACAGTCCCATCTGGGGGTGATGGGAGACAGTGACAGATCATCAGGCATTAGATTCTGATAAGGAGCACACACACAACCTAGATCCCTCGCATGCGCAGTTCACAATAGGGCTCACACTCCTGTGGGAATCTAATGCTGCTGCTGATCCGACAGGAGGCAGAGCTCAGGCTGTAATGCTAGCTGGCCTGCCACTCACCTCCTACTGTGTGGCCCGGTTCCTAACAGGCCATGGACCAGTACCAGTCCGTGGCCCAGGGGTTGGGGATTCCTGTGCCATTGGATTTGTCTATAATTTCTAGAAGAAATAATATTGTATAAGTTAGAAATAAGAAAATCAGATTTGTTAGCACACCTTCATTTAAAGAAGTAGGATAGAAGTAGGCTGCAAGGGTGAGATGGGGACCAGATCGGGGAGGCCTTGAGTTCTAGAGTCTGCACATTCTCCCACAGGTAGCAGAGTGTCAGTGAAGGTTGTGGAACGAGGTGGCAATGAGTAGAACACGTGGTGGGGATGACTAGGGGCCCCTCTCTGAGATATAACATCTAATATGAGTTGGACACTGCAGGCCCAGCCAACATGCTTCCTTCAGTCCTCAGAGCCGGTCTGCAAAGTGAATATTGTCCCTGTCTGAACAGGCTCAGAGAGCATGTGTCTTGCTGAAGGCCACGCTACTGGTAAATTGTGGAACTAAGATTCAAAACAGGTGTCTGACATGGGAGCCGACATTCTGCCTTCCACCCCAGGCAGTGGCCATGAAGAAGCAGCTGCTGCAGCCAGAAATGTAGAAACCCTGCCTGCCATGGCAAGGGAGGGCGCTGGCCTGGCACATGGGTTTCTCCTGTCTTTCTGGGGACACTGGCACAACCAGGGCATCCTCTGGGCTTACGCGTCCCTCTCCCCTCCCCATCCCTGCTACTATGTGTGTGACCTTGGAAAAACCACCTTATCTTCTGTTTAAATGGTTAAAGACTTGGCAAAGGAATGAATTAACAGGGCACAGGATGTACACACCCTATGTAGAGTGGCAATTTCAGAGACGAGGTGTTTGGCTGTCACCCTCAAATGTGTCATTTCAACATTTTTCTACTCTCACTTCCTTCTTTCCTACTTAAAACCATCATTGTTGCCAAAAGCAGGGATGGGGCAGGTACACTCAAGGGGAAGAATTTGGAAGAGGAAATTTGTAGGGGCTCATGATGTTTCCTGACCTCAGAATGTAACTTGATTCTGAATATATAAAGAATATCACTTTAGAAGTTATCAAAGGAATGGAATTGGGGTTAATGATTGTTTCTGGGTACAAGCGCAAAGTCATGTCCCCAGTGTTTCTCAGATCTTAACATGCATATGAATCACTGGAGGATCTTTTTGTAATAAAGCTTCTAGTTCAGCAGGTCTGGGGTGGAGCCCGGGAGTCTGCATTTCTCACAAGCCCCCAGTTGCTGCTGGTCCCGAGTCCACACTTTGAGTTGCAAGGAACCAGATTTCTTTGCTTTTTTTTTTTTTTTAAAATATATATATAGAGTCTCAGTCTGTTACCCACGCTGGAGTGCAGTGGTGCAATCTCGGCTTACTGCAACATCCACCTTCTGGGCTCAAGTGATTCTCCTGCCTCAGCCTCCTGATAGCTGGGATTACAGGCACCTGCCACTATGCCTGGCTAATTTTGTATTTTTAGTAAAGACAGGGTTTCGCCATATTGGCCAGGCTGGTCTCACACTCCTCACCTCAGGTGATCCACCTACTTCGGCCTCCCAAAGTGCCTGGATTACAGGTATGAGCCACCGCACTTGGCTTAGCCAGACTTCTTTGAGGACAAATCTCTGTAAAATGGTGGCAGGTCTTGCTTGGTGTGGAGTAAATGTGAAGGAGTAAATAAAAGGCATTTGTACAAATGATGCACTTCAGTATTAATTGTTTAACTCAGCAGATATTTGGTGAGGATTCCCCAAATGCCTGACACATATGACAGAGGAAAAGAGACCTATTCTTGCAAACTGCTCCAACTTTCAGAGGGTGGAACGAAAAGAACCAAAATATTCTGCAACTAAGCAACCAAGTAAACTGGGTGCAGAGAGGAGATGAGCTGGGGCTGATGCCTCAGCAGGAATCTCTGGAATTCCTCTCGCCTGGTGACCTCAGTCACAGAGCAGCGGAGCCACGACCCCTTGGGTGGGCTCCAGGTGGGTCTCAGCCAGGATGAAGAGAGCGGAGCAGACAAACACTCCACTCCCTTCTCCCCAAGGGAGCCAGGCTTTTGCATCCCCAGGCAGCTTCCCGGGGTGAGTGGCCAACGCCTTGAGGTCCCCACCCTGTACCACCCCAGGTTCCAGGGTCCAACTCTGGGAAATCGTGGCATTCTCTGAACCCTTCCTGCTAGTGGGGTGAGGAGGGGGGTGGTTTCTGGCGATAGGGCAAGGGAGGAAAATCATCCTGGGTCTCACGCTCCGTTAGAGGCTGCACTGTGGAGAGAGCAGGGGTCCAGCTCCTGGAGGATCCGGGTTGGATGGGACTCTGCCACTTAGGGGAAGCAGTGAACATTGAGCTAGTGTTGCTGTCGCAAAATGGGATGTGTAACACCCACCTCATCGAATTTCGTGAGAATGAATGAGATCATTAATCATTTATGCAAACTATCTGGAACAGTGATGAAACCCAGAGGCTCCTTTAGTTCCTATTCTCCCTGCCCTGAGGATAAGGACCAAAGCCCTTAGCATGGCTCACAGTGCCTCTCGGAGCTGGCCCCGCCTCCCTGTCTAGCTTCATCTCTGGCTCTCACCTCCCTCGTCTCCAGCCACACTGATGGGCTGAGACTGCCAAGGCCCCAATGGTGCCATGCTTCAGGGCTTGGGCTCCCACCTATGCCTCTCTTTCCAGCAGTGCCCTTCGCCCCAGCTCGCTTGGCAAATGCCTACTTCCCTTATTCAGCTCTGCACAGCAATGCCTGTCCCACGAAGCCTGTCCCATTCCAACCCCCTGCTCAGAGAAAGCGACCAGTGCCTCCTTTGAGCTGTCCCATACCAGGTGCTTCTTCTGTCTTGTGTCTCCTCTCTAGTGTAAGGTGGCAAACAACAGCCTACGGACCAAATCCAAATCACCATCTGATTTTGTAAATAACTTTTTTTTTTTTTTTGAGACGGAGTCTCACTCTGTCACCCAGGCTGGAGTGCAGTGGTGCGATCTCAGCTAACTGTAACCTCTGCCTCCTGGGTTTAAGTGATTCTCCTGCTTCAGCCTCCTGCGTAGCTGGGATTACAGGCACGTGCCAACACTCCCGGCAAATTTTTGCATTTTTAGTAGAGATGGGGTTTCACCATGTTGGCCAGGCTGGTCTCCAACTTCTGACCTCAAGTGATCCACCCACCTCAGCCTCCCAAAGAGCTGGGATTACAGGCGTGAGCCACTGCGTCTGGCCTAGAAATAACATTTTATTAGAACATAGCCACACTCATTGCATAGGGTCCCTGGCTGTTTTCACGTTGCAAGGGCACAACTGTATAGTTACAACAGAGACCACGCTGCCTGTAAAGCCTGCACTATTCACCACCCAGCCCTTCCCAGAAAAGTATTTCCAGCTGCCAGCTCTAGTACTTCCTTGTCTCCTCTCCCTAGACTTCTGAGACATTTGTTCTGAGGGCCAAGAACAAATGTCACTAGCTTCTGCAGCATGCTGCCTGGCCTAGCAGAACCCAGCACTGAGGAGGAGAAGGCTGAGCACGTAATCACATGCGTGTGTTTTCTTCTTTGTCTTTCTCATTCCTAGGGGAGTGAGGGCCCCTCCTGTGGCTTGAATTAGAGGTATAGGGTCTGTTTGATGGAGTCAAGGCTTCCTGGATCCTAGTAAGTAGACCAGAGTGAAACTGTGATGTAAAGCAGCCTCTCTGGATCAGGAAAAGCTCCATCAGGAGAGGTTCCCTCCTGGCACAGTGCTCCTGAGGATGGCCCCCAGGATGCCGCAGAACCAGAGAGAAGACTCTGGGGACAGGAGAACAGCAGGGAAACCTGGCAGAAGTTCTGTTCGAGGAAGTGTTATACAGTCAGATTTTGTAAATGTCAGATCTTGACAAATGATCAAATCAGTTTCTCAGGAAGTGATGATGACATTAAATTGGTTGGGACTTTTTTTTTTTTTTTGTAGAGATGGGATCTACCTATGTTGCCCAGTCTGGCTTCAAACTCCTGAGTTTAAGCAATCCTCCTGCCTCACTCTCTCAAAGTGCTGGGATTACAGGAGTGAGCCACTGCGCCTCTCCCTACCCTTTTTCTTCAAGAGACATGGTCTTGCTCTGTCGCCCAGGCTGGAGTGCAGTGGAGCAATCATAGCTCAATGCAGCCTCAATCTTCCGGGCTCAAACAATCCTCCTACCTCAGCCTCCCGAGTAGCTGAGACTACAGGTGTGTGCCACCATGCCTGGCTAATTTTTAAATTTTTTTTTATAGAGATAGGATCTTGCTATGTTGCTCAAGCTGGTCTCAAACTCCTGGCTTCAAGCAATCCTCCCACCTTGGCCTCCCAAAGCACTGGGATTGTAGCCGGGAGTCACCACACCTGGCCTGTTTTTTAAAGTATAGTCAGGTCAAGGGAACCTGTGGTGATGAAATATTTGAAACCTTGACAACGGGAGTGCCAGTGGTCACTGTTGGTTCCAGCAAGAGGCAAGACCCCAGAAGCCTCCCCTGCATGCTGGATCATCTTGTAGGGGGCACAAGAGAGCCACACAGAATCACAGAGACATGCTTTTGCAAATGGCAGTCACTCTTGGGAACACAGCCTCTCCCAGGGACTTGAAACCACCAGGAAATAAGAATGCAGGTTCCTGGGTTCCCAAAATGTTCTCTGCAGTGGGCATGCCAATGCATACCAACAGGGGAGCTATGGTCCTTTGATGTCTTCTGTCACAATTGAGGAAGTTTGGACCATCCACTGAAACACGTTCTCCTTTCAGCTTGGGAGGGTAGGTGACTTAATACATTAATAAACACTTGAGTTTGACTTTTGTCCAACTCCTGGCCGCTGGATAGGAGCACTTCAGATGTATTTTTGTTTATTGCTTTACCTTGAATCATTTATAGGAATTCAGTAGTCAGGCACCACTTCTTGTTTAGGAGAGGCAGGAGTGCTTCAGGGAAATGGTGCCGTTCAGCCATTGGGTGCTTGCTCCCTGCGCTATTGAACCCCTATACCCCCAGTGCTTCCACTAGCACAGCTGGAGGACCCCAGGGCGACCTGAAGAACATCCCATGCAGCTGGGCTCCCAAGCGGAGCTGCAGAGGTAGCTGCATTCCTTCCCACCTTCTCTGCTCCCGATCCTCCTTTCTGGTCTGTGCACTTTACAAAGTTACTTATTAGGGAATAAAAATTTAATGTATGCTTGATTATAGTAATGTTGCACAAATTCTCCTTTTATCCTCTAAAAGCCCTTTGGGGTAGATAGTGTCAGGTGCATTCCCATTTTATTTACTTTTGCTTTATTTATTTATTTAAGAGACAGGGTCTTGCTCTCACCCAGGCTGGAGTGCAGTCACATGAACATGGCTCACTGCAGCCTCAACCTCCTGGACTCAAGCAAGCAATCCTCCCACCTCACCCTCAGCCTCTCAAGTCACTGTTAGCACAGCCACACGCCAACAAGCCAGGCTAATTTTTAAAAATGTTTTGTAGAGATGAGATCTCACTGTGTTGCTCAGGCTGGTCTCGAACTCCTAGGCTCAAGTGATCCCTCTGCTTCAGCCTCTCAAAGTGCTGGGGTCACAGGCAGAAGCCACTGTGTCCGGCTCACATTCCTATTTTACAGATGAGGAAACCCAGTCCAAGAAGCGAAGTGGCTTGCTCAGTGGCTCCCGGCAGATGGTCTCGGGTGTGGTTTGACCTCTGGATCGTGTTGATGCTAATGCAGAATGCCAGGGCCTTTGGGTAGTTGTGTTCCAGATGTGGGCTTGTTTCCCCACTGGCCTCCTCCAGCCTCATTCAGCTGGAAGGCAGCTTCCCCTCCTAGCCCTGTGGCACAGCCAGGACAGCTCTGCCCTTCGGGCCCCAAGGAACACAACCTCTTGCTGCTCTGACATCCTAATGGCTGAGCGCAGGCCAGGAGGCTGCCAACATCTGCAGGGACAACTTAAAGACTCTGGCCAGGGGATGCCTTTGGCATCTCTGGGGATGGAAAATGGGCCACCTGTCCCAGCCCCACAGGGTGGAGGCTGCTGTGAGGGCAAAGTGCCACTGCAGCTGCAGCTTCCCGGATCGGCGCCTGCCCTCTCGCCAGGAGGCTGCGGCCACTGAGACCAATGGTTCCTGTGCCCGGCCAGGGGCTCCTGACTGGGACATGGGCACGGAAGGCCCCGGAGCAGATGTGGGGCAGTTGTGGGACTCAGGAAGAGGTCTCTGTTCCCATTATGGGTGAGCAAGCAGGAGGAAACGCCATGCAAAGTCTCAGGAATGTTCTGCGGAGACAGGAGCCCCACTTGCCCCCTCTGCCTTGGGGACCCAGCCGCAGCATCTGCAGGGGCGGCGTGAGCTCCAGGAAGCCACAGGACATGCAACTGCCACCGCAATCCCTCCTGGCCAGCATGCTGTTGTCGGTGTTTCTCCTCTGGTGTGGGCCCTGCGGGTAGCGTGGCAGACAAAACATCAACAAACTCCGTCCTCACTTGAGCTGCCTCCTAGGAGGCTGACAGGTGGCCCAAAGGCATGGAGCGTCTCTGTGCATGGTGCCCTGGCTGGAGCCCAGATTCCATCGTGATTGGCCTTGTTGGTTTCCCTTATGTACCGATGAGCAAACCTGTGGCCACAGGCAAGTCACCTGACCTCCCTGGGCCTCGGTTTCCTGTTCTGTGCACTGAGTATGATACTGTCTCGGCAGGCTCTTGGGGAAGTCTCTTGCTTCTCCCTGTTCGATTCTCCTTCCTCTCTCCCTCTTCTCTTCAAATCCTTACCATCCTTGAGGTATTGTGGTGGTGGTATGATGACTTGGAGGGCCACGCCATGCAGAATCAGGAATCATTGTCACTTTCCTTGGTGACTCAGAATAACTTTCATTTCCCCACTGCTGCTTCCTTCTCTGCTCCATGTTAGAGTGGCCCCCCTGCTTATCTGTGGTTTCACTTGCCACAGGGTAACTACCTGTGGTATAGCACTCACTGCAGCCTCGACCTCCTGGGCTGCAGAGATCCTCTTATCTCAGCCTCCCAAGTAGCTGGACCACAGGAGCAAACCACCATGCCTGGCTAATTTTCTGTATTTTTTTGTAAAGATGAGGTGGGTCTCACTCTGTTGCCCAGGCTGATCTTGAACTCCTGGCTTCAAGCAATCCCTCACCTTGAACTCCTAAAGTGCTGGGATTACAGGTGTGAGCCACCTTGCCCAGCTCACTTCTGTAATAAGTTGAGAGAGAGGTATATATAGAGAGACCACAGTCACATAACTTTTATTACAGTACCTTGTTATGATTGTTCTATTTTACTATTGGTTATTGTTGTTAGTCTCTTGCTGTGCCTAATTTATACATTAACTTTGTTTTGTTTTGTTTTGTTTTGTTTTTGAGACACGGTCTCACTCTGTCACCTAGGCTGGAGTGCAGTGGCACGATCTCGGCTCACTTCAGTCTTCGCCTCCTGGATTCAAGCTATTCTCATGCCTCAGCCTTCCGAGTAGCTGGGACTACAGGCACACACCACCACACCCGGCTAAGTTTTTTGTATTTTTAGTAGAGACAGGGTTTCATCATGTTGCCCAGGCTGGTCTCCAACGGCTGACCTCAAGTGATCCACCTGCCTCGGCCTCCCAAAGTGCTGGGATTACAGGCATGAGCCACCATGCCTGGCCACATTAACCTTGATCATAGGTATGGATGTGTAGGGAAGAGCATCGTATATATAGTGCTCGGTACTACCCACAGATTCAGGCATCCATTGGGATCTTGGAACACATCCTTGTGGTTAAGGGGGATGACCATGTGTGATGGCCCTCCCAGCTCCCTGCCTCCTGCTCCTGGAGTCTCCATGGCTCCTCAGCGCCAATCCTCCCTGTCTTTCAGCCCTTTGCCCTGTCAGCCTAGACTCAATGACCCATTGTGAACCATTACCACGATGCCCGTTGACATGCTGGAAACTCTTCCCTTCTTATTCTAAACCCCAAGGCCCTGTCAACACGCTCTACTGGGGAAGCACACCTACTGCTTTGGTTTCCAATATGATTTCAGAGCAATTGCCTTGCAAACCTTCAGCAACAACCTCTCCTGTGCTGTTAACCCTTTGAAAGAGTGTGCATTTTTAAAAAGTTGGCATTGGGCACAGTGGCTGAAGCCTGTATCCCAGCACTTTGGGAGGCCGAGGCAGGTGGATCACCTGAGGTCAGGAGTTCGAGACCAGCCTGGCCAACATGGCAAAACCCCGTCTCTACTAAAAATACAAAAATTAGCTGGGCATGGTGGTGGGCACCTGTAATCCCAGCTACTCGGGAGGGTGAGGCAGGAGAATCACTTGAACCCAGGAGGCAGAGGTTGCATTGAGCCGAGATCGCATCACTGCACTCCAGGCAGGGTGACAGAGCAAGACTCTGTCTCAAAAAAAAAAAAAAAGTTGGCATCAATGTGTTCTTCCATCTGATTTATGTCTTCACATTACAGCATGTTTTCTGTATGAGCCCACACATATCAGATGGTAACTTTAGAATGGGTGGGTCTGTGCCATTGTCCCGGCACAGCTGTGAGGGTGGTGACAGGCAGGTCAGCAGGTGCGTACAGAGGGGCTTTCTTCTACATTGGAGTTCAGGTCGGATGATCCAGGTCCACAGTGTTCATTCAGGGCTCTGTGTTCTGGTGGCTTCCGTTGATTTCTAATAAAAGCTGCAGACTGAGCCAGTCCTGCACACACAGGGAGATAGGACAACGAACATTTGGGATGTGATTAAGCCCATCAATCCAATCGGTGACTAAAATCAGACAGGAAGCCCTGTGCCCCTTAGATAAAGAAAGCCTGGGGGGAAAATGATCTCAAGTTCATTTCGATTGGCGCAAACTCCTCACAGAGGAAAAAATGTACAGTTAGAGTGAAGTGAAAGAACATCTCTATAAAATATGCATCACTTCCCTGGCGGGGAGGAGAGAGGAGCTATGGAAAGCTACACCAAAGCTGTATTCACTGGACAAAAATGCTTGACTCAGGAAGGAGGCCGGAGCGGCGAGTCCTGTGATGCCATGGCGGGAGGTGGGTCCCATGTAAACAGTGGTGTTCCTGTCACCCTGAGCACATGCAGTCTCCCGTGGGTAACCAGAACTGATGCAAGAGCCCCTGCTGTGGAAGTCACCACGCTCTCCCAGAACGCGCCTCCCCCCAGGTCTGAGTGATCTCATTGCCGAGGTGAATAGGGCTTTGGCCGCTCTCCCAAAGGAGCCTGCCCCAGACACAGCCATGGCCTGGGACTCTGGGGTCACCCTGGGGTCAGAAGGAATTATCTGTATTCACTTGGTTTTGGTTATTGTCAGTGTTATTTATGTGTTTATTTATTTTTTATTTTTAGAGACAGGCTTTTACTCTGTCTCCCAGGCTGGAGTGCAGTGATGGGATCACAGTTCACTGCAACCTCAAATTTTCAGGTTCAAGGGATCCTTCCACCTCAGCCTCCTAAGTAGCTGGGACTACATGCATGTGCCACCACACCTGACTAATTTTTTAATTATTTGTAGAGATAGGGTCTCGCCATGTTGCCCAGGCTGGTCTCAAACTTCTGGGCTCAAGGAATCCTCCCACCTTGGCCTCCCAAAGTGTTAGGATTACAGGAGTGAGCCACCTCACCTGGCCTGGTGTTGTTATTTTAAAACAAGAAAAGAAATGACCAGAAAGGCTGAAAGGAAACACGCACCATCCTCCATAGGAGGCTGCAAGGGTTGGTGGCACCAGGTCCAGAAGAAGAAGGGCTCATAGAGCAGAAACCAGAGCTTGAGCACCACCTGGGTGGCATTTGGAAGTGCCTCAGCACAGCCACTTTGCAGAGTTTGCACATTTAAAATAAGGAGTAGGCTGGGCACAGTGGCTCATGCCTGTAATCTCAGCACTTTAGGAGGCCAAGGCAGGCGGATACCTTGAGTTCAGGAGTTCGAGACCAGCCTGGCCAACATGGTGAAACCCCGTCTCTATAAAAAAAATATATAAAAATTAGCCAGGCGTGGTGGTGTGTGCCTGTAGTCCCAGCTACTCAGGAGGCTGAGGTGAGAGAATCACTTGAACTGGGGAGGTGGAGGTTGCAGTGAGCCAAGATCATGCCACTGCACTTCAGCCTGAGCAATAGAGTGAGATCCTGTCTCAAAAAATTAATTAATTAAGTTAAATAAAGAGTAGCGCAATTTTCCTAAACAGATTGACCAGAGACACCCTTAAAATTATACGACTGTGATAGAATTCCTACAGATATTCATTAGCTATGATATGTTGGATAAATAAGCAGATGGCAGTGAATATTCTTACAGACCAAATATTTCTGCAAATAAAATTAAATTCTTATGTAAAATATGCATACATAAATATATTCTAGATATAATTTTATAATATCAGAAATGATCATATTTTTCATTTGCAAGTACTTTCTTCTTTTTATTTTTAGAGTTGGGGGTCTTGCTCTGTTGCCCAAGCTGTACTGCAGTGGCATGATGATAGCTCACTGCAGCCCTGGACTCCTGGGCTGACGTGATCTGCCTGCCCCAGCCTCCTGAATGGTTTTTTCTTTTTTTTGAGACGGAGTTTCACTCTTGTTGCCCAGGCTGGAGTGCAGTGGCGCGATCTCAGCTCACAGCAACCTCCACCTCCCAGGTTCAAGCCCTGAATGGCTTTTTAAAAATATTTTCTCAGAGTCAGGGTCTTGCTCTGTTGCCCAGACTGGTCTCAAACTCCTGGGTTCAAGCGATCCCCCTGTCTTGGCTTCCCAAAGTGCTGGGATTATAGATGTTAGCCACTGCCTCCTGTCAATATTTTTTAAATTAATAGACATTCCTTAGAGCAGTTTCAGGTTTACAGAAAAATTGAGCAGGAAGCACAGAGTTCCCATATTATTATCCCTTCTCTTCCCTCCGCAGTTTCCCCTGTTATTATCTTGTACTTAGTCCAGTGATATTGTTTTTTTTTTAAACTACTATTGTTTTTCAGTTTTTAGATAGTCAAAACAAAGTTGTAGACCTATCATTATCTTGTATGGGAATTTAAAAAATGTATTTCACTGGGCTAATGTATTAGTCCGTTCTCATGGTGCTGTAAAGAAATGCCCAAGACTGGGTAATTTATAAAGAAAAGAGATTTAATGGACTCACAGTTCCCCATGGCTGGCAGAGCCTCAGGAAACTTACAATCATGGAGGAAGGCACCTCTTCACATGGCGGCAGAAGACAGAATGAGCACAAGGAGGGGAAATGCTAGACGATAATAAAACCATCAGATCTCATGAGACTCACAGCTTGGGGAAAACCGCCTTCGTGATGCAATTACCTCCACCTGTTTCTGCCCTTGACCTGTAGGGATTATGGGGATTAAAATTAAAGGTAAGATTTGGGTGGGGACACAGAGCCAAACCATATCAACTAAATATTCAAAAAAAGTACTGCTCTAAGAGAGTACTTCAATTTTTAACTTGGTAGCCTTGGTTCTTGTTCATGTGTGTAACACTAACATAGCTTAGGAGGCAGTTGGAAAAAATTTGAGTCAGGGGCTCTTTAAAGTTCCTTTCTTCATCTTTGAGAAAACAGTACGAGGCTTTCCCTTGCAAAGTTCTTTCCATCTTTACTTCTCTTATCTGAAACGCAAGGAACCTATAGCTTATCAAAGGTAAATGGACTGGACCAGAGTCGTGCAACTGACCTCAGAGGAGAGAAAGGAAACTTTCTGACTTCCAACCCCAGGCTCATTCCAGTAGCCTGCACATTCACCACGGGGGTGTATTTGAAGATTGATAGCTGGCGATGTGTTAGGAGGCTCAAAAGAGGTAGATTTAGGAGCAGAGAAAGAAAGTTCTGTGTCGGAGAATCAGCAAACCAACCTGAGAAACTCAACTCACTCCACAAAGGAATTGATTGAAAATTAGATGTGTTCAAAAATAACTTGAATAAACTCATGGATACTCCATCATAAGTTATTAAGGAAAATTCCTATTCTTCTGACACGCTTCCATGAACAACCAGGTCCTTCCAGTGCCAGAGAGAGAGTGTTGGGCTGGGCACACCCAGTGTGGAGCCAGTACATCTACTTTTATGAAAGTCATTTAGAAGCATCACTAAAGGAACTGAAAAACAATTGACCAATAATGACAGTACTCCAACACCTAGTTTTATCTTCTAATCTCTATCCATACATCTATGTAGTGTTTATATTATTATTATTTTTTGAGATGGAGTCTCACTCTTGTTGCACGATCTTGGCTCACTGCAACCTCCACCTCCCAGGTTCAAGTGATTCTCTTGCCTCAGCTTCCCGAGTAGCGGGGATTACAGGTGCCCGCCACCATGCCTGACTAATTTTTGTGTTTTTAGTAGAGATGGGGTTTCACCATGTTGGCCAGGCTGGTCTCGAACTCCTGATCTCAAGTGATTTGCCTGCCTCGGTCTCCCAAAGGGCTGGGATTATGGGTGTGAGACACCATGCCTGATCTACATTATTTATATCACAGCTCATGTACAAATTTATTTTCTTCTTCTTTTGGGCAAGGCAATTTTATGATTTATTTTGGTATGTCGGTATAATTATGTTATCAGTCATCTCAATGGCTACACAATATTGCAGTATTCTAACATGTCCTAGTCTACTAGGCCCCTATGTTTTGACATCTAAGTTATTTTCAGTATTTAGACAGTCAAAACAATGTTGAATACTTATCATTATCTTGTATGGGGATTTAAAAAATGCATGTCAGCAGGCTAAATATTCAAAAAATTACTGCTCCAAGAAAATAATCCAATTTTTAACTTAATATTTTGAAATAATTTCAAACTTACCAAAGAGTTGCAAGAATAAAGACCTCCTCCTACAGTTTGGTGAACAGCTCTTAACAAGAATAAGATTTGTAAGAGTCCTTCCCATGCCTTCAGCTTGTCCTGTTTTGATGTTTCTCATTGTTTGTGTGGAATTCACACAACTGGTGCTGTTACCACCATGGGCGTCTAGTCTGGATCAGTGGTCCTCAGTCTTTTTTGCACCAGGGACCAGTTTTGTAAAGATAGCTTTTCCACGGACAGAGGGAGGGGAGATAGTTTCGGGATGATTCAAGAGGATTACATTTATTGTGCACTTTATTTATATTACTATTACATTGTATTATATAATGAAATAATGGTATGACTCAGCATAATGTAGAATCAGTGGGAACCCTGAGCTTGTTTTCTTATAACTAGATGGTCCCATCTGGGGGTTATGGGAGACAGCGACAGATCATCAGGCATTAGATTCTTATAAGGAGTGCACAACCTCAATCCCTCGCATGTACAGTTCACAATAGGGTTTGCACTCCTATGAGAATCTAGTGCCACTGCTGATCCAACCGGAGGTGCAGCTCAGGCAGTAATGCGAGTGATGGGGAGCGGCTGTAAACACAGATGAAGCTTCACTGGCTCTCCAGCCACTCACCTCCTGCTGCGCAGCCTGGTTCCTAACAGGCCACGGACAGATACCAGCCCATGGCCCCAGGGCCGGGGATTCCCAGTCTAGATGGAGACCTAGACAAGGCGTGCGACAATAACACCGATTTTAGATCCATCATGACATTTACCCCATCCCCTGCAAAGCCAGATGGCTACCAAAATTAAATCTTAGTTTAGACACAGAATGTCCGTCTTCTGGTCCAAAACATCCTTGTCATAAGTTTCTTGGCTGGGCGCGGTGGCTCACACCTATAATCCCAGCACTTTGGGAGGCTGAGGCAGGTGGATCACGAGGTCGGGGGTTTGAGACCAGCCTGACCAACATGGTGAAACCCCGTCTCTACTAAAAATACAAAAAAATTAGCTGGGCGTGGTGGCGGGCACCTGTAATCTCAGCTACTCAGGAGGCTGAGGCAGGAGAATTGCTTGAACCTGGTGGAGGTTGCAGTGAGCCGAGATCACACCACTGCACTCTAGCCTGGGCGACAGAGCAAGACTCTGTCTCAAAAAAAAAAAAAAGAAAATAAAAAAAAAAAAAACAAGTTTCTTGCCCACTCTTCCTTTCTCTGAGTTTCCAGAGACATCACATCATTTCTTACCCAGCTGAGCAGAGTCCCAGCATGGCTCTCGTTCGAATACCCATCCTGCCACCTGCCCCAGTGAGAAGGGTTGGAGCAGCCCCTGTTCTCTGCCCCCGCCACCTCCATGACTCATGCATTCTGTGGGGGAGGCGCCCACTGCAGAAACAGCCAGGCTGGCTGGGAAAAGCCCTGCAGCAATTCCCCGTCCAGTTTCTCTGTGCCCACTTTGTCTCCGTGTTATCTAGGCCTGGATTTATTTCTCTTTTTTGAAAATGAAGGGCTTTGATGAAATGTTCACAGGATGTGAGGTCACCAAGATTTTTTTCCTTTTTTTCTGTTCTTTTCTTTTCCTCGAAGTGATCCCTTGACTAAAATCAAGGCTCCCATTGTCACCTTATCAGCCTGCCCATGCCTAATTCTGCATTCTCAGGCTTCCCCAGAATCTGTCCGAGGGAAACCAATCTCAATTCAGAAGGAACACAGAGGCCCCAGTTTCTAGGGCTGCAGGATATTGCTGGGTCTTAATCATTCGGGTATATTTCAGCAAAGCTCAGGGCCCCTGCTAATGATCTGCAAACCCTCTCCTCTCAGTCTCCCGTTGTTTAGCCCCTATTTATAAGTGAGTGCATGTGGTTGTTCACTTTCTGTTTCTGAGTTATTTCAGTTAGGATAATGGTCTCCAGTTTCATCCATGTTGCTCCAAAAGACAGACTTCATTGTTTTTTACGGCTTTGTCGTATTCCTCGGTGTATATGTGCATTTTCTTTATCCAGTCCTCCATTGATGGACACTTAGGTTAATTCTGTGCCTTTGCTATTGTGAATTGTGCTGTTGTGAATTGTGTGTGATAAACGTGTGAGTGCAGGTGTCTTTTTGATGTAATGATTTCTTTTTCTTTGAATAGATACTCAGTAGTGGGATTGCCGGGTCAAATGGATGTTCTATTTTTAGTTTGGGAAATCTCCATATTGTTTTCCATAGAGGTTCAGGATCCAGGATTTAAGTGCAACCATTCAGTGGAAAACCATCCTCTCAAGAGTTCAAATGAGAGTCCTCATGACCAGCACTCCCTGCTGAACGGCAATGCCCCACCCCCCAAAAAAGCCTCCATCCTCACCATCTTAGACCACATTGCAGGAAAGCAGCCCCATGCCCACCAGACAGGCCCACAGCTGCTGCTGCTCATGGGAGGTCTACCTCCCGTGCTCAGCAGGCAACCCACCCCAGTGCCCCTTTTCTACAATGACCATCAGCAGGGCTGCAGCTTCATAAAAATGTGAAAAACAGTTTGAAAGCAATGTGAAAAGCAGTTAGGTGCCTTTCAACTTCAAACTCAGCACTCATGGTTTGACAAATATGAGTATATTTAGGATCAGAATGTATGAAATCTGGCCTCTCCTGAATAGTCGGTCATCCCACAATTTCCTCTGCCAAACTTCTCTTCCCTCCCTGCGTTCTTTCTTTCACCTCTCTCTCATTTTTACAAGGTCTGGTCTCAGCCAGACATGAACCAATGATGATAGATGCTCCTGCTGAGCCCTGTGATGTGCCAGGGCCCTGACATGCGTGGCTTCTCTCTGATCCTCACGTGACCTGCAGATGCAAAAGCCAGAGCTCAGCATAGTTGAAAATCTTGATTGAGGTCATATCCCAGTTACTGGCACAGCCGGATTTAAACCTAAGACTTTCCCCTACACGACAGGGCTTTTATTTCTCAGTCATCTGAAAAGGTGTCAGCAAGGGAAATGGCTTGTCTATTTCCAGGGGCATTTTACAAGCAAATACTGAAAGGCTTCGGTGGGCTTAAGGGCTGATGGCTTTGATCGAATTTCAGGCATGTTGGCCCCAAGGCCCTGTGTATATTCCCTGGGCCCACTCAAGGGGATGCTGGAGCCGGAAAGTCCCCGGAGGCCACCTACTGCAGCCCTGCACTTTACAAAGAAGAGAAAGATTCTCCCTAAAATTACAGAACAGGGCCAAAGATGCCTACCGGAGCAAACCCCCATGGGGGCACCTCCTACCGCAGGTGAGCCCAAGGCTGGTCCTGCCTTCTCAGTGGCTACCCCCCTGAGCTCCCGCCACCACACAAAGTGTTCCAATCCTTGTGCATCCTCCAGTCCTTTTAACCTCTCATGTCCTGAGAGGCCAGAGCTACAGCCACAGATTCCAGAAGACACCCCACTCCCAGCCCCAACCTGCTGCCTTTAGAATTATAAACACTTCTTGTCATCACAGGGTCCTGAAAGTCCCTTTTAAGCCTGGGACACTAGGACTCTAAAGGAAGATGATTCTTAAGGTCCCATCCCACTTCCAAATTCCTGCGATTCAATGACATCACGGCTGTGAATAATCAGCCTGGCCCGAAGCCAGGATGGGCTGTGCTGCTTCCACCGTGAACTTCCTCCCCCTGCTTTATAAAAACAGGCCTGCCTCAGCTCCCTCATGGCCCTGTCCACTGAGCATCCTCCCGCCACACAGAAACCCGCCCAGCCGGGGCCACCGACCCCACCCCCTGCCTGGAAACTTAAAGGAGGCCGGAGCTGTGGGGAGCTCAGAGCTGAGATCCTACAGGAGTCCAGGGCTGGAGAGAAAACCTCTGCGAGGAAAGGGAAGGAGCAAGCCGTGGTAGGTCGGGTTTCTGTACCTTGGGGTCTGTCTCCTCTTCTTTCTCTTAAAAGTCTTTCCAGCAAGCTGAGCCAGTGAAGGAATGCTTTAACCAAGGGACCAACTTTGTAATTCAGGCAACTAGAGGATCCGCTAGAATCCACTCCAGAGGGGAGATGTCTGTTTGCATTTGCATGTGATTGGGATAGGCTGGAGTGTTTTGGAGGGGAGAGGCAGTCGGGGAAAGGGAGACTAGGGAGGTTGCATTCATTGGAGAAGCCTCTGCTGACAGAGTAAAGGGGAAAGTGAAAAGAACGATACAGAAAAGCCCCAAATAGCCTATGGGAGTACCTCAAGACGAGCAAGCAATAAAAGCAAAATCGGCTGCCTTGGGACACGTGCCTGTGACAGCTGGGAGGGCCCGCTGGGTCCCCTAGTTTCCTCCCTCCCCCGATGAACCCCCAGAAAGGAACTGAGGCTGTGGATGGGGCAGAGGGGGACTTACTTCCAGAGCACTATTTGCTAGGTGCTGGGAGAGAGAAGCAGGTGGCTTTCACACCCCACATTACCCCGTGGGATAGAGAAATGCCTCTGATCTCCCTAGGTGCCACCCCTACAAGTCTCCACAGGTCAGTTTGGCCCTCTGGCTTTTTGCCCAGGGTGCATCAGTCAAGTGTGCAGTCCTCCTTAAAGGACATTTTAATTACAGGGGAAAAAACTGACATTAATGTCTTTTATTCCTAAAGCACTCTGCAGGAAGCATGTGGGGTTCTCCAGATTTTCACTGTTATTATCTTTATTTTCTTAACCTCACAGGGAGGGAGAGAGGAAGGGAGGGAGGGAAGACGAAAACACGCCGAGGTCCCAGGTAACTAATGACAACTCAAGCTCAAAGAAGTGTGGTAACAAGGATGTGTTTGGTGGCCAATTGGGAATAATATGGTGGTCTCCTGTAGCTGCTTGATGACAGAAAAAATGTCGTGTGTGTGTGTATGCGTGTGCATTGCAGTCCCGGGAAGGGGTCTTGCAAATACCATTGTCAGGTGGAGTCCCCTCAAAGGTGACTTCCTAGCAGTACTTGCTGTGGCAAGAACGCTCATTCTGGGATCTAGACTCAATCCATGACGGTCAGCATGAGCTGCTGGGTGCGTGCTTCCTGTGCAGGCAGAGTCGGACTCCAGCACTGGCAGGGACACTGTGAGTATTGAGATATGAATAGCTCCATCCTGCCCACCCATTTATTCCACCTAAAATGTTCTCAAAGATGCAAGCCTCCAAGCTCTGGATCAAATGATAAAGCCCCAGATCAAAATCTCAGGAGCAAATGAAAGCTGCCCTTGTCTCCAAAATGCTCCTTCTCTGCCCGACTCCCCAAGACCAGCTTGGTTTATTTCACAATGACTCGCGTCGGATTCTCCCAGTGTCTGCGGCTCCCCCTGCTTCATCACAGGCCTGGGACAGTCCAGGCAGCCAGGGAATAGCTGGGAATAGCAGTTCCCCTTTGTTGGTTTTTGAGTTCACTGAGGCTTTGATTTCCCCCAGGGCCTGACGTTGCTGAGCAGAGCCAGCGGCCAGTAGATTTCAAAGGATTCCAAAAAACAGTCAGGCACTCCTTTGTGAACCCAAAAGTATCTGAGACAGGTCTGTCAATTTAGAAAGTTTATTTTGCCAATGTTAAGAACACACATGTGACACGGCCTCTGGAGATCCTGAGGACATATGTCCAAGGTGGCCAAGGTATGGCTTGGTTTCATACATTTCAGGGAGACATGAGACATTAATCAATGTATGTAAGATGTGCACCGGTTCGGTCTGGAAAGGCAGGACAACTCGAAGTAGGGGCTTCCAGGTCATAGGTAGATAAGAGAAGGCTTCATTCTTCTGAGTCTTTGTCAGCCTTTCACTGAATACACAATTTACATATGAGAGGGGGGCAGAGGAAGAGTCACTTATGCCTTAGTTGGCTCAGTGAATCTACTTTTTTTTTTGAGACGGAGTTTCACTCTTTTTGCCCAGGCTAGAGTGCAATGGCATGATCCCGGCTACTGCAACCTCCACCTCCCAGGTTCAAGTGATTCTCCTGCCTCAGCCTTCTGAGTAACTGGGATTACAGGCGCCTGCCACCACACCTGGTTAATTTTTGTATTTTTAGTAGAGACAGGGTTTCACCATGTTGGCCAGACTGGTCTTGAACTCGTGACCTCAGGTGATCCACCCACCTCGGCCCCCCGAAGTGCTGGGATTACAGGCATGAGCCAACATGCCTGGCCTGAATCTTCATTTTTACAAAAACAATAGGGCAGAGGAAGCAATCAGATATGCGTTTGTCTCAGGTGAGCAGAGGGATGACTTTGAGTTCTGTCCTTTGTCCTGTACCCATTTGCATTGCCAAGGTGAAGTTCAGCAGAACTGTTTTAGGGTAAAGATCTTGAAGTCCACAAGGAGTTTCCTTGTGGGTAAATTGTGAGAGAGGTATGTAGCCTTTTATCTTTGTAGCCGTCTTATGTAGGAATAAAATGGGAGGCAGGTTTGCCTCATGCAGTTCCCAGCTTGGCTTTTCCCTTTGGCTTAGTGATTTGGGGGTCTTGAGATTTATTTTCCTTTCATACCTTGGTAGTGTCACTTGAAGCCACCACGCCCGGCTAATTTTTATATTTTTAGTAGAGACAGGGTTTCACCATGTTGATCAGGCTGGTCTCGAACTCCTGACCTCGTGATCTGCCCTCCTCCTCCAAAGTGCTGGGATTACAGGCATGAGCCACCATGCCCGGCCAATTTTTCTTTTCTTTTTTTTTTTTTTTAAGATGGAGTCTCGCTTTTTCACCAGGCTGGGGTGCAGTGGCACAATCTTGGCTCACTGCAACCTCCACCTCCCAGGTTCAAGCGATTTTCCTGCCTCAGCCTCCCAAATAGCTTGGATTACAGGCGCCCGCCACCACACCCAGCTAAGTTTTCACCATGTTGGCCAGGCTGGTCTTGAACACCTGACCTCAAGTGATCTGCCCGCCTTGGCCTCGCAAAGTATTGGGATTACAGGCGTGAGCCACCATGCCCAGACAGGTTTTTCTTTGATTATTTGGCATTATGCACCTGCAGTCTCAGAATAAATTTTTTACTTTCTCTGAGTGATTTTCGCTTCTGCTTTGATGAGATTGTTGGGACGGACAATAAGGGACCAGTGCATTCTGCTCATTCCTTCTTGGGGCCATTTCTTTTGTATATACGGGAGAAAATGTCTGTCTATAGTGTCAGGCTATAAACCTCGTCCTAGTCAAGCAGCTCACAAAACCATATGGTGGGTCTCACATCAAACCAGGTAAAAGAGTGAGGATGATTTAGACTCAAAGAAAATTAGAGCTAGAAATAAATTTAAAGCTCATCCACCCTGCTCCAACCCTAAGTCAAGCCACATGGTCTTCCGATAGTGGCTCAGTTTTCTACTTACATAAAAAGACAGCACATTCTCTTAGCAATATGTGTTTGTATGTGTGTGTGTGTGTGTGTGTGTGTGTGTGTGTGTGTATATATATATATATATATATATAATTTAGAGACAAGGTCTGACTCCATCACCCAGGCTGGAGTGCAGCAGTGTGATCGTAGGTCACTGAACCTTCAAACTCCTGGGCTCAAGTGATCCTCCATCTCAGCCTCCCAAGTAGCTAGGACTACAGGGGCATGCTGCCATATCCAGCTAATTATAAAATTTTTTTGTAGAAGCAGAGTTTTGCTTTGTTGCCCAGGCTAGTCTCAAACTCCTGGCCTCAAGCAACCCTCTTGCCATGGCCTCACAAAATGCTGGGATTACAGGCAAGAGCCACTGTGCCCAGTCCCTCTTAGTGATATTTTGCATATTATATATTCAAAAAATATTTTCTATGTATGCCACTTGGGAAACTTCTGTAGAATGGGATAGAGGGACAGATAAACCCAATTCTTGATCCACTCAAAAATAACACCTGTGACAGAGTGAAGATGAAACAGGTGCTGGGCACACAGCAAGTGTTTTAGAAACATTTTTGAACTCAACTTTGCCTGAGTTGTGGTGCTGATCATGGCTGCCAGGAAATGCTAGCCAGCTGTTCTTCCTATACAAGTATATGACTGGGTGTCTGCAGCAGCTGCCCGGCTGTGAATTGCACACACCAATGGCCAAGACCCAGCAGCGACTTGGCTAACAGGCCCAGCCGATGTGCATGGGTGACCACGCGATGCTCCTGACACACGCACTGGTGGCTTAGGGAAGTTTTTTTGAGGATTGATCAGAAGATCTGATTCCACCTGGAGCCTCTGAAGTGATCACTTCCAGGTTAGGCTGAACCCAGATACCAGGAGACCTGTGTATTGAGAGCCTTTTGTTTTTTTTATGTAGTCACAACTATTCCATTAACATACAGCTAGGCATTAGAGAATCCATGCTGGACTCCTACAAAGGCCCCTAGATCCTTAGAACACTCAGAGATTCCAAAGCACACGTCCTCCCAGGACACCCTGGCAGAAGAGCCCGGGGGCGACTGTCACCTTTGCCTGCTGTCGGGAGCTGTGCTGATGGGTAGGGGGCTCTGTGCTTGCTGTGGCCCAGAGCCAAGCCGTGGGGATGTGCTCTGTCTGGAGCAGACCCCTTCACTGTCTGCCTAACTCCTTCGTGTGTTCCCGGAACAGCTTCTGTGTTATGCATTCCAGAAAGCCTGCCTGACCACCCCAACCTCAACAAGCCTGGGATGGACAACCTCCTCCACATTCCACTCCAAGCCCACCCCCGTCCCCACCCTGCTGCGTGGTATGGCGCTGCTCTGCTGTACCCTGAGTGTCTAGTTATTCATCAGGCCCCTTCCTAACTATGAGCTCTTTCAGGATAAGAGCTGTGTCTTTGCATCACCAGAGCCTGTGCCAGGGCACGGCTGGTGCTCCATACACGTTGATGGTGAATATATAGCATGGGTAGATCATTGTCTGTGAATGCTTAACAGAGAAGCAGCTCATGTGGGTGCTTGAGGGCTGGGGGGGCAGGGTGGGGGTCTGGTAGGCGCTGGGAGGAGGACATCCCTGCAGCTTCTCCAGCCCCATAGATGGGACTCTTGATGTGGGCAGTTTTTATTTCAGCTGAGTCTCCAGAAGGCAGGGGACAGGGACTGGGAGGGGATGCTAAACCCGATAACCCAGTATGGATGAGCTAACAGAGGCCGGGCACACAGCTCCTGCCTGTAATCCCAGCACTTTGGGAGCCCGAGGTGGGCGGGTTGCTTGAGCCAAGGAGTTTGAAACCAGCCCGGGTCTTGAACATAGCGAAGACTCTGTCTCTACAAAAAAATGAAAAAAAAAAAAAAATTAGCCAGACATGGTGGCACGCACCTGTAGTCCCAGCTACTTGAGAAGCTGAGGTGAGAGGATCACTTGAGCCAGGGAGGTTGAAACTGCAGTGAGCTGTGATCACGCCACTGCACTCCAGTCTGGGTGACTGGGCGAGACCCTGTCTCAAAACAAATAAATAAGAAAGAGAGACTACTGGTCAACTTGATTTCTGCTGGTTATTCTCTTTCTGTCATGTTCACCAAAAAGAGAAACCCGTTGTATTTTATCTTGTTGTAGCAAGAGCCGGTGTCTAACACCTGGGCTACTGAGAGAAAGCGAAGGGTTTTTTTCTGGGAAGCTCCAATTTCCTTATTTCTCTCACATGATGCCTCTGACTTTCATAGTGTGGCTTGGTCAGATGGGCCTTATCAATAGAGATGGCCTGATGTCTCAGCTGTGTCATCTCAGCTGCTAGTTCTGGCTTCTGCTGGGAGTCCACAGTGGCCTCTGCATGCATGGTGTGGGAAAGGCAAATAAAAAAGCAGATTAAAAACCAGATTAAAGACATCACCCTGTATTCAGGAAATAATGGCTCCTGTTGATACTGTTCTACGAACACAGATGAAGGCACAAAATTCTACATCAATTGCAGAGAATTGGTTATAGGCTAACACAGGTGGTCGGATGATCTAGGAAGCAGGATTCAGTATTAACGGGGATCCATGAGGACCCCATGAAGCGTGGCATCTCTTCTGCATCAGCAGCTTCAAGTTGTTCCAGGGAGAAGCGGGAAGCCTCAGTGCTTTTGTTGAGGAAGGATGTTCATGACAGTAGGTGCAGGTCGCTCCTGCCGTGCACCCAGGTGTGGGGGAAGGACTTTCCTGCTTCTTTTCCAGTTACCTTACAATTCAGCAAGACGGAAATGATTAGCCCATGACAAAAACCAGGAAACAGGCTCAGAGAGAGTGAGTTGCCCACACAGAATGTGTGCTGTAAATGCAGTTAGATTTCCAGGTTGAGAATCCAGTGACCACGCCCCTTCTTTGTGGCATTCTGCTGTCGTATACCATGTGGAACACATTAAGAACGTTATGGCCAGGCGTGTTGGCTCACGCCTGTAATCCTAGCACTTTGGGAGGCCAAGGTGGACAGATCACCTGAGGTTGGGAGTTCGAGACCAGCCTGGCCAGCATGCCGAAACCCTGTCTCTACTAAAAATACAAAAATTAGCCAGGCATGGTGGCACACACTTGTAATCCGAGCTACTCGGGAGGCTGAAGAAGGAGAATCGCTTAAACCCAGGAGGCGGAGGTTGCAGTGAGCTGAGATTGCACCGTTGCAATCCAGCCTGGGCAACAGAGTGAAACTCCATCTCAGAAAAAAAAAAAAAGTTACAATTGGGTGTCACATAGACAGTGAGGAGTAGTGGAAAGAGTGTTAGATTTGGGGTAAGAGAACTGTGTCTCCTGGGCTTGAGTCCTGATGCCAACTCTCACAAGATGTGTCACCGTACAGCACGACGCTTATACTTTTTTTTTTTTTTTTTTTGAGACAGGATCTTGCTCTGTCTCAAGCTGGAGTGCAGTGGTATGATCACAGCTCACTGCAGCCTCAAACTCCCAGGCTCAGGCCATCCTCCCACCTCAGCCTCCCAAGTAGCTGGGACTACAGGCATGTACCACCATGCCCAAATAATTTTTTGTATTTTTTTGTTGAGATGGGGTTTTGCCATGTTACCCAGGGAGGTCTCAAACTCCAAGGATCAAGCCACCCACCCTCCTTGGCCTCCCAAAGTGTTGGGATTACAGATGTGAGCCACCACACCTTGCAAATTTTTGTATTTTTTGTACAGCCGAGGGTCTCCCTATGTTGCCGAGGGTGATCTTGAACTCCTGGGCTCAAATGATCCACCCTCCTCAGCCTCCCAAAGTGTTGGGATTACAGACGTGAGCCACTGCTCTCAGCCCCTTACACTTTTTTGAAGTTCAGTTCTCCCATCTGTAAAAACGAGGTAATAATATTGCCTCAAATGACTTAATGGATGTGAAAGGGTTTAGTAAACTCTGTGCCTGGAAAGGTAGAAGCTACTCAAATATCTGTTGAGTGAGTGGCATTCATCCATGTGTACATTTCTCAGGCAACAATAATGTCACTTTCACCTAAGGCCAGTAAAATGTGGGTAAAGTCATATAATGATACAATGAAAGTTTCTGATCAGTATTTCCTAATTCAAGTGTGTTGAAATGTGGAGTTGGGCTGGAGAATTGTCAAATCATTGCGTATTTAATTACCTTGTGGTGATGTTTGCTTTAGGGAGTGGAAGGAACATGAGGAACGAACGACCTTCATCACGGAAGATGACATTCATTTCGATTCACTTTAGATTTCAGGGCTTGTTTAGATGCAGACTTTGCAGTTAACATTTTATTGCACTGACTGATTTAGTTTTCACCAGGTGGTCCTTGTGTTTGCTTCAGAAGGATCTAAGTGTATTAGGACAGGGTTTCTTCTGTTTTGATTGTGGGAGGAGGCGGGATAGACTTCTGTTTTCCTAGACCCACAACCAAAATTCCCCACTCCTCCAAATAACCGGGATTACCAGGCAGAGGGTGGAGCATTGAGGAGATGACAGCTGGACATGCCTGCTGTAGCTTTTTCTGAGTTTAATTCCATATAGCTTAGACACAGGCCATATGCCTACATTTGGAAGATGTTTTGGAGAAAATTCTGCTCTGATGGGTGGGGGGCAGGGTCTGCCAGGAAAATATTCTATTCTTTTGAAGACATGGGGTCTTGCTATGTTGCCTAGGCTGGTCTTGAACTCCTCGCCTCAAGTGATGCTCCTGCCTCAGCCTCCTGAGTAGCTAGGACTACAGGTGCAAACCACCACACCCAGCTCTGAGAGGATGCTATACTCTTCACTTCATTGGAATTGGTGAAATTAGATAAGAAACAGACTCTTCCTCTCTTCTCCCCTAGTTATAAACAGTTCTGTTAAGAGAGGGAAAATAACCATTTAGCCTATAGAAAATCACCTTTTCGAAAAGTTAAGAATTACTTATGTGATGGTAGTTTTTGAAAGTGGTTTTTATTCTGAGATCATGGCCTCTGTACTATGCAGGGCCTGGAGAAGTGGGATGAGAGCTACCAGGCTCAAAGCTCCTGTCCCGAACAAAGGGTTGCTTTCGTGGGAGCACGCCACCCTTTCCAAGGCTAGTTCCTCTCCCAGCATCTCACTTCAGCTCTCGTCCTGCTCTAGAAACGTGCCTTTGCTGGTCCAAGGAATCCTGGCCGTTTCTTTTCTTAATTGTTGGCATTCATCTGGGCTATGGTGGTTGTGGCGGGGGTGGCAGTGGAGAGTGTGTTGTTTTAAATCCATGAGTCATTTTAGGGTATTGGTACTCTTGAAGACTGACTTTCTCTTGCTCAGGTTTTCAGAGAGACCTTTTGCTAAGCAACAATAACCTAAGAATCTCCTTGACCAAAGATAAATGTAGCAAACTTTGCACATGGTGCAACATTTGATAATAGTATCAATTTACGTTTGTCTTTCCCTTGCAATTTCCCTCCTCCTCTAGCTTGCTCACGTTTCTGCCTTCTTCTTGCTGGCAAGAGTACAGACTATAATTCTCCAGTTCACTAACATCTGGAGCGACTGCACTGTTTGCAATTTCATTGATTGACTACATGTGTACAGTTCCTTTATTGCAAGTCACTTTTCTGTATAATCTTTTTTGAGACGAAGTCCTGCTCTGTCGCCCAGGCTGCAGTAGCGCAATCTTGGCTCACTGCAACTTCCGCCTCCCGGGTTCAAGCGATTCTCCTGCCTCAGCCTCCTGAGTAGCTGGGATTATAGGCGCCCGCCACCATGCCCAGCTAATTTTTTTGTATTTTTAGTAGAGATGGGGTTTCACTATGTTGGCCAGGCTTGTTTTGAACTCCTGACCTCAAGAGATCTGCCAGCCTTGGCCTCCCAAAGTGCTGGGATTACAGGTGTGAGCCACTGTGCCTGGCCATATAATCTATTTTTAAAATGTTTTTATATGAAAATAAACAGAGACAGAGTCTCACTGTGTTGCCCAGGCTGATCTCGAACTCCTGGGTTCAAGTGATCCTCCCACCCTGGCCTCCCAAAGTGCTGGGGTTACAGGCGTGAACCACCTCATGTGGCCTCGCTTTCCTATATAATTTAAACAATAGAACTATAGTGCCATTTGTAAGAGTTTCCCAGTTTATACTGCATGTGACACTCCCCATGTCGTATGTTCTCACAACAGAACAGAAACCGCAGGATGTCAGCACCGGAGGCAACCTTGGAGCATCCAGCCCACTTGGTTTTGCATTGCTGGCAGGAGATTTTATGCCTCAAAATATAGATGCTTTTTGGAAGGACAGCACATTAATTATTTTTCAGTCATTTTTACCTTATGCGAACAAGCTGATTAGTTCCTTTCCTAGGAGCTGGTTTTTATGGAGGGAAGATGGGGCCGGTAGAGGCAGATAGAGGGGGATGTAATACACAGGCACTGAGACAGCACCCCACTGACTTTCCCCTGTCCCTCCTCCAGCTGGCCTCCTCCTTTCCAGGGGCTGTGCCCAATCCAGAATCAGTTACTCACTGGTGCCCATCGACCATCATTTCCCCATGTGGCCACCAAAGAAATGAACACCACCTTTCTGGTTGGCATGATCATCAATTTCTCAGCCAAAACGGCATGCATCCTTGGCTCTGGGAAACAGTACATCTCCCAGGAAAGTGAGCTTACAGCACGGTACCCCACTTCCTGGTTACCAGACTATTGTTCCCGTTTTCCCCAAGAACAGTCATCATTCACAGGTTGTTTGGCAGGGCCCAGGAACAGAGTCACTCTGGTTGCTACAGCCAACAGACCAAACACGGCTTCCAGGCAGGAAGGTCAGAGCTGCTCTGCAGGATGCACATGCAGGTTGGAAGCAGACAGGGCTGGCCGAGCACAGATATGCTGGCTGTGTCCTACACACAGGTGCCTACACACACATCCTTCAGATCCGGGCTGCACTCTATCAGCCAACCCACGGACTCTGTTTTTTCTAATTTGCACAGATTCTTTGTCAACCTGCCATGCCCTGAGACTGCTGAACTTCATCCAACAGAGAGGGTACCTTTTGCAAATCTGCAAAAATCAACTTTGTGTGCTAGGGTGGCCTGACAGGGCTAGGCCTTGGGGTCTTGGGGACCAGCATTCCACCTCTCCTCTCATACAGTGATTCTGGATTCCAGCCCAGCAAAAGTCAGCCAACCTTGGGGCCTTCCTTTCTTTCATCCTTTCTTTTTTTTCCTTTTCTATCCTTCTGTGCCTCCCTTCCTACCCCCTTCCTTCCTTCTTCTCATTTGCCTTTTTTTTTTTCAGTTCTTTGATGATCCTGAGAAGCTACTAAATATAGCAAAAGGGAGATAACACAGAACAAAATTAGAAGTCTATTTATAAAAATGAGCCTCTTCCATCCCTTCCGCCAATGTCATCTCTCACCCGGGTCTCGCCAGAGCACTCATGGACCTCCCTTTGGTGAGGCCCAAAGTCCATCCCAGCCACGCCCTGCGGTCCCGAGTCTGAGTCCATTGTTCTGGCTTTCACTCTGCTCTGCATCCCGTCACTGGCCCCAGACCTCGACGCCCACCTCTTCAGCGAAGGCGAAACAAGGACTCATTTTTCCTCCCTCTCTTCGCTCTTTCTTGTTTTCAGACTGCACTGTTTTTCTGCTGGCCGGATGACTCATTTCTTTGTCATCTCTTACCCCACTTGGCCTTTTCAGCTGCTCGAATCGCCTCTGTGTGATGCGGACAGAGCTATCGCCCTGCTGGGGTGAGATTCACTTGCATTGAATCAGCTCAAGGCGCAGGAAGGTCCAGGGAAGCCAAGGAAGAGAAGAGACAAGTCTCCAACTCTCTCAGGAGCAAAGACAAAAATATGCTCCTGCTCTCTTATCTCTTATTCAGACCGTTCAGTTGCAAAAGGGTTGAACATGATGCAGCGGGTGGTATGTGTGGACCAGCCCTAGGTCGTGCTTCTCCTCCATCTGGTCCCCCCACCCCTAGTTATCCAGAAAGGGGGATGTTCCCAGGCAATGCCAACATGTCCATACTGCACTCTTCACATTGCAGTTTCCCGGCATCTGGGATTGCATTCCTTTTGGAAGGACTTTGAGTTCTTGAAATAAAGAAGTAACTTGGTGGGCATCTGGAAAAAACACCCAAACTGTATCCCAGGCTGGGGTGCAGGAGCCTATCGAGAGGGCTGGGTGGTGTGGACAGCGTGATGAAGAAGGTCAAGTTCCTTGTACTCACTCGTTTGCTGTTTCATTCACAATTCCTGTGAGGTGGGAGCTCTCACCATCCTTGGGTCTTGCTTAAGAGTAAGGAGTGGGGCAACCTAGAGATACATGAACATCAAGGAGAAATGGGGAGGGAGTTTCACATGAGCTATTTTTACAAGATTAAGTAATGGGATAAAATTTAAAAGGGGAATTTAAGAGGAATTTTGGGCAGTTTTGAGAAACAGGAAATTTGAGGAAAGCTGAGAAAGAGAAGATCTGGAGTAAGTCTCTGTGATGAGAAGATTCCACCCCGCACTCCTGTTCTGGGTGGCCTTGGCTCCTGACTCCCTTTCTTCTGAAACTGCCTGGAGCCAGGGAGTAGCACAGCTGCTTCCTCCCGGGGAGAAAGGGACACCCAAAGAGCGCACTCCAGGGAGACCTTGGGCACTGCGGGCTCAAAGGCTGGAGATGGCACTTCTGTTCCCTCCTGATGGGACAGGTGCAGGGAGGCTGAGAGGATGCCACGCTGGCGAGCCTCCCTCTGAGCTGTGTTTTCTCATTGGAATTGCTGTACCCGGAGCCTCCTGCAGGTTTCCCTCGCCCTCTCCCTAAGCTCCTCTGCCTGACACAGGAGCCCGGGGAGAATCTGTCAGGCATGAAATGTAGCGAGGCAAGGAGGGTGATCAGCACCTCCCACGGGGGAGTTCGTTTCGAAGTAACAATCAAAGATCCAGAGCCGGACCCAGGCAGGGAGGCAAGGCCTGGAAGCCCCTGTGCCTCCAGGCCCCTAGGACGCTCGGGGGAGGGGGAGGGGGAGGGTGGGACCTGAAGTTGTTGTGACCGAAGGGAAATGAGTCAGGGAAAGAAATGCCATGCTTTAATTTTTGTGGATGAAGGAGGGAACAGGCCGCCAGACCACAAAATAACACCCGGCCGACTAACCTACTTTTAGCTGCCGAGGGCAGGATCACAGAGGAGAGGCAGATGGAAACTGGGGCTCTGGGGTCCAGGAAGATCTGAGTCTTCCGACCAAACATCATTTGCCTCCCCTCCTTCCTGCAAATATGCACATTGCCGGATCTGCTGCAGTCTATGAAAAAGGAGACAGATGTTCTGGCAGAGCGGTGGGGGGGGTGGGCGTGGAGGTTGGGTTGGGGGGCCTCTGCTTTGTGGGGAGAACCTCAGGCAGGGGAGTAGGCTCCATCCTGCGTGGAGGAACCTGAGCAGTCTAAGGCAGGCTGGCTCTATGATGTGCTGGCAATAAAATCCCAATGGCTTCCGCTGCAGAAGTCCAAGAGGACATGACTGCGGCTCCATCTAGTCAAGCCCAGGGCAGGAATTCCCTTCCAGGAAACCAAGCCAGAGCGCTGTGGTCTCTGGGCTGCCAAGATGTCTCAGAAATGGTCTAGCCCTTCAGCCCACAGAAATCTCTGGGCAAAATTATCTCCCAGCATTGACAGACGAATGGATAAACAAAATGTGTTCTATCCCACAGTGGAGTATTATTCAGCTTTAAAAAGGAAGGAAAAATGCTGGGCGCGGTGGCTCACGCCTGATCCCAGCACTTTGGGAGGCTGAGGAAGGAGGATCATTTGTGCCCAGGAGTTCGAGACTAGCCTGGACAACATAGAGAAACCTTGTCTCTACACACACACACACACACACACACACACACACACACACACACTCTCTCTCTCTCTCTCTCTCTCTCTCAGCCAGGCACAGTGGCACATGCCTGAAGTCCCAGCTCTGGGAAGCTGAGGCAGGAGGATCTCTTGAGCCTGGTGGGTCAAGGCTGCAGTGAACCATGTTCATGCCACTGCACTCCAGTCTGGATGACAGAGCGAGACCTAGTCTCAAAAAAAAAAAAAAAAAAAAGAAAGAAGAAAGAAGAAAGGAAAAAGAAAAAAAGGCAGCGGGGGCGCGGTGGCTCACGCCTGTAATCCCACCACTTTGGGAGGCCAAGGCGAGCGGATCACGAGGTCAGGAGATCGAGACCATCCTGGCTAACACGGTGAAACCCCGTCTCTACTAAAAATACAAAAATTAGCCGGGCGTGGTGGCAGGCGCCTGTAGTCCCAGCTACTCAGGAGGCTGAGACATGAGAATGGCATGAACCCGGGAGGCGGAGCTTGTAGTGAGCCGAGATCACACCACTGCACTCCAGCCTGGGCGACAGAGCGAGACTCCATCTTAAAAGAAAAAAAAAAAAAGGACATGCTACAGCATGGATGCACCTTGAAGACATTTGCAAAGTGAAACAAACCAGTCGCAAAAGAAGAAACACTGTCTCATTCCACTTCTAGGATGTATGTAGAGCAGTCAGGTTCATACAGACAGAAAGTAGCAGCGTGGCTGCTGGGGAAAAGGGGAATGGGGAGTTATTCTTTAATGGCTACAGAGTTTCAGTTAGGGGTGATGGAGAAGTTCTGGAGATGGGCGGTGGTGACGGCCGGCCGCACAGCAATATGACGTGCTTAATGCCACTGAACTGTGCACTGAACATCGTTAAGGTGGTAAATTTTGTGTTATATATATTTTGCAACAATAAAAAATATGTAGTTTCTAGAATCCTCTTCTAGATGCATGTCTGGCGTTTCTGCCGCGGGGCTGGCACTGGAGGAAGCCAGACAGGACAACATTGCGGCTTATCCTCCTCTGTTGCCATCATGGACCTCTCGCACCCCGTGATCAAGCTGTTTTTTCTCTCCTTCCAGAATTTAAGGGACGCTGTGAAGCAATCATGGATGCAATGAAGAGAGGGCTCTGCTGTGTGCTGCTGCTGTGTGGAGCAGTCTTCGTTTCGCCCAGCCAGGTTGGTGTGCAGGATCCCTGTGTCCCGCCCCTCAAGGCTGTGATGCTTCCGGAGGCTCCAGGGGTCTGTGTCCATCTGGGCCACGGAGGTTGGAATGCTGTCAGGGAGCAGAGAGGCACAGGGACGAGGGGCTGGCATTGCTGTGGAGCACACAGCACACACTCCCTTCTGTACAGCAAACTCTGTATTTGGGGGCCCAGTGTGTAGCTGGGCCCTAGGCACTTATTTTGACCTGAGTAAGCGGAATTAACATGCCACTCCCTGCCTGTGACTGCCTTTTTTTGCAGCTGTTTTTAAAGAATGTATTCAAATTAATCCATAAAGTACAGTTGTCCCTCATATCTATGGGGTATTTGTTCCAGGACCCCCAAGGATACCAAAATCCAGGGATACTCAAGTTCCTCATATAGAATGGTGTAGAGTTTGCATATCCTATGCACACCCTCCTGTATACTTTAAATCATCTCTAAATTACTTATAATACCTAGTACAATGTTAATGCTATGTAAATGGTTGTTATAAGGTATTTTTTAATTTGTGTTATTTTTATTGTTGTATTATTTATTTATATATTTTTTGGAAACAGGGTCTCACTCTGTCACCCAGGCTGGAGTGCAATGGCACAATCATAGCTCACTGCAGCACCAAACTCCTAGGCTTAAGCCTTGGCCTCCCAAAACTCTGGGGTTACAGGTGTGAGCCACAAGCCCAGCTTATATTATTATTTTTTATTTTTCTGTTTTGGTTGAATCCACAGATATGGAACCTGCAGATATACAAAGTGGACTGTATTTATAAAAGACAATGCAGGACAGGGCACAGTGACTCACACCTGTAATCTCAGCACTTTGGGAGGCCGAGGTGGGAGGATCGCTTGAGCCCAGGAGTTGGAGACCAGTCTGGGCAATATAGTGAGATGCTGTCTCTACAAAAAATTTAAAAATTAGCCGGGTGTACTAGTATGCACCTGTGGTCCCAGCTACTCAGGAGGCTGAGGCGGGAGGATCGCTTAAGTTCAGGAGGTTGGGACTTCAGTGAGATATGATTACGCCAATGCACTCCAGCCTGGGTGACAAACTGAGATCCTGTCTCAAAAAAAAAAAAAAAAAAAGAAAAAGGCAATGCAAGTGCCATGAGCCACAGCAGAGGCAAACTGCCCTCATGGTGCCTACTCTCTAGCTGAGATGGAAGCGCTACACACACTCTCTGAAAATGCCTAGCAATAAAGGGCCTCACGGAAGTCCAAACTAACCACACCTCTCCCACAGGACCCTACAGCGGGGAGAGCCAGGTGACTGCGTGGAGTAGACAGCCAGCTGCAACTCCATTGCCCAATATGGTGGCCACTTACCTTGTGCAACTGTTTAAATTTAAAATAATTAAAGTTAAAAATTGTTTCTCAGTCCCACTGGCCACATTCAAAGCACTCGGTGGCCCTGTGTGGCTTCTGTCGTGGACAGCACAGACAGAAAACATTTCCACCAAGCAGAAAGCTCTTCTGGACAGAGCCAGTCAGGAAGGAGAGGAAGAATTGGACTAGAAGGCAGGAGATGGACTTTCACTTGGGCCAGTTACCCGAGGGGGTCTCTGAGCAGAGGTATCTGGCCGGCAGGTTCACATGGGCTTCTGGGTTGGCCGCCTTTACTCTTAGTACACCTGGCATGTGCTGATCCTTCCTCCACCTCTGGTTTCTTCGCAGGAAATCCATGCCCGATTCAGAAGAGGAGCCAGATCTTACCAAGGTCGGGTGAAGCTGAGGGGTGCATGGGGTCATCAGGGAGGGAGGCAGGGCGGGGTGCAGGGTGCATCACCCACCCACCACCTGCCTTCTTCCACCCACCACCTGCCTACGGTGTGACAGTGCCATTGCAGCATGATTCTACAGAGATGCCTGTGTCGGCACCATTCTCCCATCAGCTGCGGCCACTGGGCGGGTTCTGATTCTGAGGGGAGCAGAAACAGGTGTTCCCCCCCAAGGAGCCAGGCTGTCAGGGATCACAACCTAGCGGGGGCTGGGGGGGGCGGCCACTGGCCCAAGGTCCTGGTTATACAGATCAAAAGGCAGAGCCCAGGAGAGAGCAAGTGGCTTGCCCAGGGTCACACAGCCGCCAGCAGCACGGCCAGGGCAGTCACAGCCGAGGCCAGGCCCATGCTCTGGGTCTCATCCTAGGCTGTGATCCCACCACAGTGCACCGGCAGCTTTGGTAACAACATCCCTGTGTATCCATTTCCCTCTGTTGATCCAACCGGGATGTCCCAACTGGGATGTCCCACCCAGGCAACCCCTCGACATGGTGGGGTCTCTAAGTCCACATCTAGAGTTGACTCTAGAAGGCTGAGGAATGCGAGGCCCAGCTTCAGGTCCAAAACTACCAACTTAGGCCCTCGATTTCCCTCCTTCACGACCCAGTTCCTTCGAGTCTGGAAGACTCTGCAATACCCTTTGTGAAGGTGTTAAAAAGGGTGACTCACTCCCCAGAGCGAGTCACACCTGGACTCTTAATGCCTTCGTTGTTGGATGGCATCCTGCTTCCTACCAGGTTATCCTGGCCTCAGTGACCTCAGAAGCAGCAAGGGTCTGACTTACAGTGGGCACGTGCTACTTCTTTAATTAATTGAAAGTAAAGTTGTTGTTTTTTAAGTTGGCATTCTGGCTTGAAAACAGAAAGATGGCATGAAAATATTAATGGGAGTACTTCAACTATTTTCATTATGCCAAAAATACTTGGAGAAGTAGCACATTTTCTGCAAAGTCTAAAATGTCAATTTTCTTTGGGGCCAAAAATGCATCATTTCTGTGTGGTAATACTTATGTGGATAAAAAACTCTGGTAGACAGTTATGCATATATATATTTTTTGGTGAATTACAATGAGAAAAAGTCCAGGTGCAATGGCTCACATCTGTAACTCCAGCACTTTAGGAGGCGGATCCAGGAGGATGGCTTTAGCCCAGGAGTTCAAGACCAGCATGGGCAACATAGTGAGACACCTCTGCCTCCCCCACCCCACCCCGCCTCTACAAAAAAATTTAAAAATTAGCTGGGTGTGGTGGTGTGCACCTGTAGTCCCAGCTACTTGGGAGGTTGACGCAGGAGGACTGCTTGAGCCTGGGAGGCAGAGGTTGCAGTGAGCCAAGACAGCACCATTGGACTCCAGCCTGGGTGACAGAGACCCTCGAAAAAAAAAAAGAAAAAGAAAAGAAAAGAAAAAATTAGGCTGGGCACGGTGGCTCATGCCTGTAACCCCAGCACTTTGGGAGACCGAGGTGGGTGGATCACTTGAGATCAGGAGTTCGAGACCAGCCTGTCCAATATGGTGAAACCCCGTCCCTACCAAAAATACAAAAATTAGCCGGGCATGGTATCGGGCACCTGTAATCCCAGCTACTCGGGAGGCTGAGGCAGGAGAATCACTTGAACCCAGGAGGTGGAGGTTGCAGTGAGCCGAGATTGTGCCACTTCACTCCAGCCTGGGCGACAGAGTGAGACTTTGTTTCAAAAATAATAATAATAAATAAATAATAAATAAATAAATCATATGAGAAGATACTCAATGGCACTCAGAAAAGAAATGCAAATTTATTTTATTTTATTTTGAGATGGAGTCTTGCTCTGTCGCCCAGGCTGGAGTGCAGTGGTACAATCTCGGCTCACTGCAACCCCCACTTCCTGGGTTCAAGCAATACTCCTGCCTCAGCCTCCTGAGTAGCTGGGATTACAGGCACCTGCCACCATGCCTGGCTCATTTTTGTATTTTTAGTAGAGATAGGGTTTCACCATGTTGGCCAGGCTGGTCTCGAACTCCTGAGCTCAAGTGATTCACCCACCTCGGCCACCCAAAGTGCTGGGATTACCAGCATCAGTCACCGTGTTTGGCCAGTATTCATTATCTTGTTGTCTTCCAGTTGTGTCTCTTCAATAAGGGAGTATGCAATGGAGTCTATAGAAAGCAAGTGAGGGAGTTTTCTCAGTAGGTGCAAGGGTAGTGAGGCATTTCATTTTGAGTCATACTCTGATGAGGCTGGCCTGTCTTTTCTCATAGTGATCTGCAGAGATGAAAAAACGCAGATGATATACCAGCAACATCAGTCATGGCTGCGCCCTGTGCTCAGAAGCAACCGGGTGGAATATTGCTGGTGCAACAGTGGCAGGGCACAGTGCCACTCAGTGCCTGTCAAAAGTATGTACTGAGGCTGGGAGGTGGTGCATGCCTGTGATCCCAGCACTTTAGGAGGCCAAGGTGGGAGGGTCGCTGGAGCCCGGGAGTTCAAGACCAATCTGGGCAAACATAGCAAGTCCCCTGTCTCTACAAAAAATAAAAAAATTAGCCAGACCTGGTATGTAGTCCCAACTACTTGGGAGGTTGAGGCAGAAGGATCACTTGAGCCCAGGAGTTGGAGGCTGCAGTAATCTACGATTGTGCCACTGCATTTCAACCTCAGTGACAGGGCAAGCCCTCACCTCTAAAACAAAACAAAACAACACAAACAAAAACAAAAACACAGAAAAGCCCAGTACAAATCGACTTCAAACTGAGACTTCGAGTTCAGGGGTCCAGTCATGAACCCTGTCTTTCATGGTCCCCGGAAAGTTCAAATCTTCAAAAGGAGCCTCCAGGCCTGTTCGGCCTTAGGCGGAGGTGAAGGTACAAGCAGAAAAGGGAGCAAGACCAAGTGACCTTGGGCAAATGCCCGCTTGCCTCAGTTTCCTCATCTATAAAGAGGTGGGAATAACAGTACACACTTCATGGTTTGCTGTGAGGATTAAATTAGCTAATTTTTGTAGACTGTACAACAGCGCCTGGCACATAGAGCACATTCTTAATATTTTAACTCACATCATCCTTGGAGCTGCTTTGAAAATACAGGGGACCCTTGAACAACACTTGTCTGACCTGCAGGGTCCACTTATGTATGGATTTTTTTCAACCAAAGGCAGGATGAAAACAGTATTTGTAGGATGCAGAACTGGTATACGCGTGTTCCACGCTGCAGGACTTGAGTGTGTGTGGATTGTGGTAGACAGGGCTCCTGGAACCATGGCCTGAGCACACAGAAGGAGGCTGTCATTAGGGGCTTCCTTTTTTATACTTGACAGGTTGCAGCGAGCCAAGGTGTTTCAACGGGGGCACCTGCCAGCAGGCCCTGTACTTCTCAGATTTCGTGTGCCAGTGCCCCGAAGGATTTGCTGGGAAGTGCTGTGAAATAGGTGAGTAGGTGAGAGCACGTGAAACGAGCTGAAATCCCACCTCTCCAGTCTCCCCCGCCCCCGGAAGGAAAGGCAGGGTGCGATGGCAGGGCCAGGGGTGGGGGCCAGGGACAGGGAAGGCGCTTCTGCCATGGGTCAGGAAGCACAGTGCCACACAGCAAGCAGAGCCTAGGTGTGACCCTGAATCCAGGCTGGCACCCTTGCCACCCAGCCTGTGGCTTCCGAGCCAGCCTGCATCAGGCCTGGGGGAGGACGGGGCAGAGAGGGGAGCCTCCTGAGGGCTGAATGAAAGGGGACTCCCATGTGAGGCATCCATGCCCTGCTCTCTGTCAGATACCAGGGCCACGTGCTACGAGGACCAGGGCATCAGCTACAGGGGCACGTGGAGCACAGCGGAGAGTGGCGCCGAGTGCACCAACTGGAACAGCAGCGCGTTGGCCCAGAAGCCCTACAGCGGGCGGAGGCCAGACGCCATCAGGCTGGGCCTGGGGAACCACAACTACTGCAGGTGAGGGCACATCCCCAAGGAGGGATTCCCCCTGTGAGAAGCTGCTACAGCTGGGGAAAGATTCTGTCAGATCCGTCAGGGTTCTCCCAAGAAACATAACCAATACAGGATGGATAGATGGATAGATGATAGACAGATAATAGATGATAGGTGATAGATGATAGATTGATAGATGATAGATGATAGGTGATAGATTAGATAAATAGATGATACATACATGATAGATAGATGATAAATAGACGGTAGATGGATGACAGATAGACAGATGATAGGTGATAGATAGATGATAGATTGATAGATGATTGATAGATAAATAGATGATAGATACATAGATGATAGATGGTAGATAGATGATAGATGGATAGATGATAGATGATAGGTGGTAGATGATAGACAGATGATTAGAAAGATAGATGATAGATACATAGATGATAGACACATAGATGATAGACAGATTGACAGATGATAGATGATTGATAGATGATTAAATAGATGATACATAGATGATAATGATAAATAGATGATAGATGATAGATGATAGGTGATAGATAGATTGATAGATGATAGAAGATTGATAGATGATAGATACATAGGTGATAGTAGATGTAAGATGATAGATGATAGATAGATAGATGATAGACAGATTGATAGATGATAGAGAGATAGAGATAGAGAAAGAGGAGAGAGAAATAGAGAGAGAGAGAGAATGTGTGTGAACCCAAAGTATCTGAGACAGGTCTCAATCGATTTAGAAAGTTGATTTTGCCAAGGTTAAGGACACCCCCGTGACACAGCCTCAGGAGGTCCTGAGGACATGTGCCCAAGGTTGTCAGGGCACAGCTTGCCTTTAGACGTTTTAGGGAGTCATGAGACATCAATCAACATGTGTGAGATGTACATCGGTTTGGTCGGGAAAGTTGGGATAACTCGAAGCAAGGGCTTCCAGGCCATAGGTAGATAAGAGACAAAAGGCTGTATTCTGAGTCCTTGATCAGCTTTTCACTGAACACACAATTGAGTCTGGCTCAGTTCATCTGCATTTTTACATAAAAAATAGGGCAGAGGAAGCAATCAGATACGCATTTGTCTCAGATGAGCAGAGGGATGATTTTCTGTCCTGCACCTGGGAAGATAAGCTATCCATTTACAATGCCAAGGTGAAAGTCAACAGAACTGTTTTAGGGTAAAGATCTTTAGGCCTGCAAGGAATGTCCTTGTAGAGAATTAAAAAAAAAAAAAAAAAACTTTGCAGCTATCTTATTGAGGAATAAATGAGAGGCAGGTTTGCCTGACGTAGTTCCCGGCTTGACATTTCCCTTGGCTCATGACGTTGGGGTCCTGAGATTTATTTTCCTTTCACACTAGATAGATAGACATTTATGTTAAGGAACTGGCTGACAGGATCGTGGGGGCTGGCAAGTCCGAAACATCTTGGTAAGCCAGGCTGGAAGTGCAGGCAGAAGCTGAGGCTGCTCTCTTAAGGCAGAATTTCTTATTCAGGAAACCTCATATTTGCTCTTAAGGCCTTTAAGTGATTGGACGAGGCCCAACTACATTATCTAGGACAATTTCCTTTTCTAAAGTCAACTGGCTGTAGATATTAACCACATCTATAAAACACTTTCACAACTCCTAGATGAATGTTTGGTTAACTGACTGGGTGCCACAGCCTGGCCAAGTTGACATATAAGACTATTCCAGTCCACACCTTGTCAATTTGGCACCCATGTGCATCTCCTTAAACCATCCTTCACCTCCAAGTAAACACAGGAACAAAATCATACTCCTGCCTAACATGATAGAACTACCAGTGTACAACCAAAAACGCACTCCCGGCTGGGCGTGGTGGCTCACGCCTGTAATCCCAGCACTTTGGGAAGCCAAGGCAGGTGGATCACCTGAGGTCAGGAGTTCAAGACCAGCCTGGCCAACATGGTGAAACCCTGTCTCTACTAAAAATACAAAAATTAGCCAGGCATGGTGGCAGGCACCTGTAATCCCAGCTACTCGGGAAGCTGAGGCTGAAGAATTGCCCAAATCCAGGAAACGGAGGTTGCAGTGAGAGGAGATGCGCCGCTGCACTCCAGCCTGGGATAAACAGCGAGACTCTGTCAAAAAAAAAAGCACCCCCCATTCCTCCAGAAAAGGATACCAAAGTCCTTGGGTCCTAAAGGAGAGGCTTCACCTTTGACCTACCCTGGCCCTTCCCTTGGCTGATTTTTCAGAAACCCAGATCGAGACTCAAAGCCCTGGTGCTACGTCTTTAAGGCGGGGAAGTACAGCTCAGAGTTCTGCAGCACCCCTGCCTGCTCTGAGGGTAAGTGGCAGCCACCCCGCCTTTCCCTGAATGTCCCTGGGGGAGGAAAGTCCAGGAGGACAGGCCGATAGCCCTCCTGCACCTGAGGGGAGAAAGGGGGAGGCCAGGAGTGAGTCATTTTGGTTGCAGAGGGAAGAAAGACAGGACTTAGGTCTGTGCCTGGGCTTGGCCTCTGACTGGCTATTTGTCTGACCTGGAGCTGATCTCCTCACACTCTGACCCTCAATTTCCTCCTCTATGGAGGAGAGGATGGGGCTGAATCAGTGGTTTTCAGTCCTTTTGAGAATGAATGGAGATTCTCCCTTTTTTGATTAATGGGTGAATGGGGCTTTGTCTCTCTTTCGCTCCCTCTCAAACTTTTTAATGCAAAAAAAAAAAAAAAAAAACTTCCAAGATTGAAAAAATATATATTAAGTTACAAGACCAGGCACAGTGGCTTATGCCTATAAACCCAGCACTCTGGGAGGCTGAGGCGGGCGGCTCACCTGAGGTCAGGAGTTTGAGACCAGCCTGGCCAACATGGTGAAACCCTGTCTCTACTAAAAATACAAAAATTAGCCGGATACGGTGGCAGGCACCTGTAATCCCAGCTACTCAGGAGGCTGAGGCAGGAGAATTGCTTGAACCTGGGAGATGGAGGTTGCAGTGAGCCGAGATCATGCCACTGCACTCCAGCCTGGGTGATAGAACAAAAAACTGTTTCAAAAAAAAGAAAAAAATGAAATGCTAAGTTACAGAAAGGTACTATGAATTCAGTGGTGCTTATACAAATCATTACGTTACTTATCACATTTATCACAGCACTATGAAAGATTTTTTTTAAGTTCTAAATATATATAGGGCCAGGTGCAGTGGCTCGTGTCTATAATCCCAGCACTTTGGGAGGCTGAGGCGGGAGAACTGCTTGAGCCCAGGAGTTTGAGACCAGCCTGGGCAACAAAGTGAGACTCCATCTCTACAAAAAATACAAAAATTAGTCAGGTGTGGTGGCTTGTGCCTATGGTCCCAGCTGCTTGGGAGGCTCAGGTGGGAGGATCGCTTGAGCCCAGGAGGTTGAGGCCACAGTGAGCAATGATTGTGCCACTGCACTCCAGCCTGGGTGACAGTGAGATCCTGCCTCAAAATAAATACATAAATATGTGTGTGGGTGTGTGTATATATATATGTAATACACATATATTAAATTTATATATGATATATATAAACACGCACCAGCTATATGCATTCAGCACCCAGGTCCACGGGTGATGCCTGTGACTCTGAAGACTTTACAGTCACTCTACAATATCCTCCCCATCCCCCATGGTCTGGTCTAAATGAGGACTCGCAGATCTAGATAATCTTGAAAATCCCTTCCATTTATGGTATTTATGTATAGAGGTATGCTTTGTCAGTTTCAGGTCGGGAGAAAAAAATGGAAAAATGGGGGAAATAAATGAAAACAGGCAGCACTCCACGGCTCATACCCTCCTCCTTCCCAAGCCCATCATCAGATCCTCAGGACACTGGCAGACACAGTCCGAGAAATAACCCCCACCCCAGCCCCACTGAAGCACGTTGGTTCACTGCAGCCTGTTAAGTAACACAAGGAAACCCCTACTGGCTTTCAAAGCAGCTTCAGAAACAGCCCCCACTCATGGAAGTGGTTCTTCCTGCTGAACCTGAAGATGTCCCCAGACTCTCTCTCAACATAGCAATCTAGGGAGCCACTTCCGGTGGAGATGAAACCCCCTTGCCATCTCTAAGTAAAAGGACTCAAAGAGGGGGAAAAAGGCTCAGGCCGGGCGTGTTGGCTCACACCTGTACTCCCAGCACTTTGGGAGGCTGAGGCGGGCAGATCACCTGATGTTAGGAGTTCAAGACCAGCCTGGCCAACATGGTGAAACCCTGTCTCAACTAAAAATACAAAATTAGCGTAGCATGGTGGCGCATGCCTGTAACCCCACCTACTCGGGAGGCTGAGGTAGAAGAATCGCTTGAACCCAGGAGGTGGAGATTGCAGTGAGCCAAGATCGCGCATTGCACTCCAGCCTGGGCAACAAAAGGGGAAGTGTGAGGTGTTACACTCTTCTCAGTGCCGGGCTAGCGGCCTCCAGCTTCCTCGACCGGCAGCTCCGCTTCAAGCCCCAGCCCTGACTTGCGTGCTTCAGAATTTGTTTTTGTTTCAGTTTGAGAATTCTTTTCTTCTAGGAAACAGTGACTGCTACTTTGGGAATGGGTCAGCCTACCGTGGCACGCACAGCCTCACCGAGTCGGGTGCCTCCTGCCTCCCGTGGAATTCCATGATCCTGATAGGCAAGGTTTACACAGCACAGAACCCCAGTGCCCAGGCACTGGGCCTGGGCAAACATAATTACTGCCGGTAGGTAGCACAGGGGTGGGGGGTTCAGGTCTTGGCAGAACGTGGGATTAGGGTGTGAGACGGGGGAAGATCCAATGTCTCAAGTTGCATGACAGACCCAGTGCGTGGGAAGCACCCATGGATATTATCTAATCCAACCTCTTCACTTGCTAGAATAACACATATTGTGAAAAGCAAGGTCTACCAGTTTTCCAACCTAAATCCCAAGTTAAGGGTCCTGGCCTGTAACCATTTAGTCCTCAGCTGTTCTCCTGACATCTTTATTGCAATGATTTGTAAGAGTTCCGTAACAGGACAGCTCACAGTTCTGTCTGACAACCCTATGAGATTAGAACACTACATTACTGACTGGGTAACAAAGTTAAAGAGAAGTTCTCCTAGGGTGGGGGTGTGCTGCAAGGTCAAGATGAACTCGGTGTCCTCCCTCCCAGCTCAGTGGTTTTCATTGGTTGACTGAGTCTCCTTCTACTCTTACATGGCCTGTGATGTGGCTGAAAATGGGATTGAAAATCTTAAACTCCTGGCCTGGTGTGGTGGTGCATGCCTGTAATCCCAGCACTTTGGGAGGCTGAGGCAGGAGGATTGCTTGAGCCCAGGAGTTCAAGACCAGCCTGGGCAACATGGCAAGACCCCATCTCTACAAAAATTAAAAAATAAGAAGATAAAAAGGAAACCTTAAACTCTCTTATCATTTAGGAATCCTGATGGGGATGCCAAGCCCTGGTGCCACGTGCTGAAGAACCGCAGGCTGACGTGGGAGTACTGTGATGTGCCCTCCTGCTGTAAGGGCTGGGCCCCGGCTGCCTCCCTGCACCTGGTCTCCCTTCTTCACCATCTCCTCGCCACTTTCTAGGCCTTCATGGCTGTCTGGTGCAGACTGTGTGCCTACCAGACTTCCAGGCTGGGTGGGGAGGGGGCTTCCATGACTGAAGCCACGGTGGGTGGGCGGGTGTCCATGACCCATGCATGGGGGTGGTGGGGAGGGGCAAGAAGAAAGAAAAGAACACAGCAACCTCTCTGAGAAGTCAGTAGGCTCTACCCGGCTCTCTCTAGACGCCTCTATTGGTGTTGCTGAGAGTAATGGGGAATGAGGAGGAGGCCTCGCATGCATGGCTCCTTAGATAATAAAGTGCCTTCACCACATTTGTCCAACAGCGTGGTGGAGGTGGTCTTCCTACCTCCAGTTTACTGAGTAGGAAGCAGTCTCCCAGACGCCAGGTGGCCTGCCCAAGCTCGCTGGGCACCGGGAGGTAAAGCTAGGGCCTGCCCTCATGCCCTCTGACCCCAATGGCATGTACTTCCACTGTGAGATCTTCCACGTTTCCTGTTGACCTATTTCACACAGGGGAGCTGGCTCATGATGTGGGTGAGAGATAGGAGATTCAAGTTGGTGCATATTGCTAAAAAATGAAACTTTAGTTTGGAAATGGCCAGAGAGTAGGTTATTAATCACCTCCTGTGAACACAGATCAGCCAGAATGTTCCCCAAGGAACACAAGTCCAACTGGGACGATGAGACACAGACCACCAGCTAACTCACACCCAAGGGCATTAGTGTGAGTCCTCAGTGGTCCGTGTCCCTAAGCTCCTCAGAGCTGAGCAGGTGGGGACGTCAGGAAAGCTTTGCGAGGAGGCAGGATTGCACCTGGGCCTTGAAGCATGGGTAAGGTTGGACAGATGGAAAAGAAATGAGCAGACATTCCACAGAAGGAAGCTGCAATTCTTCATTTCTTAGGCCAGGAAATGGCTGTAGGAAAACATTAGAAGGAATGAAGGATGGCAGATCCCCAGTTTTGGAGTCAAACATACTTGGGAACTAATCCAGGTGCCATTGCAACCTTGGGCAAAAACGTCTCCGCCTCCTGAAACTTATCGCTGTGGGAACTAAAGAGAATGTATGGACAACATTCGGCATGCTGATCCCACCAAGTGAAAGTTGTGGTTTTACAGCCATGCTGATGGCCTCCTCACTCTACCTACACACGTGCAGGAGGCCTGTGGGACTGACTGCCTCCTCGTCCTTTCCTCCCCAGCCACCTGCGGCCTGAGACAGTACAGCCAGCCTCAGTTTCGCATCAAAGGAGGGCTCTTCGCCGACATCGCCTCCCACCCCTGGCAGGCTGCCATCTTTGCCAAGCACAGGAGGTCGCCCGGAGAGCGGTTCCTGTGCGGGGGCATACTCATCAGCTCCTGCTGGATTCTCTCTGCCGCCCACTGCTTCCAGGAGAGGTAGGGGCTCGGAAACCCAGTTGGTTTTTCCACCCTCTAACGCCTAGAAACCAAGCCCTTTAGGGGAAATCCCACAGCAAAAAAAGCATTCTAAGGCTGTTTCTCCACCAGGTTTCCGCCCCACCACCTGACGGTGATCTTGGGCAGAACATACCGGGTGGTCCCTGGCGAGGAGGAGCAGAAATTTGAAGTCGAAAAATACATTGTCCATAAGGAATTCGATGATGACACTTACGACAATGACATTGGTAAGAGCTCGTCATTCCCGGCTCCAGTTCATACAGATCACACAACACACCCACATGCACTCACCTATGTTTACACACACGGGCCTCCTCCTCCAGCCCCTGCCCCTCCTGCGTGTTCCTCCCCTCCCGGGGACGCGGCCCTCACGCCAGCTCACTCCTCCTTTCTCCCTCCCAGCGCTGCTGCAGCTGAAATCGGATTCGTCCCGCTGTGCCCAGGAGAGCAGCGTGGTCCGCACTGTGTGCCTTCCCCCGGCGGACCTGCAGCTGCCGGACTGGACGGAGTGTGAGCTCTCCGGCTACGGCAAGCATGAGGCCTGTAAGTGGAAGGAAGTCTCGGCCCCATCCTGTCTGCGGGACAGCAGGGGAGGCTGCGGTCCACCAGAGGAAAATGGGGTCAGGAGACCGAAGTTCCAGCCCCGGGTCAGGCACTGACGCCAGTCCCGTCTCCCTGTGTCGTGGGGGCCCGTCTCTGCTGTCTCTGCCTCACAGGGACACTGCAGGCCAGGAAAGGACACAACAGTATGAGGGCCTCGAAGTGCTGCAGGTGTTGGGAAGGTTCTGAGTAGGAAGTGGAGTACAGTCGCTAAGCGTGTGGGTTCTGGGAAGCTGGAGTTACAAAGACCCGATTTCAAATCCCACTTGCTGAGCTGTGTGACCGTGGACATGGATTTTTATTTTGAACTGCTCCCAGCCTCAGTTTCCTCGTTGGTAAAGTGGAGATAGAACTATCTCCCTAATTAGATTAGGAGGGTTAAATGAGATAATATTGAACGAATGGATGTCAGCTGGGGTGATTTTGTCCCCCAGGAAACGTTTGGCGAGGTCTGGAGACGTTTTTGGTTGTTACAGTTTAGGGTGAGGGTTAACGCCGGCCTTCAGTGAGTGCAGCCAGGGATGCTGCACACTGCAGGGCTCGGGACTGTCCCCATCCCCCACAACAGGGACCTCCCTGGTCCGAAGCATCAGCAGTGCCACTACGGAGAGGCTGTGGGTTCAATCCCGGAATCCTGCTGTTTTTGTGGGTCAAAACGATAAAATACCAGCAGTGTCATAGGATTCGACCTAATACATGTTGAATCTTGATCAATGTTAGCTATTATTGGAAAATTTGGCTTTCTCTTTCAAAAACGTTTATAAATAACTTTCCCTAAAACCATATGATGGTTCTCCCCTTTCAGTGTCTCCTTTCTATTCGGAGCGGCTGAAGGAGGCTCATGTCAGACTGTACCCATCCAGCCGCTGCACATCACAACATTTACTTAACAGAACAGTCACCGACAACATGCTGTGTGCTGGAGACACTCGGAGCGGCGGGCCCCAGGCAAACTTGCACGACGCCTGCCAGGTAACCAGGAGTGGCGCGCCCATGCTGGGCACAACCCAGGGGAGAATGCCCCTGGGACAACAGGTTCTTCACCAAAGAAAAAAGTTATCACCAGAGTGGAGTGATTTCCTCTTAGTGATACCCCTGGGGATTCTAGATGAGGGCCTCACAGAATAAAGCAACTGGAGGAAGATCAAAGTCACCTAAACCTAAGAATTCTAAACTGCAGGAAATTTCCCCAGGATCTGCACAGGCAACTCCACCTGTACAGGATTTCCTTTCAGCCCAGGCAATTGATTGACTATTGAAGTGATGGAGAGAGCCACACAATTAAGAAACGTTTGCCTCAGCCTGGTGTGGTGGTTCACGCCTGTAATCCCAGCACTTTGGGAGGCTGAGGTGGGAGGCTCACCTGAGGTCAGGAGTTCGAGACCAGCCTGACCAACATGGAGAAACCCCATCTCTACTAAAAATACAAAATTAGCCTGGCATGGTGGCACATGCCTGTAATCCCAGCTACTCAGGAGGCTGAGGCAGGAGAATCGCTTGAACCCGGGAGGCAGAGGTTGCAGTGAGCCGAGATCGCGCCATTGCGCTTCAGCCTGGGCAACAAGAGCGAAACTCGATCTCAAAAAAAAAAAAAAAAAAAAAAAGAAAGAAATGTTTGCCTCTGTTGGCACTAGAGAATTGGAGTCTGCTTTGTAGAAGGAGAAGGAAGAAAGGCAACTTACTGGGAAGCAGGATCTAGATGATGTGAGAAAGAAGTTTTCAAAACTCACATTCAGCCCTAATACCCTGGGAAAGCACACTATTTGAGGTCCTTTGTGTGGGCATCCTTATCAGAATTAGTACTTATATTTCATGATTAGCCAGATACTGGGGTATGGGAGGACAGGCCAGCCTGCTGGTATTAAGACCTGCACAGAGCCAAGGAATTGATCTTCCTCAGACATTTCAGTGCCTGCAGCGTGCGAAGCTCTCCTTTAGGGGCTGGGGGTAGAAGAGATACAAAGAGAAGTGAGGCCAGGCTCTGGTGCTGAAGGATGTGTGGGCTTTGTTTTCGCAAGGCAGTCATATCGGCGGTTTCCCCTCTGATTCCCTGACAGGATTTAGTTTCTTTTTGAATGGTTTCTTCAGCAACCTCAGCTGTACCAGCTTACAGTCCAGAAACAAAAAGGTTGTACCAAAGTGAAACCATTATCTATCTGCAAGCTTAGTTAAAAGCAAAACCAAATCATTTTAATTCAATATAAGAACAGCTAACAATTACCAAGAGTTTTACTAGATGTCTTCCAGTGCTTTTCATGCATTCTTCTACTGAATGCCATAACCACTCTATGGGTAGTATGAATATTATCTCTATGGTACAGATAAGAAAACCAAAGCATGGTTAGTCTAAGGCCATCAGCTAGTAAGTGATGGAGCCAAGCCAGGGTTTTTGAGGCCTGAAACGTTTGAGTAATTAACTCTACTTTACCAGAATAGATACAGCCTAATCCTCCATGGGACCAAGATAACTGAGATACAATCTACCCACTCTTCAGTAAGTCTCCACTTAACAGCATGCCTGGAAAAAATAGGTTCTTAGAAACTGCAACTGTAAGTGAAATGACGTATAACAAAACCAATTTTACCACCAGCTAATTGATATAAACAAGAGTTGGTCAGGTGCGGGGCTCATGCCTGTAATCCCAGCACTTTGAGAGGCTGAGGAAGGCAGATCACCTGAGGTCAGGAGTTCGAGACCAGCCTGGCCACCATGGTGAAACCCTGCCTCTACTAAAAACACAAAAATTAGCCAGGTGTGGTGGTGCGTGCCCATAAGCACGAGAATTGCTTGAACCCCGGAGGTGGAGGGTGCAGTGAGCTGAGATTGCGCCACTGCACTCCAGCCTGGGTGGGTGACAGAGTGAGACTCTGTCTCAAAACAAAAAAACAAAAAAAAACAAAAAAAGAAGAGTGAAGTTCTTGTGGCAATATTTCTAGTCATAAAAACATCAGCAAACTTCTAAATAAAGACCCAAAACACTTCTAACATTCAATATTGAAATAAATGTGAGCTATACAACATTTAAGAAAGGTTAATAAAAACAAACATGGTATTTATTTACCCAATTTTTGGAGAATAAGTGAATGATGGCGGCCATAATAGTGGTGGGTTAATTCAGGGAATAAATGTTTGCAAAGCAAAAATGGTAAGGAACACCTCTTACTACCATGAAGTTCAAAAACAATCACAAATAGGGCAGGCTCCCTGACTGCCTCCACACCTCACAGTTTATCATGCATTCGTGTATTTAGCACAGACTAGACAGATTTTTACTTTATAACACTTTGTATTCATTCATTTTCCAACGTGCTTATTCCGGTTCAGGGTCTTGGGTGGGGGTGGCCAGAGCCACCTGGCAGCTCAGGGCGCCAGGCGGGACCAGCCCTGGACAGACGCCACCATCCTATTGCAGAGCCACTAACACCCACACTCACTCAGACTGGGCCCACGTAGATACATCCTCAGTTGGCTTAATGTGCAAGCTTTGGGATGTGGAAGGAAACCGGGGTACCTGGACAAAACCCAGGCAGACAGTGTCCCCAGACAGGAATTGATTTTTGTTTTCCTCATCAAAGTTATAATGAAATGACACTGAATGGAATATTATTGAAGGGCCTGCTGTATTTTGAAGATTACGATGTTCATGCTACACATACTGACTTTCTCCAGATAGTCTGCTTTTTTTGCAAACGCCAAACCTGCTATCTCCTTTGCAGGGCGATTCGGGAGGCCCCCTGGTGTGTCTGAACGATGGCCGCATGACTTTGGTGGGCATCATCAGCTGGGGCCTGGGCTGTGGACAGAAGGATGTCCCGGGTGTGTACACCAAGGTTACCAACTACCTAGACTGGATTCGTGACAACATGCGACCGTGACCAGGAACACCCGACTCCTCAAAAGCAAATGAGATCCCGCCTCTTCTTCTTCAGAAGACACTGCAAAGGCGCAGTGCTTCTCTACAGACTTCTCCAGACCCACCACACCGCAGAAGCGGGACGAGACCCTACAGGAGAGGGAAGAGTGCATTTTCCCAGATACTTCCCATTTTGGAAGTTTTCAGGACTTGGTCTGATTTCAGGATACTCTGTCAGATGGGAAGACATGAATGCACACTAGCCTCTCCAGGAATGCCTCCTCCCTGGGCAGAAAGTGGCCATGCCACCCTGTTTTCAGCTAAAGCCCAACCTCCTGACCTGTCACCGTGAGCAGCTTTGGAAACAGGACCACAAAAATGAAAGCATGTCTCAATAGTAAAAGATAACAAGATCTTTCAGGAAAGACGGATTGCATTAGAAATAGACAGTATATTTATAGTCACAAGAGCCCAGCAGGGCCTCAAAGTTGGGGCAGGCTGGCTGGCCCGTCATGTTCCTCAAAAGCACCCTTGACGTCAAGTCTCCTTCCCCTTTCCCCACTCCCTGGCTCTCAGAAGGTATTCCTTTTGTGTACAGTGTGTAAAGTGTAAATCCTTTTTCTTTATAAACTTTAGAGTAGCATGAGAGAATTGTATCATTTGAACAACTAGGCTTCAGCATATTTATAGCAATCCATGTTAGTTTTTACTTTCTGTTGCCACAACCCTGTTTTATACTGTACTTAATAAATTCAGATATATTTTTCACAGTTTTTCCAAAATCAGAGTGGAATGGTTTTGTTATAGATGCTGTATCCCACTCTTTATTCATGTTCACATTTTAAAATCATTTGGAATTCTGCTTCACTCGCTTAACATATACACAACACCTGTAACATACAAGGCAATGGGCTAGGTGCTCCAGACCGGGAAAAGGAGGGACAGGAATGCTTGGTCTGATGGGCTAATATGGCATTTAGAGAAGTACCAAGGTACAGTGGAGCCGGTCACAAAAGGGCAGACTTGTAGTAGAATTCAGTTGCAAGAGGGATTGGGGAATCTTAAGGAAAAAATAGAATCTTAAGGAAAAAATAACTGGGTGAGACGTGGACTGTGGACAGGTGTGGAAAAGGCACTCTCCATGGAGGTATGAATATGTAGAGGGCCAAGAGAGGGGAGTACAGGGAGAAATGAGTTGAGCTTGTCTGAAGTGAACTTCAGGAAGAGGAACATAGGCTGGAATTTAGATTATGGGGGCTCTGAACACCAAACTGAGTTTGGACTTAATTGACTTCTGTAGGCAACGAGGAGCCATGGAGATTCTGCTCAGGGAAGTGAGGAACTGGGCATGCCTTAGGAAAATTAACCAGGGGGTGGCTGGCAAGCAAGCAGACAGCAGGAAAGGAACGCTGTGGGGATAGGGAGGAAGAACCTCGCATGACCTTGCTAACACAGCAACATCCCAACCGTTGGTTCGGCCTAGAAGCTGGTATTTGGGCCATCTGTTTCCCATTGTCTTAATTTTCTGCTCATTAGAAATTGAACCCCTAAACCAGTCCACACAAGTACGTTATCTAAGTAATGTTGCATTCTGCTTCTCTTAGACTACTTTTTTTTTTTTTTTTTGAGACAGAGTCTCGCTCTTTCGCCCAGGCTGAAGTGCAGTGGCGCTATCTGCAAGCTCTGCCTCCTGGGTTCACGCCATTCTCCTGCCTCAGTCTCCCGAGTAGCTGGGACTATAGGTGCCCGCCACCATGCCCGGCTAATTTTTCATATTTGTAGTAGAGACGGGGTTTCACCGTGTTAGCCAGGATGGTCTCGATCTCCTGACCTCGTGATCCGCCTGCCTCGGCCTCCCAAGGTGCTGGGATTACAGGCGTGAGCCACTGCACCCAGCCCTCTTAGACTACTTTCTACTCGCGAGATGCAACCCCTATTCCTGGCTGCTGTCTGGCAGCTTTTGTTCTCACTGACATCCTAGTTCCAAGAATAAATCGGATGCTGCAATGCTGCTGTTGGGGATATGCTGACACAGCTCCTCAGAGAGGAGAAAGGTGGTCGTCTCTCTGGTGGAGTTGTCAGAACTGCTCAGTTTAGAGGTTCTTGGAACAAAAGTCGTTTAAACTCACAAAAGAAAGAGATTCTTTAACTCCCAAGAGCTTGACTGGGGTGGGGGAGGCAGCGGGGGACATCCCTGAAGTGTTGAAGTACCTAGGCCAGTAAATAAATGCAGGTCACAGAGACTTAAGTCACAGATTTCTTGACTTCAGACTGCTCACTTGCATGTTCTACAGTTTTTAGACAGATGTGTGTCTCAGCCATTTAAGAAAAACATTGTTTGAGGCCAGGAACGGTGGCTCATGCCTATAATCCCAGCACTTTAGGAGGCTGACGTGGGTGGATCACTTGAGGCTAGGAGTTTGAGACCAGCCTGGCCAACGTGGCAAAACCCCATCTCTACTAAAATACAAAAGTTAGCTGGGTGTGGTGGTGCACGCCTGTGGCTCCAGCTACTTGGAACACTGAGGCAGGAGAATCGCTTGAGCCTGGGAGGCAGAGGTTGCAGTGAGCTGAAATTGTGTCACTGTACTCCACCCTGGGCAACAGAGCAAGACTCTGTCAAGAAAAAAAAAGAAAGAAAGAAAGAAAAAAAAAAAAACACTGAGGACCAGTGCGAAGGAACCCCCAGCCACTGAATCTCCGGCAGAAATTCAGCTGGTTTCATCCCCTCCCCCTTTGCAGGACAAGCTCTTCTTCAGGATTAATGAAATGAACTGAGGCAGTGAGGCCCCTGGGGATGGAAATGGGAGGTAAAAAGGCCCCAGCATTCCTCCCACGCAGTCTTGGAACCACAGACTAGATAGAGACAATTGCTCAGAAGAGGCCCCTGACTGAGAGACGGGGCCCCAGCCCAGTGATGCAAATTCTAAAACACGCTCAAAGAGCAACACATCATTACCGGGAATGGGTGTCAGGGGAAATTAAATATCATCTCCTCATTATTCCCAGCTAGTTAATAAAACAAGCAGATGGTAACAGTCCAGGAGAACAAGATCTCCAGGTACCTGTGCAACTCTTCTTACTGGGTGAAAACCTAGAGGAACTCTGGGATGGTGACACTGTACCCTCCCAGAGCCCCAGTCATGTCTGTTTATCAGAAAGTGCATAAACTTTTCACTCCACTTAACTTCAAAAGCCAAAGACTCATGCAATCCTCAGTACTTAGGATCTTGGAGGAAGTTTCAGAGTTTGAAATTAAATTTCCTTTTATTTTATTTTATTTTGAGATGGAGTCTCACTCTTTTTGCCCAGGCTGGAGTGCAGTGGTGCGATCTCAGCTCACTGCAACCTCCGCCTCCCGGGTTCAAGCGATTCTCCTGCCTCAGCCTCCCCAGTAGCTGGGATTACAGGTGCCCGCCACCAGGCCCAGCTAATTTTTATATTTTTCAGTAGAGATGGGTTTTGCCATGTTGGCCAGGCTGGTCAAATTTCCTTTTAAAAATTTTAACAGGGCCAGGCGCGACGGCTCACGCCTGTAATCCCAGCACTTTGGGAGGCCAAGGCGGGTGGATCACGAGGTCAGGAGATCGAGACCATCCTGGCTAACACAGTGAAACCCCATTTCTACTAAAAAAAAAAAAAAAAAAAAAAAAAAATTAGCGGGGCACGGTGGTGGGCTCCTGTAGTCCCACCTACTCTGAGGCTGAGGCAGGAGAATGGCGTGAACCCAGGAGGCAGAGCTTGCAGTGAGCCGAAATCGCACCACTGCACTCCAGCCTGGGCGACAGAGTGAGACTCCGCCTCAAAAAAAAAAAAAAAATTCTAACAGTTGGCCAGGCGCAATGGCTCATGCCTGTAATCCCAGCACTTTGGGAGGCCGAGGCAGGCAGATCTCAAGACGAGCCTGGCCAACATAGTGAAACCCTGTCTCCACTAAAAATACAAAAAAAAAAAAAAAAAAAAATTAGCTGGGCATGGTGGTGGGCGCCCTGTAATCCTAGTTACTCGGGAGTCTGAGGCAGGAGAATCGCTTGAATCCAGGAGGCGGAGATTGCAGTGAGCCAAGATCCCGCCACTGCACACCAGCCCGGGCAACAGTGCAAGACTACGTCCCCCAAAAAAAAAAAAAAAAAAAAAATCTAACCATTAAAATAATGAGTATTGATGGCATGGAGTCCCCACCTACCGGCCACAGAGAAAAGTACATGTATACAACCAACTTCCTGTCCCACCACCAGGGTCAGAGCACCCGGGAGCACAGGCGAAGAGACAGTTGACGCCGGCTGAGAGGGAGAAGGGGTGGAGCACTAGCTGGCACTGAACACTCACAGTGAGTACGCATTGAGTTTTAAGGTTTTTTGATGGCCATGAGATGTTTATAGAAAATTGTTACAGGTGTGGCGTAACAATCGACTCGCAGTGCCTTATCTTGTAAGAAGCCTCTCCTGGAATAAAGACGCCAGAGTACTGCGACACCGTTTCATGCCTAAATTAACAAGACAAGAGAAGCAGGTCAAGAGAATGCGGAAAGCCCTAGACTAAATGCCGGCAGCTTCAACGATTTCGTCTTTTAAAACTCTGGTGAAAAATAACTAGGTGGATCTGGACCTTATGCTCACAACCCTAAAAATGACATTAATATCAGCATCTGCTATCTTCCAGATGTGACCAAAGAATCGATCAAAACACATGCTTTAGGTCTGCTGGCTAGACAGGACAGAAGCAGTAAGATCCTCCTGAGTCGATGAATTCCTTACTCACTGCTTCTACTGAGGTTTGAGTGGCATAGCACTGTTGTTAGTTCTGGTAACAAACCACTTAGGACATAGAAGACTGGTGAAACTCAACTTTATTAAACTTAAACAGAGAAGCTACTTCTGCACATGTTAAACACACATGGAACCAAACAGCTCGATGGAGACACCCTGCACTGCTTATGGTGATGCTGCAGGAATGGCGGCAGCGATGCCCGCTACACTCCATGGCCTGCTGCACATGTGACAGGACAGTTATTTCATCTATGCTTACACCTGCAGGTCCCTTACCCTAGAAACACTCTATATCTTCTTAGGTACTTCCCTTGAAACAGGATGAGTTCTAGAGGAAATAAAACTGCTGCACTTACAAACCTAGAAATATTCAGGGACCAAGATTAGTTGTTCAGTGACCTAGGAAACCTTAGAATCCTGTAGGTTCCTCAGGAGAGGTGCTTCCAAGTACTTGAGAATCCACAGGCAGAGATGCTTCCCTTTCCATGGTGGATGTGTATGTCACTCCAGGACAAACTGCGGAGTCACGGAGTGTGGAACACATCTGGTTGTGTACAGTACACTATCCCAGAGGAAAATCACAAAGCAACACAACTCTGCAGCAAAAACTAGTCCCAAAGTCAGAAGATAAAACTAGCAAAAACTTTGCACAATATTTAGAGAAAAGCTCTAGGGTGTGGAGAGTACGGGTCTTCCTTTTTCTCCATGCACCAAGCAGAGCACAGTATCATTCCTTAAGCTATAAACAAAAACCCTTTTGTATAAATATTTAAATAGTAACAGACACACTGAACTAGGACAAAAATGACCCACTGGGAAAGAAAGCCTGAGGTATCCCTTTAGTTGCCATGTTTCTTAAACTGGGTTGCTTACACCCATGATCAACACAGTCCATCTTCCTACAGCACTGATTTTATTCAGAGATTTAGGAGAAATGTTTTGTCTTAGAATGAAAAGGGACTGGTAGATATTAATGAATACATGATAGGAGTACAAAAGAAAAGACTGAGGAAATGATAACTTTACCAAGCAGCTTCAAGGATCAACCACACCCTCGATGGTAAGCTTTCTCTTTTTCTAGGGCGACAGATGGAAAAGTTTCCGACCAACGGGAAGGTTACGATCTGGTACCAGTCCAGCACTGACAAATGGAGATATGAGCTCACTCACTCACAGCTGTGCTCACCTTCATGGGAAGAGTCGGCCCTCTACTCCAGTACGATGACACACAAACCCTGGCTGCACTGGGGATTATGGGATCGGCTTCTCTGAAACTCTCTTACTTTTTAAAAATCCTGTAGAAGGATCAGGTAACAGGAAAATGGCCGGTGAATTCTGTAAAAGGAAGTGAGTAGAACTGTTTTGGGTTAGAAAAGAAGCACTTTAGGCAGCCACCATGGGAAGAAGGCGGGTCACCTTCTCACTGAAGATAAGAGACCAAGTGCTGATGGACAGCAACAGGCAGTGTCTGAAAACTAGTCCGATACCATCATGGTCTTTGAGGGAAAATCTGATTCCACTGGGGTTTCCATGTCAATAGTGGACTCAAATTTAAAAAGTCTCCAGTCCATTTCCAGAAGTACAAGTGTTTTCTACATGAGTAGAGGAATCAGAAAGAAACCAACTCAACTCTTTCCTTCCCATCCCTCCTTAAGGTAGAGTCCGACTGCTTTTCTTGCCAATCTTTCATTTAAGTGTCTCCTCCTAACTCCTTTACTTCTTTTTCCTCTTTCTTCTCCTTCATAGAGCAGATCCTTAAGTGGCCTTTCCTTGACTGACATTCATTTTCTTCCCATCTTTCTTTCTTTTTAATCTTTCTATCTTAAAAAATCAACAAAGAAGTCTTTCATTGGCTTTAGATAATTAAAGCCAAGCAAGCTAAACAAATGTTGGTCTTTCCTATAGAAACCACGTTTAAAATGGTTACATAAGCACCAAGCTTCCTACCCCCATCACACACCTTGTCCTTGAGAACTGGTGTTGCTGTGTTTCAGTTCTGTCCAGTTCTCCCTGGTGACCTTTTCCTCCCTTGATTAGTTCCATGGCACTGAAGGCTAAGGAAAAAAGGGAGCGGGTGGGTCCAGGAGGGGACTGACCTAGGAGACAGGCTGATATTTTTTTTTACTTTTAGACAAGTAAGAAATGAAAAAATGTGCAAGACTATTCCCTCAGCAAATGCTCCCTTCAGGTTCGAACTTGGAACTTCCCAGCTTTGGTCATGTATTTTATGCCCTTAAAGGGTTTGTACTTTTCTCCATACATATCCAGACGATTCACCTTGAGTCCTAGAAAGGAGGGAGAGAGGGAAAATAGACATGAGTATTATTCAAAAGGAGCAGGTCGCCTAACTGTTTCTGTTCAATACACTGAAGTCAGTGGGACCGACATTGCTGTGACAGGGAACCACTTATGCAGAGCAGATGGATTCTCCAGTCTTGGGACAGATACTGACAGCAAAAAAAGGCTCCAACAGACAAGCTACCTATGAGAAGACCTGTCCCTGAAGTGGAAAGGGTACAAAGTAATGTGCAGACTAAAATGAGGATAAGGAAAAAATTAGACCACTGCATGATTTTTCTCAAATTATTGGACTGAAAAAATGAATAACAAAACAAATGAATAATGAAGTAAATTATAAATAAAGGAATTAACAATGAAAGTAATTAATAAATGAATGCTTCCTAAGTATTCTCACTAGACTAAGCCAAGAATATTTTATATGGTATAGAGCTTTATAGTTTATTGTTTTAAGATTGAAGAGCTTATACATCAAATGAATTCCAATCACTTAAATTGTATAAGGCCCGTTTGTACAGAAAAACAGAAACTTCATATAAAGCTAAAGTCATCTCCTTTCCACATCACAGAGTTTCTAAGGATTAAAAAAGAAAACACATGAAAAGAGCTTAAAACAGTGCCTGGAACATGGTAAATGCCCCCAAAGTGGTAACTGATGACTACCGTGCTAAGGTCGGCACAGACTATAGTGAACTGACCTGGAAAGGCCCAGTGGTTCCAAAATAGAAATAAGAGCAAACATGAAAGTCTTCTGAAAACAGAAGAAAGGAGTGGAAATTACACTTCAGTTATAGCTGAGAATGCACATGGATTCTCATACTGAAAACCTTGGGAACCTGAAATGAACAACCCTAAGATGATCCAAAAATGGCTAGTGAATACTTCCTTCTACCAATACTGTTTCTTTCTCAGTGTGTCTTAGGCACTTTTATTCAGGTCACTTATGCCAACTTCAAAGGAAGGATTGTAAATTTTCCCCAGAAACATGCCAGAAAAGATGTTACTAAAGATTGTTTATCAGGTAATGAAACTAAACCTTGTAAACAGGAAGCCCAGAAAGGCTTCCTGGTGCCTGCGCCATATGGCAGAAAGCCGTTTTTGTTCCCTTTGGAGCCTCTTGAGCTCTGGGTCACTTACCAGAAATGGCCAGCTGCTGGATCTTAAACTGCAGGTTAATTGTGGGGTTTTCATCTGGTTTGGAAGCTCCAGCCTGAAGACTCATGGTCCCCTTCAAACTTGGTAGCTTTTGTGGATTTATTTTTCCTACATCCCAAGACAGCATCTTCAAAGAAAATAAAAATGGAGAAGTGGTCTTTCCAAAAAATAGTTACAGCAGAATCCTGCATTTGAGGTGGCTGAGATCTAAACTCAGGGCACCTGTCCACAACATTATAAGCTGCCTCTGGGTATCTTTCCATTGAGAATCCTACGTGTTACTGTTAAGTTACCTGGCAGGAGAAAACAAGGTCCCTTTGACTCATCTCACCTTCCAAACAAGGTCTAGAGTCTACACAGAGAACCTGCAGACTGGTTTCTGCTTAACATCAGCAATTCAAGATGTCCTGCTCATCCCTACCTTTGTGACTGGGTCGAATGTGTGTGTCCCCTGTGATGGAGTAAGGCTCATGTTCAGGACCCCCTTGGGCATCTGGCTGGTGACAGTCACTCCCTCAATGGTCTTCCCCATCGTCTGCTTGGGTCCCACCGTTATTTCAAAGCGTCCAAGGGAACTACTGTCCCGGAAACTGATGTTATGTTTGACATACACTGGGATTGCAACCAGACTGGAAATGAGAGACAAAGAGTCATTTCATTCGTGCACTGGGAAAATGGTAGTTCTTCCTTTCACATGATGCTTTTTCTGCCCTGTGGGTAGCTTCTTCTCCCTTAACTATGTCCTTACTTTTTATCTGAAAAAATAAACAGAAAAAAACCCCAGTAATCTAATTTTTTCTTTTTGAAAAGCTACTGTCTAGTAACTAAATTAACTTTTCTAATGACTCTGAATAATACAAACAAAATCAAAAAGTACACTACTATGACAAAGGCATAATGTACAAAAATGTATTGTCATTATGTCTCCATGTTTTTAACTTGTAACATGTGACCAGTCATCATTTGCACTGGGGAGTATAATATTCATAGCTCATGGACCTTTTATAATTTCTTTCTTTTTTTTTTGAGATAGGGTCTGGCTCGGTCAGCCTGGTTGGAGTGCAGTGGCACGATCATAGCTCACTGCAGCCTCGACATACCAGGCTCAAGTGATCCTCCCACCACTGCCTCCTGAGTAGCTGGGACCACAGGCACACAACATCACACCCCGCTAATTTTTACTTTTTTTTTTTTTTTTTTTGTAGAGACAAGGTTTGGCCATGTTGCCCATGCTGGTCTCGAACTCCTGGGCTCAAGTGATCCTCTTGTCTCTATAATTTTTTTAGAATGCTTTCATCTGACATCATCTGGTCCTTACAAAAACCCCATAAGGTAGGGTAGGCTGTCATGATTTGACAGAAGAAAAGGATTCAGAGAAGTCACGGAATAACCCTGAAGTAATAACAGTTCCTAACATGTATTGAGTACTTCCTGTTTGCCAGTCACTATGCTAAATGGTTTCTATCCATTTAACTCCTACCGTGTTTAATCCTCCCAATAAGTATGAAGTAGATACTGCTACTGTAACTATGTAGTAGGTACTGATTTTATAGATGAATACTGATGTCCTTATACTTAACTGAGATTAAGTAACTTGCCCAAGGTTCTAAGTACTGAAGATGGGGTTTAAGTCCAGGGAGTCTGATTCCAGAGGCTTTGACCTCAAGCACTCAGATATTTTCCCAAATGATTCATTCCACATCACACGGGAAGGGACTGGTGGCTCTGAGGCCTCCTGACTCTCTTCTGTCTGCATACCTTATACTATACAAAACTGCTTCCAAAAGCCTTTAGATTCCAAATTAAAGAGAATGTTCAAGACCAAAAATCACTGCGTTTTATGCTTTTTCATAGCATAACTTAATGCTTCTTTTAGACCAGGGACATTGAACACAGTATGCCCAGATTCTGATTTGAGAAAATAATGTTCTTGTTTAGACACATAACAACAAAAATAACAGCAAACTTAATGAGCACTTCTTTGTGTTAAGCACTATTCAGATTCTCTTATTCAATCTTCAGAACAAGGCACTTTTATTATTTTCAATTTACAGATGAGAAAAGAGATACATAGGGGTTAAGCAACTCACCTGAGGTTACCCAATTAGTAACCACAGAAGCTGGAATGTGAACCCAGGTAACTCTAGAGCCTGAGTTCTTAATCACCACAGATACGGTTTCCACATACATGTACATACACGGATTCCATTCTTAATTATAAGAGCTGCTTACTTCTGTGCACTGACATGGTAAGACAGCAGGCGGAAGTTTCCATCAGGAGGGATGAAGGAGAGGATGCGCTCAGATTCCCAGCGTTTGAAACGAACACAAGGATGGAAGCTGACATCATCCAACAACCTAGGGTTCTACAGTCATCAGGAGAGGAGAAGCAAGAAGTGGGCATTAAACACCCGCAGTGCTTTCAGGAAAGCAATTTAAATGCTGTTTTTAATTAAAACACACCACACACACACACACAGAAATCATGTAGTGACTTCTAGAAAATTCAAGCCTGAGACAAGCTTCGTGGCTGTCCTAATTATTTCTTCTTGTTCTATTCCATTCCCACTACTCTGTCTTTCCAGCAGCATTTAATTTCTCATCCCAAGAACTTAATCTCTGGCCCAGGATTTTACCATGAAGGAAAGTGTAAGGTCTGGCATGCCAGTCAGCTTGACACAGGCATCAATCACCCCCTGGATCTCAGCAGTAATTGTGGAGCCTGAGACAGGAATAAGACAAAAAGAACACAGATTACTGAATACTTCTCTGTCCTTCTCAACAAACTTATCTCCTCCCTCCTTCTCTTCCTCTCTCCCTCACCTTCCTCTCTCTCCCTCCCCTTCCTCTCTCTCCCTTTCTTTCCTTCTGCCTAGCCATCCAATTCATTTATACAATCCATCTATCCATCATTCTGAACACTTATCAACTGCACATCAAGCATGAGACACTATGGTGAGGTAACGGTGATAAAAAGATTAATGAAGTAGTTATTAGCCTAAAGGAGTTGTCAGTCTAATATCAGAATTAAACAGAGCATCATTATTTTAGCCAATGGTTCAGAAAGTTTCCTATCAGAAACTGTTCTCCCTAAGGTCACCAATGAGCTCTGCTGCTAAAGTGAGTGGTCACTCCCAGTCTCTTATTCTATACATCCTCTATGTGGCATGTGTCACTGTCAATCACTTCTGCCTTCTCAAACATCCCTCCCTCCTAACCTCTCCTGGTGTCCTATTTTCCCAGCTCCTCTTCCTCAGTGTCTTCGGCAGGTTCTCTTTCTTTGCACATCCCTTAAATGCTTTTTCAGTTCTGAACTTCTATTTTCTTTCACTTTACACACTCTCCTGGGTTATTTTACCTACTTCCCAAGGCTTCAATGTTCATTTACAGCCCATTATTACCTATTCTTTTTTCAAGTTCAGCCCCACTCCTGCCTAATGGACATCTCCACTTGGATGACACTGAGGCACATGTCAGAAATGAGTCCATTCTCTCATGCCCTGAACCCGGTGCTCCCATTTCCAAATCTGTGTGATGGCACCATCTATCCTGCTGCCTAAGCCAGAAACACAGATGCATCCCTGACAACGTCCACTTCTCCCGCCCACATCCAGCCAATGATCAGCTCCTTTCTTTTCGAGGACTCACCTCTCTCTGGTCTGTGCATTCCTCTCTGTCCTCATTGCACTATGGACATCTATGTTTTGGGCCTGGATTTCAGCCTCGTAGCTGCTCCCTGCCTTCAGGCCCACCCCACTTCAGGCCATTCTTCACACAGCAGCCAGACTCATCGCTCTAAACTACAAGTCTCATCAAGTCATTCCCAACTTAAAACTCTTCAATCACTCACATCTGCCCTCCTTAAACTGGCAGGCAAGGTTCTTCATGATCTGGCCATATATATTTTACTTTTTCGTTGAGGTAAACAGTAAAATGTAAAAATCTTAAAGTGTACAGCTCAATGAATTTTTAAATATATATACATTTATGCAAATACTAGCTACAGCAAGATACGGAACATTTTCAGCATCCAAGCACTCCCTCTTACCCATCCCAGGTAATTCACATCCCCAAAATTCTGACTTCTATTACCTTAGACTAAATTGCATCTGTTTTCAAACTTCATATACATGTAATCCCACTGTCTATAATCTTATGCATCTGATTTTTTGCTCAATATTGTGATGTTTGCGCATACTTTGCTCCCAAATCCACACATCTTAATAACTTCATTTCAATCCACTGATGAAGCATAAACACCCCCACCTCTCTGTTGCACTTTGCTCAGGGGTGGGTACCTCTCATATGCTCTACCTTTTTACCTTTCTCTCTCCCTCACTAGACTTAACTTCTGCAGCCATAGACTATGTCTTATTCATCATCAAGTGCCCACTATCTAGCACTGTGCTATGATGCAAGTTTTCAGTAAACATCTGTTGAATTTAATAAGTTCACTAATGTGAAAAGGACTTTTTACAATTTTTTTTCTTTAGTTAAAGACAGGATCTCACTATGTTGCCCAGGCTAGAGTGCAGCTATTATTCACAGCCATAATCATAGCTCACCGCAGTCTCCAACTACTGGGCTTAAGTGATCCTCTCACCTCAGCCTCCCAATAATTGGGACTATAGGCTCATACCATCATGACTGGCTTCTACAAATTCTGAAGCTCCAGGACTTCTAGTCATATTTACCTAATTCAGAACACATAGAAAAGGCAGCTCCCTGAATTTTGTGATTACAACTTTAGTTCTGCCATCAGAACTGGGAGCCAAATACTTTCGAGAAGGTAATTTAATCAATAAGAAATTAATTTGTTACTTTTTTTTTTTTTTTTTTTTTTTTTTTTGAGACAGGGTCTTGCTGTTGCCCAGGCTGGAGTGCAGTGTCATGATCAGGGCTTACTGCAACCTCAACTTCCCAAGCTCAAGCAATCCTCCTACCTCAGCCCCTCACAAAGTTAGGAATACAGGCATGCACAACTATGCTCAGGTAATTTTTTTCACTTTTTGTGGAGATGGGGTCTCACTATGTTGCTCAGGCTGGTCTTAAACTCCTGGGCTCAAGCAATCCTCCCGCCTCAGCTTTCCAAAGTGCTGGGATTACAGGCGTGAGTCACTACATCTGGCCTGTTACTTCTCTTTTTTATTCAAGAGGATAAGACCAATAAAGCAAGTAAACATATGAAATAAACCCTGGTCTGCATCATAATATTAACGTCCATTCCCAGTACCCAGCACAGTGCCTGGCACAAAGTAGGCACTAAATTGAAGTGGATGACCTTGAATGGGGGTTAATTCTGAAACTACAAGCATTATATGAAAGAGGTCCCTTTCTATTTTCATATTTCTGAGAACATATTAAAAGCACCTACCTGATTTATCAATAATTGCATCAATCTCTTCAATCACATCAAAATAGGCCTCATTGTTGGTATATTTCACCCCAGTCCGTCGCCAAGGCACCACTGACAGCTGCCCAGTGGGAAGCTGGTCACCCACATTCGTGCTTCCTGAGGCAATTAATATTACTGTATTTTAACACCATTTTGACTCTAGAAACCACAGAACACCTCCCTAGAAGTTTCTATGCTCCCACTATTCATGCACTCAATTGAAGAATTTTTCAAACAGAAGATGAGGTTTTTCCCAACTTCTATATGGGGTAACCTAGTCTATTTTTAAAACCCCTTGTTGCCATCTGGTCTGCCTTTTCAAACAGAATAAAGGTTTAAGAAAAAGTTACCTGAGAAACAGATATCATATTTTGGTTTTGAAAGTAACCTGAACTTAGTATCTCAGATGCAGCTTAAATAATGTATTGGCTTTCAGTAGAGTTCGTAATCTACATATTGATATAAAAATTTCATGGGTAAAAACAGTATTTGAGCCTGAGATAGGTTCTTAGGTACATTTATGGTAGGTACTAAAATGTACATATCAATATGATCTGTCTCATTCCCAAGTTCCAACACTGAAACTTAGGAAAAGAACACAAAGTTGATCTCTCCCTGTCTTTAAGAATTGTAGATCAATTCCTTCACTTGTTTTTTCCTTTACAGGCATAAACTTTTTTTAATTTAAAAGGTTTTATACTGACATAATAAAATACATTAATTTAAATTCTATTTCCTTCTTCCATTACCTGGATCCTTTTATTTTCTGTCTTTAAACAAAATTTTTTTTAGATAGAGTCTCGCTCTATCGCCCAGGCTGGAGTACAGTGGTGCAGTCTTGGCTTACTGCAACCTCTGCCTTCCGGGTTCAAACAATTCTCCTGCCTCAGCCTCCCGAGTAGCTGGGACTACAGGCGCGTGCCACCACATCCGGCTAATTTTTGTATTTTTAGTAGAGACGGGGTTTCACTATGTTGGCCAGGCTGGTCTTGAACTCCTGACCTAATGATCCACCCAACTCGGCCTCCCAAAGTGCTGGGATTACAGATGTGAGCCACCATGCCCACCTAAAAAATTTTTTTAAGAGATAGGGTTTTCCTATGTTGCCCATGCTGGAGTTCAGTGGCTATTCACAGGCACAATCATAACTCACTGCAGCCTCGACCTCCTGGGCTCAAGTGATCCTCCCACCTTAGCCTTCAGAGTAGCTGGGACCACAGGCATGCACCACCATGCTTGGCTAATTTTTGTATTTTTTGTAAAGACAGGGTTTCATCAAGTTGCCCAGGCTGATTTCGAACTCCTGTGCATGAGTGATCCTCCCGCCTCAGCCTCCTAAAGTATTGGATACAGGCATGAGCCAATATGTCAGGCCCATTTCAACTTTTCAAAAGTGGTTCTTAGATACCCTTTTCTAGATTAAAGTGAGATACAGGCTTAACTCACTTCATAATATTCGTAAATGATTCAGGCACTAACAAAGCTTTTAAGGCTTAAAATGAACTCAGAATATTGAAGAAACCACCAAATTTGTTTCCTTAAAAAGAGGAACTATGTATTAAAATGTATCATCAAGATATAATAATCAAAGCAGTCTAGGGAAAAGGCAGGAAAGCCTAAAAACAGACCAAGAATCCATAATGACAGGACAAGATAGAAATGTCATTCTAAAACAGGGGAAAAGGATAAATTACACAATGGTGCTAGGAAAACTCTTGAAGAAATAAACATTATTGCACACCAAGATAATTTTCAAATGGATTAAATAATTAAATCCAAAAATAAAATCACAAACTAGACTTTTAAAAAAGATCTTCCCTTCTCTGAGATCAAAAAGACATTCTCCTGTTTTTGTCTAATAATTATAAAGTCTGTGTTTAACTCCTTAACCTAGCTAGACTTTATTTTGTGTATAGTGTGAAGTGGAGGGACTTAATTTTTTCCATATTGAAGCTGACTGCCCTAATACAATATAGTTAACAACCAGCCCCTGGTCCACTGATTTGATAAATGACCACATCTATCTACACCAAATTCCTATAAAAGCAAGGGTCTGTTTCTGGACTATTTTATCCCAATGACCTATCTGTCTGTTACAGACAAATACCAAATTTTAAAAACTACCCAAACTTCATACAGATTGAGTAATCTTTACCTGAAATGTTCAGGACCAGAAATGTTTCAAATTTTGTATTTTTTTAAATTTTGGAATATCTGGATTATACCAGTTGCGCATCCCAAATTCAAAAATCTGAAATCCTCCAATGAGCATTTCCTTTGAGTGTCATGTCAGTATCCAAAAAGTTTTGGATTGTAGAGCATTCTGGATTTTGGATTTGGGATGTTAAACCTGTAATATATCTGATATCTGGTAGGACACATTTTATCTTTCCTCTTTTTAAAAATATTATTTTCAAAACTCTCTTGGGTCTTGTAGGATGTCTACTGTATGAATATTTGTCTTGTGTACTATACAAACTTAACGTGTCGTGATATTTGACAGGGCAAATCCTCCCAACAACCCCTTTGTAATTCTTTTCCAAAACTGTCCTGGCTATTCTTGCAATATTTATACTTTTAAAATGTATTTTTCAATCAGTTTATAAAATTCCATGAAAATGCTTGCTTATGCATTAAACAAGACCCAAAATGTAAAACCTTAATGAAAAGAATGATTAATTTGATTAAATCAAAACATTTAAAATGTGGCTAAACACCACCAGAACAAAGCTAAATCACAAGTGATAGACTGTAAGAAAATATCTGTAATGCAGTAATCAAAAGACATAAAGATCTCCCATAAAAGAGATTTTAAATCCACATGAAAAAAGAAATACATTTCAACAACAAAAAAATGAACAAAGGACATGAAAAGGTAATTCACAATAGAGGAAAAACAGTCAATAAATACTTGAAAAGATTTTAGTCTCCTTAATAACAAAAAATGACTGTAAATACAAGATATCAATAAACTATCAAATTGCCAATGTTTCTAAAAAATTATTAATGACAATAACAGGGTTCACTACAGTGCTTTGAAATTGTTACTGAAAGTATAAATTGGCCTAACTTTTCTGGAGAGCAACACATTACAGTACTTAAAATGTATACACCCCTTGACACAGCATTGCTACCTCTACTACTTTAAAGAAATCATCCCAGATGTGCACCAAGGTTCAAGTGTAAGAATGGTAATCCTTGTTATTTAAAAGAACAAAAATCAGTAACATCATAAATAGGGATTCAGTACGTAACTTTGGGTCCACTCCACATGGAAGAAAACTATAAATTATTAAAAATGAAGGCCAGGCATAGTGGCTCCCACCTGTAATCCCAGAACTTTGGGAGGCCAAGGTGGGTGGATCACTTGAGGTCAGGCATTAGAGACCAGCATAGTCAACATGATGAAACCCCATCTCTCCTAAAAAATACAAAAATTAGCTGGGCATGGTGGCGTGTGCCTGTAATCCCAGCTACTCGGGAGGCTGAGGTAGGAGAATCGCTTGAGCCTGGGAGGCGGAGGTTGCAGTGAGTTGAGATCGCACCACTGCACTCCATCCTGGGCAACAGAGCAAGACGCCATCTCAAAAAAAAAAAAAAGAACCATGTAGAAGACATCATCATGGGATAATGTTCATAAAATATCACATGTTAAAAGTGTGGTGGGATTAAAAGCAATTTTTGCATTCTTTGTGCTTTTCTGTATTTCTGAAGTTTCTACAATAATCATGTGTTTCTTCTGTAATCAGAAAAAAATATTTTTAAAGAACACTTCATTTTGTCATTAAAATCAGGGTATTTTCCACAAAGCAAAAATATTATTTCAGGTTGTACTCAGTCTACAAGAGGGGCCAGGCGCGGTGGCTCACACCTGTAATCCCAGCACTTTGGGAGGCCGAGGCAGGTGGATCCCCTGAGGCCAGGAGTTCAAGACCAGCCTGGCCAACATAGTGAAACACCATCTCTACTAAAAATACAAAAATTAGCTGGGTGTGATGGTGCATGCCTGTAATCCCAGCTACTCGGGAGGCTGAGGCAGGAGAATCACTTCAACCCAGGAGGCGGAGGTTGCAGTGAGCCAAGATCACGCCACTGCACTCCAGCCTGGGTGACAGAGGGAGACTCTGTCTCAAAAAAAAAAAAAAAACAACTACAAAGAGCAAAATTAAAGCACTGGGACACCTGAGATCCCCAAAGACAAACACTCAAAACAATGTGCGACACTCGACTAAGCCACTCAGGCTGTAGGATGGCCACTATCTATCAGTTTCCCCCTCTGCCGTACCTGTGATGGTGTTGACAACCGTTCGAAGGATGGTAGGAGGCTTTATGAGTTCTTTAAGAATGTTCGACTCGGTAGCCAATGGAAAACCATTGTCAAGCATCTCTTCCAATACCTCATAAACCACAACTACATTGTCTTTGATCACTGGCTCTGAACAGACTCCAAAATAATCCTGATGGAGACAGAATATACACATTGATCACTCAGATACTGTAAAATAAATAAATAAATAAAAGAATGTGCCTACAGAGAATAAGGATCTGGCCTGTCCATGTGTTTCTGGGCTACTCTTCTACAACGAGGGAATGCAGCATAACCATAGTTCTCTTAGGCAGTCTGTTTGGTAGAAAGCACTAGACTGGCTTATGGTACTACTGTCATTACTAGCTTCTTCTACAAACAAGAGGAACTTAAATCTTTTGGGTTAATTTCCTCAACTTGATAAAATACACAGAATACAAAATTGAATCTTGATTATGTGCTTATCAACAAGAATTTGAAAGAATTATACAAAATAATACTTGATATAACAAAGAACAGTACATGAAAATCTTTACCCCTACTGCTGTGCTATTTCTTAACATTCATGCAGTGAATAAGAGTTGAGGGGAAAAAAATGAAATGAAGGGGACAAGCTAGCACACCTGAAAATTCCTTTGGACTATCTTTAAGACGCTAGCATTCCAAGAACTCTTTGTCCTTTTATTTAAAAGGCTAACGTTAGGTGCTAAATTATCTGCATTGTGGGAAAGCACTGGATTTCAAACCAGAAGACCTGGATTATAATTTTGTCATTTGTAGATTAAGTCATGTTAATTAATTTTGATCTTGATTCTTTAATGGTATAATCAGGATAACACCACTGGAGGTACAGGGCTGTAAGAATTAGGCATGACTAATTAAACACTAACGCTCATGAATGTACTTTGTAAACTATAAAGCACTACAAAATGGAATGCGTGATCATTATTTAGCAAGAAATGTTTGTGGCTATTCAATGTTCCCTTCCAGCAATGTCAGTATGTCTTTTCCAGGACCTCTGAGAGGGTCATGCAACCCTCTTGAACTCATAGAATGAAGGAAAATTTACTCCTTTTGAGAAAGTCCATTCTATTCATGAATGGCTCTGATCATTCCAAAGTTCTTTCTTTTGCTAAACTGAAATTTGCCTCCTAGCTCTGTTTTGCAGAGCAAGTGTACATAACAGCCCTGCAATTATCTGAAAACTACGAGTTTTCACCTCAGTTTTTTTCTTCTCAGGGCCACACTTTCAAGATACTTCCGCTGTTCATGATAAGGTATGGTTTCCAGGTTGTTTCACCATCTTTCCATTTCTTTGACATCCAAAACTGAACAGACTCTACTAGAGTCTAAATTACATTAGATAACGTCAATTATCCACAAGATTCCAATACCCGGGTCACCTAAGAGTCAGGAATGTATTCCTAAAACAAAAAGATTTCCTCTTTAAGAGGAAAATTCTCATTTTGAATGATAATTTAAAAGAAGAAAAAGTCACACATTTCCTTCCCAAAAGTGATTTATTTTTAAAAAATAAAACACTTCACTAGGTTTTATAAACCAGGCATCATGTGAACTAAGCAGCTGGAAAGGAGCCTCGCAATACAGCCAAGTGCTGCAGCCGGCCTGTGAGCCTGCAATTCTATTGCGGGGCCGCTCCTGTCACATTCTGGTCCTGGAAAAATCATGCTGCCGGAGAGGATGCACATCCACATCGGAGACCTGAGAATCAGGATGTCCACTGACTTTTAACAACTGCTTCAAGAATAACAAGCTCTGAAGTCTCAGACTTCCAAATTAGCAAATTTACTCTGCTTTCCCAAATTCCCCCATGGTTTCAACTAGATCAAACAACTCTTCTCACTTCCTGTCTTGTAATAAGTTACATTAGTATGGCCATATAGCGGCTGTCAGTTTCACCAGTGCGACTGTTAATCTCAGAATGAGTAAAGTATCACACGTGGAAATCATAACAAGGCCCAGTTAAAAGTTGTTTAGGATCACAACTCCTGGGTTCTTCTAGTTCTTCCACATACTGGGACTTATACTTACGTTTTCACTGTGCAAAGGGGCCGGTATGTTGCATGAGAACTGAAATTCCAGAACAGTAGTACTACAGAGTATTGCAGGGAAAAACAAAAAATGTATTTTAATTCTCTTGGGAAGGGAAGTTGTTCTAGACGTGGTGCAGATATGAGTACAAGAGAAGGAACTCTTTGACTTGCTTTTTAACTTTTATCATAGTGTGTGGGTCCTCATTCTCTTCTCCAATTCCACAATTCCAGTGTTCATATGACTCATTCCAGACCTCATATGACACAGAAGTTAAACCAAAAGGCCCTCGCTTCTCATTTGAGTTATGCAAATAACCACAACAGTTAGAAGTTGATTGGTTCTTTTGGGAGAAAGTTCCTCTGTGTGAATCCAGGGCCGGTGCTGTCTGAACTCCTGTGCTGCAAATGGTGTCGTGTCCTGGTATCACTGACCTCCCTTGGACATCACCCCCTAAGTTCTTAACATCTATTCCTGAAGAAAAAGCTTAAAATGAAAACTGCCTCATAAAATGGCTCACTTAAATTCTTACAGGCACATGAGATTTCCCAATCTCATCTTTGCAAGCAGAGCTCATCAGTACCACTCTCTCACTATAAAGAACCACCTCAAACCTGAGAACTAGTACAGGTTCATGAGTTACCCCTGACTGGGAGAGTTAAATTAAGCATTCCTTAGCTTTTTCTACTTTTTCTTTTCTAAAACTTTATACAATCACTTTCTGATGCAACTCAAAGCAATGCAGATAACAATGGTTAGGATCAAGACCACCAGGCAAAAACAATCTAAACTCTAATTTGTGAGCAAAAAGTAGAATCAGAGCTAGAAAGGCTATATATAGTCATCGCAAATAGGATGACTTTCCCACGCAAGAGGTTCAAAAGTATTCCATTTGTCATTTTGCATGCAGCCAATTCAATAAATAGAAACCAGAATCTTATCAGATGGGAGAGGAAGTGAGTAATACCAGAGTTTTGATTTTTTTTTTTAAGTTTCTTAATGGAGGCTTTACACAATGGAAACAGGACTACAAAGACACTTTACGGTTTACATATATGAACTTTCCCACATTCACGAACCTGAAATGTGTCCACCACTCGGTGAAGAAACTCAATGACAAACAGAGGGGGGACCTCCGTCTGGATCACGGCCACAAAAAAGATCTTGTGGCGGTAAACACTTAAGAGATAGTGGTGAGGGGTAGGGATAACCGGAGGCACATTTTCTGCCTCAGTAGCTCTCTCTTGCGCCTCAAAAAAGTAATCACAAACAGAACGGCTGACCACACTTTTCCAATGTTTCTCCAGGAAAATGTCTCCAGAGGAGTTGATCAAGAAAAGACTATGGATCATGGTGGCGATTGTCAGTGACAGAAGAAAGCCTTTTTCAGTCTGAAAGCCTCAGGACTCTGTAAGTTTTCAACTCTAAAAACAAAAGCAGCGATATTCAGTTCCATTCAACCAAAAGGCCCTCCCCATCTTTTCCCAACAGTCCAAGACTTACCCATCTTTCAAGACCAGGCCCAATCTTCCCCTCCTGCATGAGCCTGAAGATAGCCCTCCCTTGAATTCGAAACGATAATGATCAGTCATCTGACTGTCAATCATATACTCCCAGTTATCTTTACTATCGCCCAAATTGCATCCATTTAAAATACTACTTATCTGTGGGTGTCTATTTTCTCAACCGAACCGCAAACTCCTTGAAGAAAAGGGCCGTGCCTCATGTTTTGCGTTGCCTGACTGCAACACAATCAGTGTTCTTTGAAGAGGGCTTCCAAGAACACTGAATTTGATGTCATGTTTTGGCAACAGCTCACACATACACAAGAAATGCGCAGCTTAATACGATAGCCACTATGGGACCAGCGAGCACTTGAAAGGTGGCTGGTGCGGACTGAGGTGTGCTGTTAAGTGTAAGACACACGACAAATCTGAAAGGCTTTGCATGAAAAAAAAAATTTCAAATATCTTACCAATAATTTAATATTGATTATATGTTGTAATAACATTTTGGATATCCTGGGTTAAATCAAATATATTAAAATTAATTTAACCTGTTTTATTATTTTAAAGTGGTTACCAGAACATGTACAATTACATATGTGGTTTGCTTTCTATTTCTGCCCACCAGAATTGGTGGGAGGAATGGAAAGCTGCCCTTGGGGGTCTTTATTCATCCAATCAGAGCTATTCTCTGAGCACTCCTTAGGCACTTGTTAATGCAGTAAGACATTTAAAAAGATCCCTTGGGGCTCCCGCCTGTGATCCCAGTACTTAGGGAGGCCTCCGCGGGCAGACCGCTGGAGCTCACGAGTTCGAGATCAGCCCGGGCAACAGAGGGAGAACCCCGCCCCCTCCACCTCCAAAAAAAAAAAAAAATTTCCCTGGGGGACAGACACCCCAAGGCCCTCAGACGGTTGCATCTCTCTGGTGCCAGTCGCCAGGATGTGGCCATTCCGCGAACCGGCGCGGGTGGTCAAAACGCAGAGGCCTGCGGTGCCCAGCGCCGCCTGGAGGAGACAGCAGGAGGGAGAGACAGCCAGGCAGCCCGGGGTGCGAGGGAGAGGCAGCGGCCTAGGCAGGCGGTCCCTGCGCAGGCCCCGGCCCAGAGCCGGCGGCGACGGAGGCCGCGGGGCGCAGGCGGGCAGGGGCCTGGCTGAAGGGGCACGCGCGTTCCGGGGTGAAGAGCGCAGGGGTGCCGGGCCGCGCCAGCGAGCGCACGTGCGCTGCCATGGCAACAGTGTCCCCTCCGCCCGCAGCCGCGGCGCCGGGAAGGACGCCCTCCCCGAACTCTGAACCCGGCCCCTCACCTCTCCCCGCCGCGTCCGCAGCCCTGAGAGGCCGCCCGGCTGCATCCTGAGACCCCGCCCCGACCCTCGCGCGCCCCCACTCCTGCCCCCTCTCCAGGCTCGGGGTCGTCCCTACTCCTCACCTGGCCTTGCTGCTCTCAGCGCCCACTGCTCCTAGGCGCGGACAGGCCCCGCCCCGCCCGCCGCGCGCGCTGAGGCAGCCGCTCGCCCGCTGATTGGCCGGCCCGCGGCCTGGCTACCGCTCCGCCCACGATCTGCGCCTGAAGGCCGCTGATTGGGTATCTGGGAGCCGCTCCTCCCCTCTGATTGATCGCTGTTGGCGGCTTGCCCTGTTGTCGGGCTCGAGTCCCCCGATTGGCCCTGTTGAGGCCACGGTCATCTCCGATTGGTACAGCTCCGAGACCCCGAGTCCTGATTGGAGGTCGAAGACAGTGCGTGCTGCTCGGCCCCACTCATCCAGTCACAAAGGGCTGGGGCGGTCGCCGCGCTCGCGTGTTTGCGGAGTGCGCCTGGAGGGGGCGCTGGAGTATGTGTGTGCCGGGGCGGGGTGGCTTCCGGGCACGAGTTGCTGACAGCGCCTCGCGGTTGATAAATCCTGAGGGCGGCGGCTACCCTGCACTCCATCGGTGCCTTTGGGAAGCGCCGCCTTCTCTGTTGTACCCGGCCGTGGGTCAGGTCGGCGCGGCTGGCGGTGGAGTCTCGGACACCGAGCCCTGGACCCCGACTCTGGAAGCCCCCAGCCCCACTGGGCCGCGGCAGGGCGCCCACCCTCCACAATCTCAGTTCCCAGCCGGGGAGTGAGGGGCTGGGCGGGTCTCTCCACCGCTTTGGAGACCTCAGGACTTGGATACGCTTTTGAGTGGTCCCAGTCGTCCTGATCCACGAAGGCGTGGAGTGGAAGTCAGGACCAGGGGTCGCCCCAGTGACGCAGGAAGTCAAGCCCAGATGCGGTGAGGCGTCGCCAGCCTTGGACCCAGCAGTGGGCGCTGGTGACAGTGGCGACCTCGCCGATGAGAGGTTCGCCCTCCCTAGCATTAGTTGTCACTTTGGTGAAATGGAGCGTGGGTGGCAGCTCCTCCACACACAAGCCCTTTGCTGAGGTGGTGCGGGGGGTTCTCTCCACGCTTGCTAAGGGCAGGTAGTTGGCTGACTTTGAACTATGAAGAAAAGCCAGAAACAAAATGGCAGAATGGTATGACTCTGGGTGGGCTTAGGGACGCTGGTGCCAGAGGACTTGGCTTGAACCCGCTCCAACACTTACAACCTGAGTGACCGTGAGAAAGAACTGTAACTCCTCTAAACTTCAAGTTCCTCACTTCTCAAATAAGAACGTGAATAGTACCTCCCTCCTAGAGTTGTGAGGATTGAGTTAGAAAATGCTAGCAATTGTTATGCCCTAAGGAACAGCACAAGATACAATAACACGTGATAATGTGTGTCGAAGGTGCAGAAATGCAGTCGCTGCCGTGAGAATTTCTCATTCATTCACTGAATTAACATTTGCCGAAAACCCCCACGTATCGACCTGTGCTGGATGCTGGAGATGCTGCAATGACTGCTGTCACAGGCATTGTCCCTGTGGTTACAGGGCCCAGCAGGAAAGACAAATGAGAAGCAAGGGATTGCAATGCAGTGTGATGAATAAGGAACGCATAGGGGGTGGGAGGAGTGCTGTAGAGATGGCTGACCTAGAGTCAGGGAAGACCCTCTACCTTGAAACCTGAAAATGAGAAAGGATCCCTCAAATGCAGGGATAGATGGACAGAGAAAAAAGTACATAAGGAAGGCTCTGCAGATGAGCAAGTTAAGTATAGCTGAGCTGGAATGGTAGGAAGAGCGCAGGGAGATCAGGCTGGAAAGGTAAGTAGGGAGCCTAGTGGTTGTGAACCTTGGAAATGTTAATATTTATAAAACACTGTGTGCCATACACTGTGTTTTATAATTTGTAAGTACCATTCCATAAATATTTAGTGAGCCCTACCATGCGCCAGGCACTGTTCCAGTGCTTGGATACATAACACCAGTAAACAAAAGACAAAAATCTCTTGGAGCTGGGCGCGGTGGCTTACGCCTGTAATCCCAACACTTTGGGAGGCTGAGGTGGGCGGATCACTTGACGTCAGGAGTTCAAGACCAGCCTGGCCAACATGATGAACCCCTGTCTCTACTAAAATTAAAAAATTAGCCAGGCGTGATGGCACGTACCTGTGGTCCCAGCTACTCAGGAGGCTGAGACGGGAGAATCGCTTGAACCCAGGAGGCAGAGGTTGCAGTGAGCTAAGATCGCACGACTGCACTCCAACCTGGGCGACAGAGTGAGACTCTGTCTCAAAAAAAAAAAAAAAAAAAAAAAAAAACCCTGTCCTAGTGAGGCTTATATTCTAGTGGGGAAAAGACAGATAATAATCAATATACATAAGTAAAGTATATAGTAGGTTATAAGATGGCATGTGCAATAAAAAAAAACTACCAGGAGTGTTATGGGATTGGAGGGCAAATTACAGTTTTTAAGAGAGTAGTGAGAACAAGCCTCATTGAGAAGAGACATTAGTGCAAAGATTTGAAGAAGGCAGAAGAGTTAACTATAGGGAGATCTTGGGGGAGAGCATTCCAGCAAAGGGAACAGGCACTGCAAAGCCTGTAAGGCCAGAATGCTCCTGGGGAGTTTCTGGAGCAGGAAGGGTGACAGTGTGGCTGGAGTGAAATGAGCGCAGGGTAAAGGAGGAGACAAGGTTACAGGGTGGGTGGCCTGATCACACAGGGGCTAGAAAGCTCTTTTAAAGATTATGGTTGTGAAAGAGAGAGCCCATGGAGGGTTTGGACAAAGGGGTGATAGGATCTGATTTATCAGTCATCTGGGTTGAGAAGACTGTGCAAGAAGACTAGTGAGACCGCTGCAGTGACCCAGGCGAGAGGTGATGGAGCTCAGACCAGGCTGTAGCCATGGAGGTGGTGAGGAGGAGGTGGACTGTGCGTGTAGTCTCCAGGAGGAGCCAGCTGGATTTCCAGATGGATGGGATGCAGGGAGTGAGAACAAGAGAGAAGGGAGGGCCACTGAGCTTCAGCATGGAGAAGGATAGTTTCATCAGCTGAGACTAGAAAGACTATGGGTAGGCCAAGCACGGTGGCTCATGCCTGTAATTCCAGCACTTTGGGAGGCTGAGGCAGGTGGATCACCTGAGGTCAGGAGTTCGAGACCAGCCTGGCCAACATGGTGAAACCCTGTCTCTACTAAAAATACAAAAATTAGCCGGGTGTGGTGGCGAACACCTGTAATCCCAGCTACTCGGAAGGCTGAGACAAAAGAATTGCTTGAACCTGGGAGGTGGAAGTTGCAGTGAGCCAAGATTGTGCCACTGCACTCCAGCCTGGGCAATAAGGCAAGACTCCGTCTCAAAAAAAAAAAAAAAGCAATCACAAATCTGATAATGTTTTAAGAGAGTTTATGAGTTTGTGTTGGGCTGCATTCAGAGCTATCCTGGGCCGCATGCAGCCTATGGGCCTTGGGCTGGACAAGCTTGCTATAAAGGAATACCTGAGACTCGGTAATTTATAATATTAAAAAAAAAGAGGTTTATTTGGCTCATGGTTCTGTAGGCTATGCAAGCGTGGCACCAGCATCTGCTCAGCTTCTGGTGAGGCCTCAGGAAGCTTTTACTCATGGCAGAAGGTGAAAGGGGAGCGGGCAGTTGCATGGTGAAAGCAGGAGTGAGAGAGAGGAGGTGCCAGGCTCCTTTAAACAACCAGCTCTCTCATAAACCAACAGAGTGAGAACTCACTCATTACCATGGGGAGGGCACCAAGCCATTCACGAGGGATCCAACCCCATGACACCTGCTAGACCCACCTCCAAAACTGGGGATCACATTTCAACATGAGATTTGGAGGGGACAAACATCCAAAGTATATCAATATATCTGTGAGCTCCATTAACTATCCAAGTGGAGATGTTGAGAAGGCAGCTGGACATATAAGTCCAGGGTTCAGGAGAGTGGGCTGAGCTTGAGATATAAATTTGGGTGTTTTCAGTATATGGATATTTAAAGTAGTAGGACCTGTTGAGATGACCGAGGGAAGGAGTGTGGAGAGATAAGAGAACCAGATTCCAGGGACACTCCAAATTTAAGAGTTCACATAAGAGAGGAGGATCTGAAATCATTTAATCCCCCCAACTACTCTAAAATGAATTACCGTTGTGATCCCCTTTTCGTAGATGAGGAAGCTGCAAAGACAGCTTAAATAACTGCCCAAGGTCGAACAGCAAAGCTGTGATTCAAGGACGTTGGAAGATCTGAGCAGAATGGCTCAGATTCCACACTTCCTACCTCTAAGCCCAGGAACCCATTGAAGAAATGTGAAGCAGGAGAGTGGCACACTTTCAGATTTCCATTTCAGAAAGACTATGTGTGCAGGATGGACTGTAACAGGCTGAGCCTGGAGGCTGGGAGGTTATTTAGACAATTGCAGTAATCCCTAGGAGAGAGCTAGTGCCTGGAGCCATGAGGCAGGGATTAGAGAGAAGTGGACACCTTCCAGAGAAGATAGGGATTAGGGATTAATGGAATGTCAGTGGTGAGGCAGAGTAGGTTTCTGATTCGGGCAATGACATGGATGGAAGCATCATGTGTTGAGATGGGGATCACTGGAAGAGAGGCCCCTTGCGGGGAGGGCGCATGAATCCAGTATATAGCAATGCCTGGGGGCATGAACCAAGTTGACACTCAAGTGTTTGTTGAATTGAATCAAGTAACATAGAATCTGAGAGCTCATGTAATACTTTCCCATGACTTTAAGAGAGGCCACAGGAAATCATTGACAAATGATAAGTCAGTCTATTTTGTGCATAAAAATCTCTAGGGAAAGATTTCCTAAAGCTGCCACTCACAAACCATTCTAATGTTTAACAGCTCTCACTGCTGAGAAATTTTTCTACCATAAAAAGTTAATCCTAGCTATCAGGATTCACTGGGAACCATTTATTTATTTATTTATTTATATTTCATTTTTGGTCTGAGACAAGAGAGGCCTTGCCCACCCAGAAAGACATTTTTTTCAGAGCTGCAACATCATTTCTGCGTCTTTGCCACTTCCTCCCTGTTCACACGTATGCTCTCCTTGCAACACACCTCACTACCGGTCATGCACTGAAGCAATGGAATGCCTTCTCCTCATGCCTCCCTTCTCACGGAGCCCTCTACCTGGCACATGTTTGTCTTTTACTCATCCTATTTTGGAAATTCGCTCCAGCCCGCAAGGCCCAGCCATATGTTTCCTCCTCCACAAAGTCTGTTTGAAGCTTCTTGCCCCCACACTGGGAGTAATGTTTCCCTCCTCTGTGATCAAAGAGCATTTCCCAGCTCTTTCATGTAACCTACAGAGCGGGCACACTCTGCCATGCATCAACATGTGCATCTGCTGACCAAATCTGGATTCTAAGCTCTTTGGGAAACCACAGTGTGTCTCACAATGTCTAGTGAACAATCACCTATTAAACTAACAGTGATGGAGTGCTTACAACCTCCTGGACACTGCGGGTACAAAGATGCGGTACTCTATGTTACTTCAAGGAACATACAGTCAAGTGGAGGGGGGATTTAAAGTGTAGACTGCTCCCCTTATCAAAACCAGGCCGGGCGCCGTGGCTCACACCTGTAATCCCAGCACTTTGGGAGGCCAAGGCGGGTGGATCACCTGAAGTCAAGAGTTCGAGACCAGCCTGGCCAACATGGTGAAACCTTGTCTCTACTAAAAATAGAAAAAAAAAAAATTAGCCCAGTGTGGTGGCATGCACCTATAGTCCCAGCTACTCGGGGAGGCTGAGGCAGGAGAATCACTTGAACCCAGGAGGCAGAAGTTGCAGTGAGCCAAGATCACGCCACTGCACTCCAGCCTGGGCCACAGAGGGAGACTCCATCTCAAAAAAAAAAAAAAAAAAAAACCAGCTCCTTTAAGCCTGGCCATGAAAGGAGCCTGTCCATGTGGAGAGGAGAGACTGAACCTGACGCCCTACTCTAGAAAAAGAGATCCGCTTTCCCCTTAGGGACCTCTCACTGCTGGCTGCAGCTCCCACCACCATACTGGTTTTGGGAGGGTCAGTATCCCTTTAACTCTTCAATGGCATTTAAGACACACTATTTTTTGTTGTTTGTTTAATTTCCTATAGCAGAGCAGAGACCAGGATGGACATTTATCCAAAGCTTGTCTAAAGACTTGAAGATAGGCCGAGCACAGTGGCTCACGCCTGTAATCCCAACATTTTGGGAGACAGAGGTGGGCGGATCACTTGAGGTCAGGAGTTCGAGACCAGCCTGGCCAACCCATTTCTACTAAAAATACAAAAATTAGCTGGGCATGGTGGCGGCCACCTGTAATCCCAGCTACTCGGGAGGCCGAGGCATGAGAATGGCTTGAACCTGGAAGGCAGAGTTTGCAGTGAGCCAAGATCGTGCCATTGCACTCCAGCCTGGGTGATAGAACGAGACTCAGTCTCAAAAAAAAAAAAAAAAAAGACTTGAAGATAACAGAAAGGAAGTGAGCAGAAAGAGTAACATGCAACTAAAAATGTAGCTCACAAATGTGATCCAATCCGGGCATCTTAGATGTCTCTATGGGATGCACACCTGCTTCCAGGGGACAGGGATGCTGTGTACCTCCTCTCACCTAGGAGCCCCGGCAAGCCATCTGGAGTTCCTGAAATCCAAACCTTGTCTGACAAGGAGACAGCAGCCTCCCTCTCCTGGTGGCCTCAGGCTGGCCTCCTGGTTCCAGTCTCCTGAGGGACATAATTATTGCACCAAATGGTCCCTTCCCCAGATGATTAGCCACAAGAATATCCAATCATGAGGCCACACCCTCACCTCAGGGGCATGGCATTATTCTGTGGCTTGTTAGTAGACGCTCCGCGGTTCTTTCTCTGCACTCTCCCTAGATGGCTTCATGAGTGTAATACCCTTTTAATGATGACAGCTCTCGATGTATCTCCAACCTCAACTGTTTTCCCCAGCTTAGTAAACAATACCACCATCCATCCAGCTACTCAAACCCATGAGTCATCCTCAAGTCCTCCATTACCCTCATCCCCTCATGTAATCAGAAGCATACCCTGTGGATTCTATCTTCAATGTACATCAGGAATTCAGAATCTCTCCAATGCAATGTCATCACTTTAGTCCAGGCCACAATCACCACTTCCCTGAAAGATGATAACCGCTGCCATACTGGTCTCCCATTTCTACTCTCACCCCTCCAATCCATTTTCTATACAGCAGCAAAAGTGAGCTTTTAAAACTGTAAACAGTTATGTGCAGCTTGGAACCCATCAATGCATTCCCATGGCATTAAATCAAAAATGCCTTTACTACTTCTTTTTTTTCCCCGCTTAGAGTCAGGGTCTCACTGTGTTGCCCAGGCTGGAGTGCAGTGATGTGATCATAACTCATTGCAGCCTTGAACTCCTGGACTCAAGCAATACTCCCGCTTCAGCCTCCTGAGTAAATGGGACTACAGGCATGCCACCACACCTGACTACCTTTAACACTTATCTGTCCTCTCGATCTCTCCAGTTGAATCTCTTGCCACACCCCTCCACCACTCACCCCCACTCTCAGCTCTGGGCCTAGAATATGCTCTTTCCTCTGTTTGGAAGCTCCTGTTCTTCCTTTAAGTCTTCCTTTATGGTACCTTCTCAGGGAGTCTTCCATTAAGCACCTTGTCTAAATCTACCCCCCATCTTTGTCTTCCTCTACCACCCTAAGTATTCTGTCTCTATTCTTTATAATACCCATCGAAGCTTGTAATTACTGTGTTTATTTATCTGTGGTCTTTTCTTCTTTGTCAGTCTTCCCCACTAGAGTATGTGCCCCCTGAGGTCAGGCACTGTGTCTGTCCTGCTCACCTTTGTAGCCATTGCCTAGCACAATATCTGGCATTCAGGAGGTTTCAGTAAATGTTTGTTGCCCTGTGAAAAGCAGTTTGGGGATCTCTCAAAGAACTTAATATAGCACTACCATGCAATCCAGCAATCCCATTACTGGGCATATACCCAAAGGAAATAAATTGTTCTACCAAAAAGACATATGCACTTGTATGTTCATCACTGTGCTATTCACAATAGCAAAGACATGGAATCAACCTAGGTGCCCATCAATGGTGGATTGGATAAAGAAAATGTGGTACATATACACCGTGGAATACTATGTAGCCATAAAACAGAGTGAAATCATGTCCTTTGTAGCAACATGAATGCAGCTGGAGGCCGTTATCCTAAGCAAATTAATGCAGAAACAGAAAAGCAAATACTGCATGTTTTCACTTGTAAGTGGGAGCTAAATGTTAGGTACACACAGACACAAAGATGGGAACAATAAACACTGGGATCCCAAAAGCAGGGGAAAGGGAGGAAGTCAAGGGTCAAAAAACTACCTATGGGTACTGTGCTCACTACTTGGCTGACGGGATCATTAAAGCCTCAGCATCATGCAATATACTCATGTAACAAACCTGCACCTGTACCCCTGAATCTAAAATTTTAAATAAATAAATGTTTGTGGCTTACATGGGCTGTTCTGATCACCTTCCACTGTTGGTGAATGAGGGGTATCCCTGCCCTAAAAAGTACAAGATAGCCAAACACATGACACCTGGCCCTGGACGGATGAGGTTGATAGCAGTTTATTCACAATGTAAACTCACAGCTGCAGGAGGAGGAGATTGTGGATGGTGGGGGCTGCATTCTGGAGTAGAGCAAACCCCCAGAGAGGCAGCCTTGGTAGAGACAAGAGGGCAGGATGGCCCTTGGTTCCCATTGGAGCATGTGATTGGTTTGTTTGAATTATTTCGCGGGCTAATAGGAAGGTGAAGCTCATTAGGTTGAGAACTGCATGGGGTGCAGCTTGTCCTGCTGACAGAATTAGCCAGGGATGTCTGCTAAGATGAGGGGAATTCACAAGCATTCAGGCCCTGTGATCTTCAAGAATGTCAAGGTTGCACTTGAAAGTTTAGTTCTTACCATACATGGATCTATAATAGCATCTGGACAAGAGACATACACATATAGTAGCCAGAGGCAGGGGGTAAGGGGAAGAGATTATTTTATTATAAGACTAAGTGAATGAATTACTATACTACAGCCCTGTGATTTGTATGTACAGGCTACTAGATGAGTAGCTAGTAAGTTTTCCTTAAAAAACTGAATTCCTAATCCTACCTTTTTTTTTTTTTTTTTTTTGAGACATGGTCTCACTCTCACCCAGGCTGGAGTACAGTGGCGCAATCTTGGCTCACTACTGCAGCCTTCACCTCCCGGGCTTAAGTGATCCTCCCACCTCAGCCTCTGGGCTGGGTGGGACTACAGGTGTGTGGTCACCATGCCCAGCTAATTTTTCTATTTTTTTTGTAGAGACAGGGTTTCACAACATTGCCCAGGCTGGTCTCGAACTGGACTCAAGCAATTTGCCTGCCTCGACCTCCCAAAGTGCTAGGGTTGCAGGGGTGAGCCACTGTGCCAGGCCCCCTAATTCTCCTTTATTCTTATCCTAAATTGGAGCCCATGGGGATTATGCTTAGCTACATGTAACAGAAAAGCCAAATAACACTGGCTTAAACAAGATAGGGGTTTAGTTTTCTCTCCACATCATGAGATGTCAAGAAGTTCATAAATCCAGAGCTGGAATGGCAGCTTCCATCATGGACTCAGGCATCTCTTAGCTTGTCATCCTACCCTTCCTGGGGGTGGAGCTTTCATCCTCATGTGCATAACATTGTTGCCGTGGCTCCAGGCATCAAGCTATATTCCAGGCAAAAAAAGATAAAGAGCAAATGGGTGTGAGCCAACTGCATAGGCTCCCTTTAAGGGACTTTTCCTGAATCCCACTGGTACTCTCTTGTTCAGATAATATTATGTTAAAGGAGGTCCTGGGATTGTTCTTAGCTGGGCACATTACTGCCCCCACTCCCACTTCCAAAATGGATTCTGTGAATAAGGAAGACAGGAGAATGGATATCCAATAGGCAACTAACAAAGTGAAGTGTGATTACAATCAATGAATAGACTGAATATTTTAATTAAAGTCTAGAATTGGAGGGCTTAGGTAAGGTGGACTGGAAAACAGGAAGGTTCCACAAAACAGACTTTACTTAATTTTTTTTTTTTTGAGACAGGGTCTTGCTCTGCTGCTGACACTGGCCTTGAGCTGCTGGTCTCAAGCGATCCTCCAGCCTCAGCCTCCTGAGTTGGGATTACAGGCACAAGCCACAGTGCTCGACTTTTTATTTAATCTTGTTAGAAGACAAGACAGAAACATGTCCGTTGTGAAAACAAGGTACAGTACGTGATGTCAGGGTAAGAGTCATGTCTGAAAGCATTGTGGGGATGATAAGCAATCACAGGGTCATCTGCGTGGTGACAGGGTCACCACAAACTGGCGGTGTGACCTCAGGAGGTTACCTAGGGAGGTCCTTGGGTCTCATGGGTCGTAAAATGAGAGGATTGAACTAAATTATCTTTAAGATCTTTCCCAACGCTACAATTCTAGTGGTCATTTTTTTTTTTTTTAAGAGAGGGTCTGGCTCTGTTGACCAGGCTTAAAGTACAGTGGTGTGATCTCTGGTCACTGCAACCTCTGCGTCCTTGACTCAAGCCATCCTCCAACCTCAGCCTTCAGAGTAGCTGGGACCACAGGTGTGCACCACCATGCCTGGCTAATTTTTTTTATTTTAAAAGATGAGGGTTTCACTATATTGCCCAGGCTGGTGCTGAACTCCTGGGCTCAAGAGATCCTTCCGCCTCGGCCTCCCAAAGTGCTGGGATTACAGGTGTGAGCCACCACACCAGGGCAACTTTTATTTTAATTAAGTGAAATATTTTAGACAAATGGAAGGTTTCATAGAAAACAGATGAAGAGCTGGGTGAGACAGCACACACCTGTATTCTCAACTACTCAGGAAGCTGCGGGCAGATCGATTGACCCCAGGAGTTCAAGACCATTCTGGGCAACATAGCAAGACTCTATCTCTGAAGACAAAACCAGCCAACCAACCAACCAACCAATCAACCAACAAAAAAGATCAAGCAGAGGTGCTCCAGAGGACGCAGCAATAGAATTCCGGAGCAATGTCTGCTTGGCCTCGGTCTTCATTCCCATGGTGGCCCCTGAGTTCCGTGGAGCTCACTTCTACATAGTTCCATGTGTGACTTCAACAAAATAAAATGACGCATTTATTGGTTAAAAATCAGAGATTACCATCAGATATGGAAAATTGCTTTTACTTGGTAATAACAATCTTACGCACTTTTTACCAAACCCATCGCATTAAATAACTAGCGTTTCAAATTTTGACACTGCATAATAAACCCTCATTTGAAATGACTGGAGAAATACTCATCAAATCTCATGGAAGAATGACAGAATTTTCTCCAGAATTTATCGGAAAGGAAAAGAGGTTGGACTGTCAGGAAACGTTTTCAGGGTAACATACTTACTATTTTCTAGACAGTTACTCAGATAACACTTGTACGCAGAGGGAAACACACCCCTGGGCTTTGCAAACACTTGTTTCCTGTGTGTCAGACTCGCCTGCATCCTGTTTATCAAATGGAACGGATAGTTATTGAAAGCAAAGACCAGAACAACTTACCTCTTGTCAGTCACCTGCTTTTCTTTACTTGTCATACTTTTAGCATTTACAAAGTTTTAAAAATGTGTTTATCATTTGGTAATTATTTTTAAACTTTATTTGAAAATATAGACTGAGTTCTGAACAAATTATCCTTAAATTTCTTCCTCTAGTAGTTACACTTTTCAGTATCAGTGAAGTTTTATGACGCCTCTATTTTTCCTACCCACACAGCATCTCAAGTTTGTCTTTACAGAATAACTGGAAGTCCTAGCTTTATCCTCTCTCTGCGTTTCTCTCTCACAGCCCCCTCCTCTTGGACTCTGCTCTTCCTCTCAGCACCGTAACCTTTTTAATTTCCAGATAGGTTTTGAAAACACCATCTGTTCCCCTCTTAGGATCCCTGGGGCAGATGATAGGTGAACCCCACATCCCAGACACATGGCCACCAAAGATATTCTTGCTTTTTTAATGTTTATCAAGTTCCTCCGCAGACAACAGAAAGTAAGTTTTATTTAGGTATTTATGAAAGGTAACACGCATCTTTAAAAATATGATCATGATACATTTCGAATGAGAACTGTGTGTAAAACATACAGGTCCTATTGTTTCCCTCGTCGTTTTGTCTTTTCTTCAGCCAGAAAGTGATCCGCTGCCAGCGACAGGGAGACACACAACTGGTCCTTATTCTAAAGACCCGACCCAGCCTGGAATGGGGCCCGGCGAGGAGTTCTTGCGCCGGCCGCGGGGACTGGGCGGTAATGAGCCGCTAGTCTCGGAAGGTGGTGCTGTTGGGTGTGAGGGGAGATCCGGCTTGCGCTGAAACAGCGAGCGGCGTGCAAGGAGGAAGCCGCGATTTCCAAGGCGGATTCCCTTCGCTGGGACACAACTCTTGAGAATAAGACTTATAAGGACTCTGAGAGTTTGAGGCAGAGGCAGAACGGCTCTGGGCTGAGTGATGGGGAGGATACCAGCACTCAGCGCGGGTGGCGGGCGCGGGGCCGAGCGCGCGCATCCAGGGACGCCTTGGGGACGGGACGCGGAGAAAAGTTGCCGGGCGGAGAGAAAGGGTGGCGCTGGAAACCAAATGGCTTTCATCCCCTGGAGACAAAGAGGTGCCTTCTTTTGACAACAGCTGCCAGTGACACACACACCATACGGCGGGGCCGGCGGGGGAGGGGAGCCCGGGAGGAGAGCGTCTAAGGCGGGGACCGGCACTGACTTTCAATAATGGGGTGGTTGCCATGGTGACGGGCCAGGCATCTAAAGGGGCGGCTGAAAGCACCCATTGTTCTGGGGCCCGGCTGCTCGGGTTGTGCCTGTTCCTAAGAGACACCTTTAGACACCTCCCTCCGTGCAGGGGCGAGCTGCGGCCCGGGGCTGGGAGCGTCTCCGCGGGAGTTTCACACCAGGGCCCCAGGCCGCAGATCGCAGCGCCGCCTTGGCTGCACGCGCGCTGCATACGGAGGGCAGCGCCGCCTCCCACGCACTATCCGCCCGAAATCCGAGCGCGACGCGCGCCCGCCTGGGCCCAGACGCGCAGGCCGGGACACGCAGCTCCGCCTGCTCCCCGCTGTCCCGGGGAGACTTCGAATAACAATGCGGAGCAGGACCCGGTGACTCCACAAATAACTCGCTGAGGTCTGGGGCGAGGGCACTCGGGAAAACCCCGCAGTCACTTTGCAGTCGTGCTGGAAGGAAAAGCAGAACGGAATCACAGGATAAAGAAGATTAAAAGTAACAGGGCAGCGTTGCAATGTTGCTTGTAAGAGCAAGCAGCTGGAAACAACCTAAAAGCCCGTCCCTGGGGGCTGGGTGAATGATATGGGGCGCATCCCTCTGAGGGAACACTAAGCTGCCATTAAAGAGTACAGGGCAGCTGTATTTGCTGAGACGTGGAAATTTTCCGGTGTATTCTAAGTAATAAAGTGCAGAAGAGTGTGAGTAGGGCTGTGTGTATGTGGTATGTGTGTTTGCATCTCTGGAAGTGGTTGCTTCTTAGGATGGTCACTGTGGGACTAGGAGTGGAGGAGAGAAAGAAAACTTGCTTTTCACCGTACTAGAATCTTCTGCACCTTTTGAATTTTGCCGTTTATACTATGTCTTTACCTGTAAAGAAAAAAGAACTTTGAAATAAAGTTGCATTTGCTTGAACACTGTCTAATGAGATGTGCCACTCTCCATAAAGCATCTGAACTCATTTTTAGTGCTTTAATAAATATTAATTTTTAAAATATATATGCACAAATGCTATTAGCCCACAGATATGTAAAGGTAGTGACAGTGGCAAGTTAGAGATGAAAAGATACACTTCTTTCCTGCCTTCCTGTGGTGCCGAGACGGACGGAGCCAGCTGTCATTCAAGGAGCCTGCTGTATAACCCATCTATTATTATATCACATTAATCATAGGGATCTCACATTAAACAAACATGACATTAGGGAAATTTTCCTAGTTACAAAATGGTATATAATCAGTGAAATGGACTATTGAACACCAAATGTCATAGATTTTTTTTTTTTTTTTGAGACGAGTCAAGCTCTGTTACCCAGGCTGCAGTGCAGTGGTGCGATCTCGGCTCACTGCAAGCTCCGCCTCCCTGGTTCAAGTGATTTTGCTGCCTCAGCCTCCGGAGTAGCTGGGACTACAGGCACCCGCCACCACGCCCAGCTAATTTTTTTTTTTTTTGTATTTTTAGTAGAGATGTGGTTTCACCATGTTGGTCAGTCTGATCTCGAACCCCTGACCTCAGGTGATCTACCTACCTTGACCCCGCAAAGTGCTGGGATTACAGGTGGGAGCCACCGAGCCTGGCCATGGATGATCTTTCTACACAGATAAAAATAATCATTACTTAGCAATGACTTCACTGACTAATGATAGTAAGTTAACATCTATTGAGAATTTACTGTGTGCCTTATTGAGCACTGGGTTTAGAGTTTGATATGCAGTCTGGGAGCAGTGGCTTACGCCTGTAATCCCAGCATTTTGGGAGGCCGAGAAGGGTGGATCACTTGAGGTCAGGAGTTGAAGACCAGCTTGGCCAACATGGCGAAACCCCAACTCTACTAAAAATACAAAATTAGCCGGGCATGGTGGCATGGGCCTGTAGTCCCAGCTACTTGGGAGGCTGAGGCAGGAGAATCACTTGAACCTGGTAGGCTGAGGCTGCAGTGAGCCAAGAGGGCAACAGATTGAGACTCAGTCTCAAAAAAAAAAAAAAAGAGTTTGATATGCATTATTTCTTTTAATCTTCAAAACAATTTCCCTATTTCACAAATGAAGAAACGTAGAAACATTCTTCAGTTTACCTGATATAACACAACTAAGAAAGCCACAGAGTCTGGATTTGAATTCACTTCTGACTGACTCTAAAACTTAAGTTTTTAACCTCTACCCTACTTATTACTTTTAAAATTATGGTGAAAATTCAGGCTCAGTATGACTGTCTGTCATCCTATGGTTTCATGAATTGAATAAAAGGTGTCTAAAGGTTGAGAACTAGATTACCTTTGAGGAAACAGTTGCAAAGTATAGCAGGTATAGCTGATGTAGTCTTCATCTCAGTCCATAACTAAAGTTTGATTGGAGTCCAGCCAAGCTCATTTGTTTGTGTTGTCTATGGCTGCTTCTCTGCTACTATGGCAGAGTTGAGTACTTGCAACAACCAAAATTATTGACTAAATGGACCTTTACAGAAATGTTTGCTGATCCTTGTTCTAGAGTGATGGTCATGTACTCAGAAAGGCAAAAGAGAATAAAACTTTTAGAATTTAAAAATACCAGCCCCATTCTAAATGTGTTATTTTCATATTCACCCAAGTACTCCATTCCTGTTCAAAATTGCGTATTCAGGCCAGGGGCGTTGGCTCACACCTGTAATCCCAGCACTTTGGGAGGCCAAGGTGGGCGGATTATTTGAGGTCAGAAGTTTAAGACCAGCTTGGCCAATATGGTGAGACTCCTGTCTCTACTAAGACTACAAAAATTAGCCAGGCATGGTGGTGAGTGCCTTCTAATCCCAGCTACTTGGGAGGCTGAGGTGGGAGAATCACTTGAACGCAGGAGGCAGAAATTGCAGTGAGCTGAGATCGCGCCACTGCACTCCAGCCTGGGCAAGAGAGTGGCACTCCGTCTCAAAAACAAAAACAAAAACAAAATTGCATATTCAGTGCTGACCTAAAGAGCTTTAGCATTTGGGGAAATAACACCTGTTTTTAACAGGATGAATATGGTATGGATTTCATTCAACCACAAAGCCTCTTTTCGACGCTTGATCGGAGCCAAAAGGCTGAGAAGAAATAGGACTCTTCTTTGGTTTTGTTTTTTGGTTGGTTTTTCTGTGAGAAGGAGCTAGCTTACCTATGAGCACACATCCTTTGCTCCTGACTCTATTCTTAAGCAAAGACGTTCCAGGAAAAGAAATAAGCCAAGGATAGATGATGTTTTGCCAAAATGAAGTAATTATTATGGCTTGAGATATATATACGGTACTTGGAACTGGCTTAGAGAGATGATTGCCAGTTTTCCTTAGATTTCAAAGAACAGTGCTCCTTTTAAAAAAGCTTTAATGGCTCTAGAAAACATACAGAAGATTGTGTGAATTTGTAGAAGAGGACAGGGCTCTCTGTCGGGACCATGGCCACCAATTGCAGGGTGGAACTTTTAGTGAAACTGATGTGAAGGGATATGAATTCCAGCTACCCCTCCTCTTGTCACTGTCTCTGTCACCTTCTGCCCCAGAGAGGTGGCAGTTGCTCCTTGTTGCACAACCAGAAATCCAAGGTTATGCTTATGGACATCACCTGCTTCTAAGAGCCAAAAGCTGTGGGTGTCTTTAGGCAGCATGCCAGATGACTTTGAAATTTTGTTTTTTTAAGCTGGGAAGAACTCTCTAGAAGCTCCTCCACCCAGCTAACAGCTGACCTGTGTTGGCTTGTTTAAAACACTCATGAAATTGGCCACAGTACAAAACTCTTATGAAGCACTGGGCTTACCAGCAGAAACAGAGTACGTCTATGTAATTATGATAGAGCTATCACTACTCAATATCACTTGTAGGTCTAGACAAATGTTAATTCTAGCTAGTAAAAGTTAGGTTCTGATTATAGAATCTGGGTGGTGGGTATATAGGTGTTTATTGTACATTTATTTTTTCTTTTCTCTCTTATTCTTCTATTTTTTATTTTTTATATTTTTTGGAGACAGGGCCTCTCTCTGTTGGCCAGGCTGGAGTTCAGTGGCTCACTGCAGGCTCCACCTGCTGTGCTGCACAAGCCATCCTCCCACCTCAGCATCCTGAGTAGCTGGACTACAGGTGTGTACCACCACACCCGGCTAATTTTTATTTTTATTTATTTATTTTGAAATGAAGTATCGCTCTGTCACCCAGGCTGGAGTGCAGTGACACTCACTGCAGCCTCTGCCTCCCAGGTTCAAGCAATTCTTGTGTCTCAGCCTCCCAAGTAGCTGGGACTACAGGCACGCACCACCACACCTGGCTAATTTTTGTATTTTTAGTAGAGACATGGTTTCACCATGTTGTCCAGGCTAGTCTCTAACTCTTGGGATCAAGTGATCCTCCCACCTCGGCCTCCCAAAGTGCTGGGATTGCAGGTGTGAGCCACCGCACCCAGCCATTTACTGTACATGTCTTACGAATTTCCTGTATGTTTGAAGTTTTTTCTAATCAAATGCTGGGAAAAAATTAGATTCCGGTCTGAAAGCTGTCTTTTCTCCAATTTTCTGGAGGACAAAACAAAATTGAGAAAATATTAGAACTTAGGTAAAAACGTATATACCCTCTCCCCCAAAAAATACCTCAATTAAGATCATAAGGATTCTATGAATAATAAAAATACAAGATGAGATTCATAAGCTATGATAATGTTAATGATCTTTTCCTAAGCCTTGAAAACACTTTGGGAAAAACATTTGGACATTTCCTATTAAAATAATTCCCAGGATTATTCTTAAATTATCAGTGAATAATAGTAAGACTAATTGTGTGTGTGAGCGGAATGTTCTCCTCCCATTCAGACTTAAATTGCCATTACTTAATTGTTTCTAACTCCCAAGTAGCCCTCTTTGAACACTTTCGTCTCCCGGAAGTTCCCAAAAAGCCTCAACCCATGAGGATGTTGAAGTTCCCGCTTTCATTTTTTCTCATTTCCCTAATAAACATCCATTGCCATCTCTTCCTACGGCTGCCAAACTACCCCTGAGCTTCTACTCAGTCCACCTCTCAGCCTTTTCTGCACACATATAAACAAGCAGAGAAGAATATGAAGTGACTACTGAACATTGTACGTTTGGCTAATTAGACCTAATGAATTTTCTCAGCTTACTGATATTTTTTCTATTAATATACTGATATTTCATATTCATATACTAATACACCCTAAACCTAATCCCCCGCTCCACAAAAAGTCTCTTGATTAAGTACATAAGGAGCTACGTATTTAGCTTAATAAGAAAAAAAAAGAAATTGAAGAAGAGAAAATGAAAATAACAATAAAAAGTGAAATTGAAAACTGATCAAGCAAAAAAGAGAGAAAGTAAGGGAGATGGGGAGAGTTAATAAGTACAAAAAAATAGAAAGAATGAATAAGACCTAGTATTTGGTAGCACAACAGGGTGACTATGGTCAATAATAATTTAATTGTACATTTAAAAAAATACTAAAAGAGGGGCAGGGCACGGTGGCTTACGCCTATAATCCCAGCACTTTGAGAGGCCAAGGCAGAAAGATCATTTGAGGGCAGGAGTTTGAGACCAGCCTGACCAACATGGTGAAACCCCATCTCTACTAAAATACAAAAATTAGCCAGGCGTGGTGGCTGGCACCTGTAATCTGAGCTACTCGGGAAGCTGAGGCAGAAGAATTGCTAGAACCCAGGAGGCAGAGGTTGCAGTGAGCCCAGATCACGCCACTGTACTCTGGCCTGAGCGACAGAGTGATACTCCATCTCAAAAATAAATAAATAAAATAAAAATTAATAAAAGTATAATTGGGTTGCTTGTAACATAAAGGATAAATGCTTCAGGGGATGGATATCCCATTTATTTATTTATTTATTTATTTATTTACTTACTTATTTATGGGTTTCTTTGAGACAGTCTCGCTCTGTCACCCAGGCTGGAGTACAATGCCATGATCTCAGCTCATTGCAACCCCCACCTCCCAGGTTCAAGCAATTCTCCTGCCTCAGCCTCCCGAGTAGCTGGGACTATAGGCATGCGCCACAAGGCCCAGCTAATTTTTCTATTTTTAGTAGAGACACAGTTTCACCATGTTGGCCAGGATGGTCTCAATCTCTTGACATCGTGATCCGCCCACCTCCGCCTCCCAAAGTGCTGGCATTACAGGCGTGAGCCACCGGGCCCGGCCAGATACCCGATTTTACACGATGTGATTATTATGCACTGCATGCCTGCATCAAAACATCTCGTGTACTCCATAAATATATACACTTGCTATGTACCCACAAAAATTAAAATAAAAAATTGAAAAGAGGGAAAGTAAAAATAAAAAGAATAAGAAAGATATAACCGTGAATACAGGAGAGATTAAAGATATAAATGTTAACTTCACAAAATTATGTGGCAGCAAATATGAAGATCTAGAGGAAATGGGTAACTTCCAGTAGCATGTAAATTACCAGAAATGACCCAAAAGAAAATGGAAAATCTGAATGGTCCATTATCATAGAAGATATTGGAAAAGTTATTAGACATCTTTCATTAGAGGAAGAGGAAACAAGTCTGGCACGGTGGCTCAGGCCTGTAATCCCAGCACTTCAGGATGCCGAGGTGAGCAAATCACTTGAGGTCAGGAGTTGGAGACCAGCCTGGCCAACATGGTGAAACCCTGTCTCTACTAAAAATACAAAAATTAGCCAGGCATGGTTGCACAGGCCTGTAATCCCAGCTACTCAGGAGGCTGAGGCAAGAAAATTGTTTGAACCTGTGAGGCAGAGCTTGCAGTGAGCAGAGATCAAGCCACTGCACTCCAGCCTGGGCGAGGGAGTGAGACTCTGTCTCAAAAAAACAAAAAAGAAAAAAAAGAAAGAAGAGGAAGTATAAAAACTATTATCAATATCGTCAGAGTGATCTCCATGGAATGAGAGCAGGATAATACAAAACAAGGAGCAACAGAGAGCAGATGATAGAAAATAACTTTTAGAAATTTAAAATATGACTATCTACATAAAAAACTCAATAAAACATTAGGGAGAGTAAGTCTAGGAAATCCCCCAGAAAGTATAGAAACAAAGACAAAAGTATAGAAAACAAAAGATAAAATATAGGAGAAATAGAAGACCATTCAGGAAGTCTAATTTTTATTTTAATTTATTTTATTTTATGAGAGAGAGTCTCGCTCTGTCATCCAGGCTGCAGTGCAGTGGCGCGATCTCAGCTCACTGCAACCTCTGCCTCCCAGGTTCAAGCCATTCTTCTGCCTCAACCTCCAGAGTAGCTGGGACTACAGGTGCACACCACCATGCCTTGCTAATTTTTTGTATTTTTTGGTAGAGACGGGGTTTCACCATGTTGGCCAGGCTGGTCACGAACTCCTGGCCCTCAAGTGATCTGCCCGCTTCAGCTTCCCAAAGTGCTGGGATTACAAGCATGAGCCACCGCACCTGGCCCTTATCAATAGGAATGTTATTGTAAATAGAGAAAAGGAAGTTGTTTTGGGTGTTTTTTTTTTAACTAGTAAATTTCCTAGTACTGAAGGGAAGTAAATCACTGAGTATCTAAATTGAAATAAATCAATGAGTGTCTAGGTCAAAGAATGAAAACCAACCACAGTAAAACAAAGAAATAACTAAAACCTACATGGATGCAAATTTTTTAAAGTGGAGAAAAAAGAAAAGGAGGAGGAGGGGAAGAATTGATAGGTTGCTTGGTGCCTTTGACCAGATGGGGAATAAGAAAGAGAAGTTCTGTTGAAGAATGAAGGAAGAATGATTTGGGTACATACAAACCTGAGCAAACGAACAAACAAAAAGCAATCATTAACTTCAGGAAAAACAGAAAGTAACTCAAGAAAAAAAATGTCGTCATAGCATATTAATTGGCTCAACAGTGAACATAATTTAACTAATTGTTATAAACTCCATCAACACTGGGACTTTATTTGGATTACTAATGAATCTCCAGCACCTACAGTAGTGCCTGACACATAGTATGCTCTCAAAAAATACTGATGAATTAATGAATGAGTACTGAATAATAACATTAACTGCGATATAACGACTAGAAGAATGTGGGAGGAGAAGGCTTAGGAAGGCTGAAGCTTCCTCCTGTATAATAGAAAATCCATAGGTAAAGTAACAACAACAAAAAAGAAGTAGGGATGGGGTGAGTCAAGAAATAATTGTAAAAGAATATGGAAGTATAATCCTGAAATGAATAGGTAAAAGAGTTGCAAGTGTCTGGCCTTGGGGTGTGGGGCTTAGTGGGTGTGGGTGGGCAGAGAATCTTATTTTCTTAATTACAATCTTTGTAATATAAAAAGAGGCAAACTGGAATGGGCCTGGGGCTTCCTTTTCCTCCCCCTCTGCACCCCTACAGTAATTTATCAAGAAGCTAGCTGAGCAGGTCTGAATTAGCTCAACAGAAGAACCAGCAGCCTCTGGCTGATACTAAGAGCTCAGCTCTGGAGGCTCCTCAGCTCAGCTTCTTCTCCCCAAAGAGGTTCCCACTGTTGCCTAACTGACTCAACATTCCCTGCAACTTTCCAACTCCCCTATAAACCTGCAAAACAGCACGGGGTGGAATCCTTCTCCTGGAGCTCTTTCTGCTGTAGAATGTCTGTGCCCAGGCACATCTCTAGGTGAGAAAATTAGAGGTGTGAGCACTGAAGATTCCCTGCCTGTCTATGTCCCAGTGAGCCTTGGACTGAACATGCATTGTTCCAAAGAAGATATACAAATGCCAATGATGTCTCAATCAGAGTGAGAGAAAAAATAAAAACAAAACAAAACAACGAATGGCCAACAAGCCCATAAAAAGTGCTCAGCATCACTAATCATTAGGGAAATGCAAAGCAAAGCCACAGTGAGATGTCATCTCCTAGCCATTAGGATGGCTACTATTAAAAAAAAATCAGACAGAAAATTACAAGTGTTGATAAGGATGTGAAGAAATTGGAACTTTTGTACAATGTTGGTGGAAATGTAAAATGGTGTAGCCACTATGGAGAATAGCATGGTAGTTCCTCAAAAAATTAAAAATAGAATTACTATGTGATTCAGCACTTCCACTTCTTGGTATATACCTCAGGGGATTAAAAGCAGGTAAGTGGGAGCTAAGCTATGGGTATGCAAAGGCATAGAGAATGGTATAATTGACAATAAAGAATCAGAAAGGGGGAGTGTGGGAAGTGGGGAGGGATGAAAAACTACCTATTGGGTACAATGCACACTACTCAGGTGATGGGTACACTAAAATCCTAGACTTCACCCCATGCAATTCATCCATGTAACCAAACTCGCATGTACCCCTAAAGCCACTGGAATTTAAGAAAAAAAAAAGAAAGCAGGAACTCGAAGAGATATTTGTACACCTATGTCCATAGCTCCATTATTTGCAATAGCCAAAAGGTAGAAGCAACCTATGTGTCCATTGAGGATAAATGGATGAACAAAATGTGGTATTATTTCGTGGTAATATATGGTGCAATAAAATATTATACAGCCTTTAAAAGGAAGGAAATTCTGACAAATGCTGTCATTGGGATGAACCTTAAGGACATTATGCTAAGTGAAATAAGCCAGTCACAAAAAGGCAAAACTGTATGATTACGTTTAGTATCTAGAGTAGGCAAATTCATAGAAACAGAGGAGAATGACAGCTGCCAGGAGCTAGGAGGAGGGGAAAGTAGGGAGTTGCTTGATAGGTATAAAATTTCAGTTTTGCAAGAGGAAAAAGCTCTGGAGATTGATTGTACAATAATGTGAATATACTTAACACTACTGAACTATGCACTCAAAAATTGTTAAGACGGCACATTTTGTTATGTGTATTTTTTCCACAACTAATTTTTTTTTTTTTGAGACAGGGTCTCACTTTGTCACCCAGGCTGCAATCATGGCTCACTGCAGCTTTGACCTCCTGGGCTCAAGTGATCCTCCCACCTCAGCCTCCCCATAGATGAGATTACAGGTGTGTGCCACTGTGCCCAGATAATTATTTATATTTTGTAAAGACAGGGTCTCACTATGTTGCACAGGCTGGTCTCGAACTCTTGGGCTCAAGTGATCTTTCCACCTTGGCCTTCCAAAGTGCTGGGATTACAGGCATGTGCTACAGCACCCAGCCCTAAAATGTTTTTAAATTAACTCAAAATGGATTAAAGATCTTAATGTAAAAGCTAAAACTATAAAACTCTTAGAAGGAAACATAGGTGTAAGTCTGTGTGACTTTGGATTAGGCGGTAGTTTCTTAGGTATGACACCAAAAGAATGAGCAGCAAAGAAAAATGGAAATATTGGACTTTATTCAAGTTAAATAGATACTATCAAGAAGGCAAAGAGACAACCCAAAAATGGGGGATAATATTTGCAAATCATGTGTCAGGTAAGGGACTAGTACCTAGAATATTTAAAGAACATTTATAATTCAACAGGAAAAAGATAAATAACCAATTTTGAAATGTGCAAAGGATTTATATAGACATTTCTCTGAAGAAAATATTCAAGTGGCCAATAGGTGGAAGAAAAGATGCCCCAAATCATCAGTCAACAGGGAAATGGCAATGAAAACCACAAGGAGATGTCACTTTACACCCACTAAGAAGGTTATAATCAAAAGAAAAGAGAAGAGAAAAGAAGGAAGGAGAAAAAGAAAGAAGAAACTGTTAGTGAGGATGTGAAGAAATTGCAACCCAGTAGCTCACACCTGTAGTCCCAGCACTTTGGGGAGCCCGAGGTAGGAGGTTCACTTGAGGTCAGGAGTTCCAGGCCAGTCGGGGCAACATAGTGAGACCCCCATCTCCACAAAAAATTAAAAATTAAAAAATTAGCTGCGTGTGGTGGCACGTGACTGTAGTCCCAGCTACTCAGGTGGCAGAGGTGGGAGGATCCCTTGAGCCCAGGAAGTGGAGGCTGCAATGAGCCGTGATAGTGCTCCACTGCCTGACAGAGCAAGTTGCCGTCTCTACAAAAATAAATAATGAAATTGGAGCCTTCTGGGAATGTAAAATGGTGCAGTGGCTGTAGAAAACAGTTTGGTGGGTCTTTAATAAGTTACACATAGAATTACCATATGAGAGCCCACACCTGATGGCTGGCCCCGCCCCACTCACCTAGCCCAGCGCCTTCTCTGCACCAGGAAAGCCCCACTCACCTGAAGCCAAGCTGTCCAGCAGGCAGGCCATGGCCAGACCACCGAGAAGCCACAGTGGGCCACATCCAATGTCTTCGTGATGTTTGACCAGCCCCAATCTGGGAGTTTAAGGAGGTCTTCCACGGGTTTGCCCAGAGCTGTGATGGCTTCATTGACAAAGAAGGCCTGGCCTCGCTGGGGAAGAACCCCATGGTGAACAGCCGGAGGGTGAGATGAGTGAGGCCCCGGGGCCCATCAACTTCACCATGCTGCTCACTGTGTTTGGGGAGCAGCTGAACCGCATGGACCCTAAGGATGTGATCTGCAACACTTCGATGAGGAAGCCTCAACTTCAGGTTTTATCCAGGAAGCCCGCCACGGTGACCACCTCACAGACCAGCAAGTGGGCGAGTTGTACCCGGAGGTGCCTGTTGACAAAAAAGGCAACTTCAACTATGTGGAGTTCACCCGCATTCTCAAACACGGCACCAAGGACAGAGACCACTAGGCCATCCCAGTCGTCCTGACGCCCAGGCCCTGTCCCAGTCACCCCTCCCCGCACACACAGTCTGTACCAGCTCCATGCCCACGACCCTGCAAGACCCTCTCAGGGGGTCCCCCCTTTGAGAGGTTAGGATCCCAGCTCCCAGTGGAGGAAACGGGCCAAGAAATGTGAATGCCAGGCAAGGAGCACACTATGGAGCTGAGGCCGGTGTTCCCACCATGACCCCAGGACCAGGGGAGGGAGCCTCAGACCCCTCCAAGGAAAGATCACCTTCTGGGGAGATGGGCCAAGGGCAGGAACTGGAGGCACCAAGGGAAGACTCCTCAAGAGAGCTCAGGCCTTGGCCGAGGCCTGCCCATTCCTGGGCTGCCCCCTAGGAGGAAGGGGCCTTGAGTTGTGGGATCTGACACTACTTCACGTGCATTCTCACATAAACACAAGCTCACCAAGGTCCCCTCTCAAAGGACAGGACGCCAGACCCCTCCCCTACACCCTGTCCGGCACCAGAGCACACCCACACACAGCACACCACCCACTGTGGGAGTGTACTCACGAGGACGCAGAGGGAGGGACATCCGACCCAGGGGAGGCAGAATCTCCAATAGAGGGCTGAGCACTGAAAAGAAAAAGAAAGAAAGAATTACTGTGTAAACCAGCAATTCCACTCTTAGGTATAGGCCCAAGAGAATTGAAAACATACGTTCACACAAAAACTTGTGCACAAATGTTTACAGCAGTGTTATTCACAACAGCACAAAACTGGAGACAACCCAAATGTCCATCAACCAATGAATGGAGAAACAAAATGTGATACATTCATGCAGTGGGCTACTATTCAGTCATAAAAAGGAATGAAATGCTGCTCCATGCTACATCAGGATGAACCTTGAAAACATGATGCTAAGTTGGCTGGGTGTGGTGGCTCACGCCTCTAATCCCAGCACTTTGGGAGGCCGAGGCAGTCAGTTCACCTGAGGTCAGGAGTTCGAGACCAGCCTGGCCAATATGGTGAAACCCCATCTCTACTAAAAATATAAAAATTAGCCGGGCATGGTGGTGGGCTCCTATAATCCCAGATACTCGGGAGGCTGAGACAGGAGAATCGCTTGAATCCAGGAGGCGGAGGTTGCAGTGAGTGGAGATTGTGCCACTGCACTCCAGCCTGGGTGACAGAGTGAGACTCTGTCTCAAAAAACAAACAAACAAAAAAATTACGCTAAGTGAATGGAGACAGGCACCAAAGACCACGTATTATATGATTCCACTTATGTGAAATGTCCAGAATGGGAAATCTACCTTATGGGAAACCAGAAAGTAGATTTATGGTTGCTAGGGGATAGGGAGGGGAGAAAATTGCCGCTAATTACTTATAGGTACAGGGTTTCTTTTGGGGTGGTGAAAATGTTCTAGAGTCGATAGTGGTGATGGTTGCACAGCATGTTCACTATAACTAAAACCACTAAAGTGTATACTTCAAAATGGGTGAATTTTACATCATGTAATTTATATTTGATTTTTTTAAATGAAAAAAATATTATGGGGATGGGTTTAAAATTACAAAAAAGCATCCCAAATAAAATAACAATCATTAATTATACCATTATCTAGTATTAACCCTGTTAAGCATATTCTTTATATGTGTACAAACAATAAGTCTTCATAATAATTTAAATAATGTAGTTTATATAAAGAAGTTTGAAGATGAAAAAAATCACTCCAAATCCCATCAATTACTACCTTTAGGGAAATATTAGTTCTAGATATAGCATACACATGCTGACACACACACACACACCCCTAAAAGAAGAGAAAGATTTTATTAGAATAGCATTAAGTATAGGATGTTCTTTTAAAGTATACAATTTAATTTTATTTGCATTTGATAGAGTAAAAAGAAAGTGAAATACATCTAGAGGAACTGTTGAATTTTCAAGTAAATGCTTCTGCACAATAAAATACATTATTAAAAATCTTCTGGGTTTAAAGAGTTGGAGACAGAGAAGGAGGGAGGGAGAAAGAAGAGAAAAAAACACTAGAGATTATGAAAAATAAAGCTAGTGTCTATTTTTAAAAACTCTATAGTTCCATTTCAGGTAGCGGCCAGTGTTCTCCTGCTTTGGAAGATGAGGGCATAGCTCTTACTCTCTCCCAGCCCCCACATTTTTTTGTTTGTTTGTTTTTTGAGATGGAGTTTCGTTCTTGTCTCCCAGGCTGGAGTCCAATGGCGCAATCTCGGCTCACTGCAACCTCCGCCTCCCAGGTTCAAGTGATTCTCCTGCCTCAGCCTCCTGAGTAGACCATGCTGGCTAATTTTTGTATTTTTAGTAGAGATGGGGTTTTACCATATTGGCCAAGATGGTCTCGAACTCCTGACCTCAGCTGATCCTGGGATTGCAGGAGTGAGCCACCGTGCCCAGTCCAGCCCCCATGTTTTATGCCCTCTGTGGTATCATTAGTTATATTGCTATTCTCATACTGTCCAGGTTTGTATCAGTCACATGCTCCTATGTAACAATAACCCAATAGGTAGTCATTCTTGAGCTGGATTTTATGGAGTTTGTGCTCACAGCCGGTTTTGGTTTGTTTGTTTTTTAACTGTGGCTTCTGCATTTCTGGATCATTTGTGGTGATTCATCTTGAAATCATCTGGATTTCATTGTTAAGCAGTTTGTTTTTTTCCTAAGAAGAACTCACGGTTTTGTATTACCTGAGATTTTTCATGCCTGTGAACGTCTTCTTATTGACTTTGCTCATGAACAACATCTTGCCTGGCTATTAATTCTTGGGTCACAGGTTTTGTTTTTTGGTTAGAATTTTCTAGCTACAGCTCCTATGACCTGGGGTTTTAAGCACTGTTGTGTCCCTCTTTTGGGTAGTTTCATTTTATGTCTAAATGCCTAGAGACTTCTTTCCTTATCCTTTAAATTCACAGAAGATGTCTTGGAGAAGAGAGTTTATCAAGTTCTCCTGGTACGTTATATTATGTTGTATTTTCTATACTCTGTGGATTTAGTTTTTTCTTCAGTTTTAGTTGTGTCATCTTATATGACATAGTTTAACATAACTACTTTCTACTTCTTGGGTTCTTTGTACATATGTTGGATTATTGTTATCTATCTTCCATATGTTTTAGATTGCCCAGTTATTTTACTGTCTTTGTCTTATTCATCTACATTTGCTAGGATTATTTCCAGCCTTTCCCCTTTGTCATTCATTCCTTTATTAATGCTGTTTATTCTGATTGTTGTTCTTTCTTATTTATTCATTTATTTGAGACAGGGTCTCAATCTGTCACCCAGGCTGGAGTGCAGTGGCACAATCACAGCTCATTGCAGCCTCAACCTCCCAAGCTCAGGTGATCCTCCCACCTCAGCCCCCTGAGCAGCTGGGAATACAGTTGTGTGCCACCACAGCTGGCTAATTTTTGTGTTTTTTGTGAAGACAGGGTTTCACCATGTTGCCCAGGCTGGTCTCAAACTCCTGGGCTTAAACGATCCATCTGCCTTGGCTTCCCAAGGTGCTAGGATTACAGGCATTAATCACTGTGCCAGGCCTCTAATTTATTTATTCTATAATAATGTTGACTTGGACCTCAGTTAATTCCTAGTTCTGAATTCCCCCTCTGTCTCATCTTTGAGCTTGTTTTATGGTGTTCATATTCTTTTTTTTTTTTGCGATGGAGTCTCACTCTGTTGACCAGGCTGGAGTGCAGAGGCACGAACTTGGCTCACTGCAACATTTGCCTCCTGGGCTCAAATGATTCTCCTGCCTCAGTCTCCCAAGTAGCTGGGATAACAGGTGTGTGCCACCACGCCCGGCTAATTTTTGTATTTTTAGTAGAGATGGGGTTACCCTATGTTATCCAGGCTGCTCTTTAACTCCTGACCTCAAATGATCCACCTGCCTCAGCCTCCCAAAGTGCCAGAATTACAGACTTGAGCCACCGCACCCGGCCAAAGACCTTTTTTTTCTTTTCCTTGAATTATATATATATTTTCCCAGTTGGACCCTTCTCTGCTTTTTTTTTTTGGCGGCGGGAGGGGCGGGGGGTGGGATGTGGCTGTAAGAACATTTATCTCCTGATATACCATTGTGAAAATGAAAAACGGTGCAGCTGCGCTTCGGAAAATAGTTTGGTCATGCCTCAAAATGCTAAACATAAGAGTTACCAAATCATCCAGTTTAACTCATAGCTATATACCCAAGAGAATTTAAAACATATGTCTACACAAAAACCTGTACATAGCAGCATTATTAAAAATGGCTAAAAAGTAGAAATAATCTAAATATCCATTAACAAATGAATGTATGAACAAAAGGTTGTGTATTCATATAATGGACTCCAATTCAGGCATAAAAAAGAATGCAGTCAGATATATGCTACAGCAGGATACATACACCTTGAAAGCATTATGCTAAGTGAAAGAAGCCAGGTACCAAAGACCACGTATTGCATGACTGCATTTATGTGAAATACCCAGAAGTGGTTGGATTCTCTGTATAATTAAAGGTGGGGCTGACAGGATTTGCTGACATATTGGTTGGGAGGTATGGGAGAAAGGAGAGCCAAGAATGACTTTGAAGTCGGCCTCAGCACTTGGCAAGAATGAGACTGTTACTCTCTACCAAGATGAAGAGGACCAGAGGAGCAGGGACAGGTGAAATATTAGAAGATTGGCTTGGGACAGGTTAAATTTGAGATGCTTCCAAGTGGAGCAGTTGAGGAGTGTGGTGTAATAAAGAATACATCTTTGTTCTGGGTCTCTGGCACACAGCTTCAAAAAAACTCTTGGAATTTCCTGAGTGACAGCGACAGGAATGCGCTTGTTATGCTAATGAGGTGACTCGCGGCCTTAGATGGCTTCAGGATCGGGGCTGGTCACCAGAAAGAACTGCTTTGTGAATAGAGGGTTGCAGCTTTGGGTCAGCCTCATCCCTGGGAGGGGAGGGTGGCTGGAGATAGAGTTCAATCACATAGCCTGAGAACAAAAATCAGTAAAAACCCTGGACACCAAGGTTGATGACACCTGGTTGATGATCAGTCATGTGACAGGAGAGGGCACAGAAGCTCTGTACTCCCTCCCAGACCTCATCCTGTGTGCATCCTTTATAGGAAGTATAGCACCTTCAGTCAGCTCTGTCCATCATGTTAGGGAATTACTGAAACTGGAGGGGTCACAGTAAGGGAGGAGACCACCCCTCATATTGTCTTATGCCCAATTTCTGCCTCCAAAGAAAGAAGTAAAAACTAAAAGGCAGAAATGAAATCCACAAGCAGACAGCCCGGCGCCACACCCTGGGCCTGGTAGTTAAAGATCCACCCCTAACCTAATCAGTTATGTTACCTATAGATTACAGACATCGTATAGAAAAGCACTGTGAAAATCCCTGTCCTGTTCTGTTCCGATCTATTTACCAGTGCATGCAGCCCCCAGTCATGTACCCACTGCTTGCTCAATCGATCATGACCCTCTGATGCAGACCCCCTTAGAGTTGTGAACCCTTAAAACGGACAGGAATTGCCCACTCAGGGAGCTCGGTTGTTGGAGATGTGAGTCTTGCCGAAGCTCCCGGCTGAATAAAGCCCTTCCTTCTTTAACTCGGTGTCTGAGGGGTTTTGCCTGTGGCTTGTCCTGCTACAACAGGAATCCCTGAATTTATAGCAGGTGGCCTGGGTGTCAGAGGTGTGTGAACCAGAGCAACTCTATCTTGAATAGGAGCTGGGTAAAATGAGGCTGAGACCTATTGGGCTGCATTCCCAGACAGTTAAGGCATTCTAAGTCATAGGATGAGATAGAAGGTCCGCACAAGATACAGGTCATAAAGACCTTGCTGATAAAACAGGTTGCAGTAAAGGAGCCAGCTCTAACCCACCAAAACCAAGATGGCCACGAGAGTGACCTCTGGTTGTCCTCACTACTACACTCCCACCAGCGCCATGACAGTTTACAAATGCCATGGCAATGTCAGGCAGTTACCCTATATGGTCTAAAAAAGGGAAGCATGAATAATCCACCCCTCGTTTAGCATATCATCAAAAAAAAACCCATAAAAATGGGCAACTAGCAGCATTCGGCACTGCTCTGTCTATGGAGTAGCCATTCTCTTATTCATTTACTTTCCTAATAAACTTACTTTCATTTTTGTGGACTTGCCCTGAATTCTTTTTGGCACGAGATCTAAGAACCCTCTCTTGGGGTCTGGATCAGGACTCCTTTCCTGTAACATGGGGACCCCACTGTGGCTGCTGTCTACTGGGGACAATTCCCTTTAACTTGTGGTTGAATGGTATTGCAGTGTGCCCAATTGCTGTAGGAGCAGGTGGATGGAGATGGGATGAGGGGTCGGCTGGCATTGAGCTCAGGGATCCAGGGAAGCAGTCAAGGCTAGAGAGAAAGCGTTGTGAGCTATGAGCACGTGAAGGCTGTTTGAAGGCCCAAGACTGGATGAAGCTTTCTTGTGTGTGTGTGTGTGTGTGTGTGTGTGTGTGTGTGTGTTCCAATACAACTTTATTCATAGACCCTGAAATGTGAATTTCATAGGATTTTCATGTGTCATAAAATATTCTTTTCCAGCCATTTAAAAAATGTAAAAACCTATGACATTATGTTAAGTCATAATGAAAGAAGCTAGCCACAAAGGACCATATATTGTATGATTCCATTTATATAAAGTGCCCAGAATAGGGAAGCCCACAGAGAAAGAAAGTAGATTAGTGGTTTCCCGGGGCTGGGAGAGATAGAGAGACTGGGAGTGTGGGGTTTCTTTTGGTGGTGATGAAAATGTTCTAAAAAGTAATTGTGGTGATGTTCATACAACCATGAATGTACTAAAAGCACTGAATTATACATGTTAAAATGGGCGAGTTGGGCCGGGTGTAGTGGCTCATGCCTGTAATCCCAGCACTTAGGGAGGTTGAGGCGAGTGGATCACTTGAGGTCAGGAGTATGAAACCAGCCTGGCCAACATGGTGAAACCCCGTCTCTACTAAAAACACACACACACACAAAAAATTAGCCAGGTGTGGTGGCGGGCGCCTGTAATCCCAGCTACTCAGGAGGCTGAGGCAGGAGAATTGCTTGAACCCAGGAGGCAGAAGTTGCAGTGAGCCAAGATTACGCCACTGCACTTGGATGAAGCTTTCTAAGGAGTGAGTATAGACAGAAAAGAGATATCTGAGGCCATGCCAACATTTAGAAATGAGAAAAGGCTGGGTGTGGTGGCTCACATCTATAATCCCAATGCTTTGGGAGGCAAGGTGGGAGGAGTTTGAGACCTGCCTGGGCAACACAGCAAGATGCTGTCTCTACCAAAAATTTAAAAACTTAGCTGGGCATTGTGTGATGCATGCCTGGAGTTCCAGCTACTCAGGTGGCTGAGGCAGGAGGATCACTTGAGCCCAGGAGTCCAAGGTTGCAGTTAGTCATGATTGCGCTACTGTACTCAGCCTGGGTGACAGGACAAGACCCTGTCTCAATAAACATTTTTTTAAAATTAAAAAAATAAAGCAAGGAAGATGAGGAGGAAGCAGCAAAGGAGTCTGGAAAAGAGCAGCCAGAAGGGAAAACCAGACAACCATTGTCCCTGGAAAAGATAAACTGTGTCCAATGTTGCTGCTAGGCTAAGTCAGGGGGAGACTGGGGATTTTTCATTCCATTTAACAACGTGGAGGTTCTAGGAGATCAAGGTGAGAGAAGGTTAAATGGAGTGATGAAGTATAAGGAAGAATGGGAGGTGAGAGATTAAAGCAACTCATGCAACAGTTTTCCTATAAAGAGAAGAGAATTATGACAATGGCTGGAGGAGGGCATTGGTCTGTTTTCTGAAAGGCAGACTGAGCAGAAGTTTCATATGCAGACAGAAATGACCCAGGAGGAAGGGAAACATTTACACGGGAGAAGGACCTGGATCAGGGCAAGTGGGGCGAGTGAGAGGGGAGCTGGGACAGGGACCCGTGCACAAGTGGAGAGGCCAGCCCCAGTGACAGCAAGACACAGTTCACCCACAGTGCAGGAGACAAGTTGCAGTACACAGAAGAGAGGACTGTGTGGGTGCCAGGTGCCTACAGAAACTCTGCTCTAATTACTGTTGTCACAGTTTGGATGATCTAGAAGTAGACACTGAGACAGAGATGTTTATCAGAGTTCAACACCTATGAACAGAAAGCAAGAGTAGGCAGAGGAAGAAGGCAAACTGGGAGGCGAGCCCAACACAGCTTGGCCAGCCCAGCGGGGCACTCTGGAGGTTGCATCGCCCACCAGGGTTGTCCTGCTGTGGGCTGTCCTCTGCGGCCAGCTTCCCCAGCCCATTCTGCAGCCTAAATATGCTGGGATTCTTTGGGTTCTCCCAGTAAGAGGCTGTTGTACAGGTGTGGCCATGCTCGATGCCAGCTGTGGACCCCTGGGGTGTCCTGAGGACTGTGCCTCTTCCGGTCCACTAGATCTTGTAACTGCCTCAGAGAGCTGTGTGTCCAGGGCCACTCATCACTGGATCTGCTGCCATGTACATTGGTTCAATATCTCTGATCCAGGAAGAGGGACATTTGGGACAGGAAGAGGGATGCGTGGTGTGCAGGGTGGGGGTCTGGCAGGCTGAATGTGGGAAGAGCAAGAGAAAGATCATGAAAATAAATGGGCTAGGCATGGTGGCACACACCTGTAATCCCAGCACTTTGGGAGGCTGAGGCATGGTGGCACACACCTCGAGGTCAGGAGTTCGAGCAACATGGTGAAATCCTGTCTTTACTAAAAATACAAAAATTAGCCAAGTGTGGTGGTGGGAGCGTGTAATTCCAGCTATATGGGAGGCTGAGGCAGGAGAATCACTTGAACCCGGGAGGCAGAGGTTGCAGTGAACCAAGATTGCACCACTGCACTCCAGACTGGGTGACAGAGCGAGACTCCATTTCAAAAAAAAAAAAAAAAAAAGAAAGAAAAGAAATGGAAGGTGGACCAAATTAGATGAACCAATCCAAATCCCAAGAACAGCCTCACGAACCAAGACTAGGTCACTCTCAGCTCTCCACTAAAATGGCCTCTCTTGGGGCAAATGTGGCTTACTGCTTATAGCCGTGAACTGCTCATTAGGTCATCCCTGGGCCCTCTGATGTGGGAAATCATTCCTTGGTCTGTGCATCTTCTGTTTGGCCCTCTGGACCCACCCCCCTCTCTTCCCTGCCCTGACCTCTGCTCTGGGAGGCTCAGCTGTACAAGTTAGTCAGTTCCCTCCCTCTTTGGGTTGGGTTCAGTCAATAGGGAGCACCATCAGGAAACTGGAAGCAAGGAGGAGAATGAGGCCAGAGTATTTGTTCCCCTTACTCTCCTGTGATGCTCTGCCCTTGGACAGTAACTCGTTGGTTCTCTCAAAGCCTCTTAATCCACATGACTCTCCTTCAGGCTACAGGCATGCTTTCCCCCCATTCTCTCAGATTCCATTCTACAGAGTCCTGTCTAGTCTTTGCATGGTTTGCTTTTACCCTACCCATATTTTGGGAATAAGTCCCTTTGCAAATAAACCCTTCTCAAATATTACGTTTCTTGTCCCTGCCTGATCCACCTTCTAAGTCTTGATCTGCTGCCAGAGCAGCTGGGAGTGGAGGACAAAAAGAACTGGGCACAGAAACTGTAGTCAGAGGAGAGTATGTATCAGTGAGGACCCTCGCAGTTGCCATGGTCAAAGCCCAGGAGACTGTGGGAAACAGAAACCATCAGCTTATGTAACTCAAGAGCACACAGGCCATCTTTCTGCAGGTACAACGGATCTAAGGATGGAAACACTTCCTCAAGGCCCTGTCTCTTGTTTCATCTGCTGCTTTTGCTTGAGGTGTTTGTTTTATTCATAGGCAAGCTCTGGTTTTGAGGAGGCAAAGATGGCTAAAGGCAACACGCTGAGTAAAAGCTTCAGCCAAAGATGGCTAAAGGCTTCAGCGCTGATCCCATAGAAAGGAAGGATCTCTTTCCTCGCAGCACCAGCAAAAGTCCTGAGTCTTTCACTGATTGGCTTGATTTGGGTCACACGCTCATTCATGTGACCAGGGGATGGTGTCACAGAATTGACCAGACTTGGTTCATCTGCCCAGCTCTGTAGTGGGAGGGGGTGGACGGCCAACCTCGCTTGCAACACATAGTGTGAGTTCTCTGCAAGGAAGAAGAGCTCTATCACCAGCAGTGGGGTAGGAAAATGATCTAGGATAGCAGAAGTGAAAGCTCCCACAGTTCAGTGTAAGTGACTTCAGGGTGGAGGTATCAGTAGTGGCTTTTGGGAATTCTGAGAAACTGCTGCACCCCTTTCCCCTGGAAGTAGGTGACAGAACAACGTGGCCCTCTTTCCACACTTGGTGGTCGGCCTGATGGGTGGGCAAACTGGGAGAGGTAGGCTCTAGGGGATTGTGAATTGCTTTGAAATTTGACACTATCCCCCAAAATGAGAAATGACTTTGGGCTCCAAGTCTGTTTAGATATCTCACAAGCAATGCTATTGACAGTGTGGGATTCTGAGAGCCACAGCAAGGGAGACCCAAGTGAATGCACCCTCAGCCTGGCAACAAGAGCCCCAGCCCAAGAACTGTAGGGTCTAGCAGGCAGACGCAGATGTGTGGAAGCTCAGCCCCTACTAGCCTCCACCTGGTTGCCCTCCCTGGAGCCTACACAGTTGCATCATGAGGGGGTACCATGAGGCCTTGTTGGAACCCTGCACCTTGAGTTTTCGCTCTCCTTCAAGGAATTCTCTTGGACCCACTGCACTGATTTTATTTTTGCCGTACCAGTTCATGTAAGAAACTCTGCCTGGTCAAGAGAACCTTAGGCTGGATGTGGTGACTCACGCCCTTAATCCCAGCACTTTGGGAGACCCAGGCAGGAGGATCCCTTGAGGCCAGGAGTTCCAGATCAGCCTGGGCAACATAGGGAGACCCTGTCTCAAAACAAATTTTTAAAATTAGCCAGGCATGGTGGCATGCACCTGTAGTCTCAGCTGCTTGAGGGGCTGAGGCAGGAGGATCACTTGAGCCTAGGAGGTTGAAGCTGCAGTGAGCTATGATTGTGCCACTACACTCCAGCAGCCTGGACAAGACCCTACCTCTTAAAAAAAAACCCAAAACCAAAAACAAATCCTAAGCTCAGCTTTCCTCACCCCCACCGTGCTGGTGCTACTGGTCTCACTGTGGAGAGTGGGATGTCCAGTTCGTGGCTGGTTCTACTGGGGCAGGACCAAAATTTTGGGCAGCTATAGCCACCTAATGAAGAGGAGAGGACTTCCCATGCTGCTAAGATAGTTCATTCTGCCAATTGCCCTGCTAAATCTACATTCTTGCAGAGCTGTGAAGAGTATGAGTCTCCTGTTCAGTCTTCCATTTGCTCCATCAAATTCTTGATTTTCCCTCACGGGGTAGCTATGGAGTGAAGGTGTGCTGGGGGCTGTGAGCCAGGAGTTAATGGGCCTCCAACCCTCCAGGAGCCAGAGAAGAGTCCAGAAGCCAGGAAACAGCAGGACGTGGGCTCACTCAGCATGGCTATGGGGACTGTTGGCGGGAAAATGGCCCTAGCCATATGGAAGGTCATCTCGCTTGTCAGTAAGACCTACTGAGCCAGAAGATATCCAGAAATGAATAGGCAAAGCTGGGGTCAATCACAGAGAAGAAAAGATGTGATGAAGTGCAGATATGAACTAGGGATGGGCAGTTATTAAATACTCTGGACACCAGACTTCTAGCAAAGCAAAGTCCTTTTATATTTAACTGTCATATCCTCATCCAGTAGCAAGTCAGTCCGAAAGGGGCAGATCCCAGCGGACATGGGCTTGCCTGCAGGCCCCAAAGGGAGGATCCCAGCTAGCTAGTTTAGGCTAGAAACTCCTAGGCCATATCAATCGCCCTGGGGGCCAAATTGCATAATCCAACTGGGTCAGAGGTGCAGAGTCTGCCTGCCTTTCTCAGAAAAAGAGTCAACAAGCAGTCAGGAGGCAGTTTGGGGAGAGGGTAGGCAGGTAACAAGTAGAGTTGTACTCCAGAGAATTGGTTAAGGTGAGGTCCCAAAGTCAAAAGTGTCCTGGAAGCAGACAGGAAGCCAGGAGGATGAAGAGGTGGAACTGACGACCATAGGTGGCAGAATGTATCATTCCTTGGAGAAGACCCTGGCCCAGGATAAGTTTGCATAGATGCCTGGGCCTCGCCTCTGCATGGTTCCTACCTGAGGATGCTCCAGGGCCAGGTGCAGGGTGTTAGAGCTGCAGGCTTCTGCCAGACACCCAGACTATAGAAATACATGGGGTTCCTCCAGGGAGAGAACTAAGCCTCGAATAGTGCTTGCGGGACTCAGAGCCCTGCACACAGGTAAACAGGTGAAGTCCCCAGGACTTAACTTAGAGGTGGGTAGGGCATGGGGAATAAGGAGTAGAGGAATAGGAGGTGGCAAATGGAGCTGAGCACACGGATGATTGAGGCCTGACACAAGAATCCCTGCTCCGGCCAAGACTAGCGCCGTTTTCAGTCCTCCTCTGAGATGGCATTCTCTAGTGGGCATTCAGTTTGGTGGCCATAGCTATGAACATTTCCTGGGCCAGCTATGGTCACCTAGGGACACTCTGGAGTGACCCCAAAGGCCATATTTTGGAGGACAGGGGTTGTGTATTCTCTGTCCTTCCATGAACCCTCCATTGCTCATAGACCTGCTCACTCACCTCACCAGCTCAGTAAGGGCCAGCAGCTTCCAGCTCCCCAAAACCCCTGCTCTTCAGAGTTGCTTTCTCAGGATTTTCACTTTGAATCCCAGCCCCCATGATGTGATAAGCCCACGTGACATGGAGAGGCCATAGGTAGATGCTCTAGTTGATGGTCGCAGCTGAGTCCAGCCTTTGGTTAGCCCAGCCCAGGCACCAGACATATAAAGGAAAGAGTCACTGAACAATTCCAGCCCTCAGCCATTTGAATCCTGCCGAGGTACGGGACCAGGTGGAGCACTGTCCCTCTCGTGCCTTGGCTGAATTCCTGATGCACACGATCTAAGAGTGTGATCAAATGGCTGCTATTTTACACCATGGATTTGGGATGGTTTATTGTGCAGCAATAGATTTTAGAATAGGTCACAAGCCTTCAAAAGCAAGCCTATTGAGAGTGTTCTTCCCATTTGTGGATGGGGGCTAGGCTTCTAAGCCTGCAGGTGTAGTGGGCAGGGGCAGCGGATGGAGAAGGGGAGAAAGTTGCATGCTTCTCTGAACCTTTCTGAACTTTTCTGTAGGCAGCCTCATCTTCAATCCACCTTGAAAAAGGTCCGAGTAGCCTTTTGAGGTTGGAGCCCGGCCTTGAACCTCAGCCCAGATGACTGATCCTACCAGTCTCTAGTCCTCAAGACCAGACACTCTTCTCCAAATTCTAGGTGATTCCTGCATCATTTTAGATCAAGCTTGTCCAACCCGCAGTGCACTGGCCACATTCGGCCCAGGATGGCTTTGAATGTGGCCCAAGACAAATTTGTAAACTTTTTTAGAACACTATGAGGTTTTTTTTTGCAGTTTTTTTGCCCATCAGCTATTGTTAGTGTATTTTATGTGTGGCCCAAAGCAATTCTTCTTCTTCCAATGTGGCCCAGGGAAGCAAGATTGGACACCCCTATCCTAGATGGTTCTCAATTGGAGATACTACCCAGGGCCTCATTTCAGCCCTGGGTCATCATAGGCATTTAATGTCTTTTATAAATGAATGAATTAATGACCTGTGACTTTGAGGCTGAAAGCTACTGCAGTTTAAACCACAGACTTCATATCCTTTTTGTTTCAGACCCCATACACATCAGGGCTTGGGCTTCTGGGATTACAGATGTGGACATCGTAGGGGACCATTATTCTACCAGTCACAGGTGGGAATAGTAAGAATGATAGGAATGGCTTCTCTCCCAAGAGTCTGGGGGAGGCCTTTAGTAAGGGAGGGGGCTCCACAAAGTGCTGATAATATTTAATGTAAGAAAACACCCAAAAGATAATTCCAGAGATGCACATTTCCTTTGTGAAGCAAGGCAATATGTATTGTTCAGTTTGCAATTTGGGGTTGGGGAAGGGGTTTCCAAAAGGCACTCCTATAGGGACTAGTCAGATGGAGGAGGGTGGTAGGTAGTGAGTCCCATCCCTGGAAATAAAAGTGCTGAGGTGAAGCCTCACCTTCCCCAAAGCTTCTCAGGTGCATTAGATCAGGAGCCTCTGATGGACAAACTTCCAGCTGTAACTTCTCCATGTTTCCTCTGCAACAAATAAAAATTAAGCCCTAAAGTCCTATGTGCTCATTCCAGGGGGCAGCTCTACAAGTGAGAGTAAGGAACACTGTGGTCCAGTGGTTGGCAGGCTTTAGGGGAGAGAGAAGATAGAGAAAAACATCCCTGACCCAGAGTGGAGGTGGCAGCTGCTGAGGAAGGGGATAGAAGACAGAATCTTAGTCCTATGAGTAAAAGAAGGAAAAGCAGGTTCCTGGAAGAGGCTCTTAGGGTGGAGCAACTGAAAGATGTATGCATAATCCTCTAACATCTGGTGAGCTCTGGGAAGCATAAGGTGTCCTTGATTCCACTGGATCTCATGCTCAATCAACATGTATCCCAGGGCAGAGGCTGGGGGTGGTGAAATGCATATATTTCAAGCTTTGCAGGTAAAGCTGAGGCTGACTCAGTTGCTCTAGAGCCATCTGAACAGATGGGTTGTAGACATGGATTTGGATGTTGTTCCCTAAATGTGGACCAGTAACCCAGCTCCTATGGTCTGAATGCTTGTGTCCCCTCCAATATTCATGTTGAAACAGAATTCCCAGTGAAACAGTGCTGGGGCCTTTAGGAGGTGATTAGGCCATGAGGACTCTACCCTCATGCATGGGATCAGTGCCCTCGTGGGACGGCTTGAGGAAGTGTGTTTGACTTTGCCAACCCTTCTTCCATGAGAGAACACAATAAAAAGGCACCATCTTAGAAGCAGAGAGCAGCCCTCACCAGACACGGAATCTATCAGTGTCTTGATCTTGGACTTCCCAGCCTCCAGAACTGTGAGAAATAAATTTCTATTATTTATAAATTACCCAGTCTGTGGCATTTTCTTATAGCAGCAGGAATGGATTAAGACACCAGGGTCCCACTCATCACTTCATTGAGCCTTACCAGACTGAAGGAGTTTACTAGCCAGCCTTTGTAGCAGCCCAGGTACCTAGAGCAGGCCTAGGAGGTCAGGGAGCACCAGTATCAGGGGCAAGCCCCTACTGAGCTCTAAGATGACATAAACAGAGTTCTAGGACATTCGTTAGATGGTAGCCCTGGCAGGTGAGGTGAATAAGCAGACAAAGCCATACTGTAGAGTTTTTGCTCAAGAAGTACTTGTAAGATTTGTGAACTTGGATCTAAAAAGGAGAAGAGATCTGTGCTCCAGGAATTAGGGAGATGACAGGACTCAGAATTAGCAAATTAAAGCTATTGTGAAGAGGTACTGACACCATCTTGACACAATAGATATTTGAAACCCAACTGTAAATGGAACTCATACTGAAGAAGTGCGGTGGAAGACCAGGGCAAGGGGTCTCCAGAGAAGCCATGGGAAGAAACCCTTTGGCCAAGAAAAGAAATGCAACTGAGTGAGTGAGAGGGAATTCCAGCAAATCTCCCCTCCTATGACCTCAGGGCTTCTGGTAGAGAGGAGGCCAGAAATTGTCTAGGGCTCAGCTGGATTCCCTGAAGATAGGAGCTGAAGAACTCTGCCAAATCCATCTGAAGAAAAGCCTGTGGGAGAAGAGAGGACTTTTGACCAGGTGGAATTAAGAGAATTCCCAGAAGCTTCCAGAAGTTAATGCATAGAATGAAATCCTGGTATTGTCTGAATGTGGGAACATGGAATTGAGAGCCACTTAATGTTTCACATACCCATCTAGGCAAAGAAATAGAATCAATGAGGTTTTTTTCAAATGGAGGTTGTCTATGTCCAAGTCTAGCCACTTAACATGAGGTGTATGTGTTCATAAAATACTTTCCATGAATTAAAACTATTTGTGGCCACTTGGTCCCATTATCTGTGGAACTAATTACATGTGGGATTTCATGAAAGATGGCATGGATTAAAGTGCTACATAACTGCTGCAATAAATTCACTTGGGGGAGAAGTTCAGGTTCTTCCAAAGAGACTTTTAGAGGGTATCCAACAAGGCTGAAGGCAAACCAGGGAGGTCCAATCGGCTGCAGTCACCATGCACCACTCCATGGAGCTGCAAATGCATCCACATCTGGAATGCTGGTTTTCTCAGGATGAGAAGAAACCACACCTCTTCCAACCTGGTCTCACAGGTTGAGTAGGTTTTGTGGAGTCCCCTGGAGCTTGCTGTGGTTCACTTAGACACATCTTATACTATGCCAGCAGAGTATTTGGCCTTGCACATACATGCAGACCCAGTCGTCTTCTTGTGCTACACTCAGTTGCTAAGGAACATAACTTGAATTGCATCTGAGGGAATTCATCCTTCATGAAGATTATTGCTTCTCTGAGAAAACCTAAATTTCATGGGATCCTCAATCACTACAATGGAAAATCAAGAAGGCAGTGTAGAGACATGATGAAGACAGAGAGACCATTTGAAAGGTTCTTACATGGCTTAATTTTCTGACCATATAGAGGAATTAATTATCTGCCAGTAGAGTAGAGACAGTTGCTGCAAACTCATCTGTAACCTTGCTAAAAAATGAGCGCAGTTTGTAGATCAAAATTGCATCTGGTGCCAAATGATGGAATCAGAGCCCTATCAGTGAAAATCAAGTGTATCCACTATCCAGAAAGCAGCAGGGGAATGGCCACAAAGGCCCCCATGAGGCCAGAGAGAATGTTCTGCAGGAGTCATTCCTCCCTTTTCCCTGGCCTCCTATCCCACATCATATGTCCCAGGCAGGCTAACTAACTCCTATATATTTCTTTTATTTGCTCTTTTCTCTCCATTCCCATCACCAAAGCATTAGTCATTTCTCTTCTGCTCTATTGCAAACATCACCTCAACTGATCTCTCTGCCTGCATTCCTACCCAACTTGAGTTAATCCTTCACATTCCCCTAAGCATTGACTGATTTACTCCATTACTGGAAATCCTTCAATAAAACCCCACTGGGGCTGGGTGGTGGCCCATGTTTGTAATTCTAGCACTTTGGGAGGTTGAGGTGGGAGCATCACTTGAGGCCAGGAGTTCAAGTCCAGCCTGGGCAACATGGTCAGACCTTGTCTCAACAAAAAATTAAAAAATTAGCTGGGTGTGGTGGTGCATGCCTGTAGTCCCAGCTACTCACCAGGCTGAGACCGGAGGATCACTTGAGCCTAGGAGTCTGAGGCTGTAGTGAGCTATGATCTCACCACTGCACTCCAGCCTGGACAACAGAGTGAGACTTTATCTCAAACCATTGCCCCTCAACAAAAACCCCATTGGGTATCTACAGTACAATAAAATCCAAACTTTTGCTCTTCACTAAAAAAACTTTTTTTTTGAGACAAGGCCCTCGGTATTGACAGGTGAATTTGCCCTCTCTATTGACAGGTGAACCCGTTCTCTGTACTGACAGCTGGACCTGCCCTCTGTATTGACAGATGGACACACCCTCTGTATTGACAGCTGGACCTGCCCTCTGTATTGACAGGTGGACCCACCCTCTGTATTGACAGCTGAAATGGTCAATACACTGATATGGTTTGGCTATGTCCCCACCCAAATCTCATCTTGAGTTGTAGCTCCCGTAATTCCCTCGTGTTGTGGGAGGGACCCAGTGGGAGATAATTGAATTATGGGGACAGTCTCCCCCATACTGTTTTCTTGGTAGTGAATAAGTCTCATGCGAGCTGATGTTTTTATAAGGGGAAACCCCTTTTGCTTGGCTTTCATTCTCTTGTTTGCCCTCATGTAAGACGTGCCTTTTGCCTTCCACCATGATTGTGAGGCCTCCTCAGCCATGTGGAACTGTAAGTCTATTAAGCCTCTTTTTTGTTTATAAATTACCCAGTCTCAGGTATGTCTTTTATCAGCAGTGCGAAAATGAACTAATACACACGCCCTCTGTATTGACAGTTGGATCCTCCCTCTGTACTGACAGCTAGACCCGTCCTCTGTACAGGTGGATCCTCCCCCTATACTGACAGCTGAACTTGCCCTCTGTATTGACAGTTGGACCCGCCCTCTGTATTGACAAGTAGATCTTTCCTCTGTACTGATAGGTGGATCCTCCCTCTATACTGACAGCTGGACCCGCCCTCTATATGGACAAGTGGATCCCTCCTCTGTACTGACTGGTGGATCCTCCCTCTATACTGACAGCTGGACCCACCCTCTGTATTGACAGTTGGATCTTCCCTCTGTACTGACAGCTGGATCCACCCTCTGTATTGACAAGTGGATCCTCTCTCTGTACTGACGGATGGATCCTCCCTCTATACTGACAGCTGGACCTGCCCTCTGTATTGACAGGTGAATCCTCTCTCTGTATTGACAGGTGGATCCTGTCTCTGTACTCACAGGTGGATCCTTGCTCTGTATTGACAGCTGGACCTGCCCTCTGTATTGACAGGTGGACCCGCCCTCTGTATTGACAGGTGAACTCTCCCTCCGTATTGACAGGTGGATCTTCTCTCTGTATTGACAGGTGGACCCGCCCTCTGTATTGACAGGTGGACCCGCCCTCTGTATTGACAGGTGGATCCCTTCGTATTGACGGGTGAATCTTCTTTCTCTATTGACAGGTGGACTCACCCTCTCTATTGACAGTTGGACCCGCCCTTTGTATTGACAGGTGGATCCGCCCTCTGTATTGACAGTTGGACCCACCCTCTGTATTGACAGGTGGACCCACCCTCTGTATTGACAGCTGGACCCACCCTCTGTATTGACCGCTGGACCCACCCTCTGTATTCACACGTGGATCCACCCTCTGTATTGACAGCTGGAACTGCCCTATATATTAATAGCTGGACCCTCACTCTGTATTGACAGCTGGATCAACCGTCTGTATTGACAGCTGGACCCACCCTTCATATTGACAGCTGGACCTGCCCTCTATATTGACAGCTGGACCCGCACTCTGTATTGACAGGTGGACCTGGCTCACTGGGCCCATCTTGGCCTCAGTCCAGGTGTTTGGTGCTCTCAGGCCTTCCCTGACCTCTCTAGGCAGGTGGATGCTTCTTCCTCCCCACTCACATTCCCATAAAGCTATGCTGGAGGACCACCCATGGCATTAGAGTTCATGGCATGGATGTCTGACTTCCCATGGAAATGTGAGCTCCTCAAGGGCAGCTTTGTGTTATTTACTGTATCCCTGGTGCCTCCCATAACACTGAGTAACTCATGTTAAGAAACTCATCAATTGTTTTTATTATTATTTTTTTCAGGCACAGCCTTATGGATGTAAAAACTCATCAGTTTTTAAAAATGAATATTTATTGTGTTTTTCTTGTCCTTTTTCCTTTTCTTTTCTTTTTTTTTTTTTTTTGAGATAGAGTCTCACTCTGTTGCCCAGGTTGGAATTGCAGTGGTGTGTCTCAGCTCACTGCAACCTCCGCCTCTCGGGCTCAAGCCATTCTCTGGCCTCAACCTCCTGAGTAGCTGGGGTTACAGGCACCCGCCACCACGCCTGGCTAATTTTTGTACTTTTAGTAAAGATAGGGTTTTGCCATGTTGGCCAGGCTTGTCTTGAACTCCTGACCTCAAGTAATCTGCCCTCTTCGGCCCCCAAAATGTTGAGATTACAGGTGTGAGCCACCATGCCAAGCCCTTATTAATTTTTCAATGATTTCTCATGCCTTTCTTTCATTGATTCCAGTCTCTAACACCTTCTCCTTAGGCCTTTCTTCCTTGTTAGAGCTATATATCCTCTTTTTCCTCTCCACAATAGTTACCCCTATCTGTACTTCCTCCCCCTGTGCAGAATTTTTCAAAGTGGAGTATACAGACCCCAAATCATAATACATTCTAAATATCTCTAAATATCCCAACTGCCAAGACACATTGATGGAGAAACAGTGCCCAGCTCCACCCCTCCCTCTGGAAGGAGGACCAAGTTCCACCCTTTACGATGACCAGTAAAGCTAATTCTAAGTCTTTGTTGAGTTGAGGGTGGAGTCTCTGGAGCTGCAGTGTCCTTTAAGTCCTACTGCACACGCGCCATCATGGAAACACTTCTGATTAGAGTCAAAGAGGAAATGTCAGGGTGCAGTGGCCCACCCCTGAAATCCCAGCACTTTGGGAGGCTGAGGCAGGTGAATCACTTGAGGCCAGGAGTTTGAGACCAGCCTGGCCAATATGACAAAACCCCATCTCTACTAAAAATACTAAAATTAGCCGGGTGTGGTGGAATGTGCCTGTAGTCCCAGCTACTTGGGAGGCTGAAGCAGGAGAATCACTTTAACCTGGGAGGCAGAGGCTGAAGTGAGCCAAGATCGTGCCACTACACTCCAGCCTGAGCAATAGAGCAAGACTCTGTCTCAAAAAAAAAAAAAAAAAAAAGGAGAAATGTCAAAATCTTGAATCTCTGAGATTTTGGGCAAGAGGTGTGCAAGCACCCTCTTTACATTATTCCTTTACTTGCTTAGTTGTTTGGGTGGGAGGGAGTTTATTGCCTGAAATCATTCCATCTTTAAATACTTCCAGTTCCTTTAGCCTTTTTGGAACCATATACTTTTCTTGACATGCGTTGCGTCCCCTGAGCCTGAATTCCTCTTGAGTGCTTGAGATGTGCATGTGTCCCCCTATGGAGAGGCTGCCCATCAGGATCTTCCCAGCCGGTGAATCTTGGGGAAACACCCCAGGGAGTTTACATGTACAGAACTTCTACTCATGTTAGCAATAGCTCCCCACTCTTAAATACGCCTCATCAAGCAACAACAAAAAGTCGTGTTCATTCGTGAAACCAAGGGCAGCTGGGGGCTCCTGACTTGGACACAGCACAATCTAATGAATAACTGCCCTAAATCAGAGGCTGCTCTCTATGAAGAGATATCTAGACAAAGTGTGGTCTAGTGGGCTATAAATCATGAATACGAGAGTCCATGCAACACAATAATGGCTAAAGTTTCGTTTTGTTTTGTTTTGTTTTCTTGAGATAGGGCTTCACTCTGTTGCCCGGGCTGGAGTACAGTGATGTGATCTTGGCTCACTGCAGTCTTGACCTCCGGGACTCAAGTGATCCTCCTGCCTCAGCCTCCCGAGTAGCTGGGACTACAGGTGCATGGCTTTTAAAAAAAAAAAATTTCGTAGAGACAGGCTTTTGCCATGTTGTCCAGGCTGGTCTCAAACTCCTGGACTCAAGCAATCCATCTGCCTCAGCCTCCCAAAGTGCTGGGATTACAGGTGTTAGCCATCGTGCCTGGCCGGGCCAAAGTTCTTTGGCTTAGTTCAGCCTGTATTAGTTTAGCCCACATAACCTGGCACAGATCCTCTGGATCCTCACTTCCTTCGTGCCTCCTTGCACCTCTGCCACCATCAGCCCCAGCCAGTATAGCCTGTATATCTCCTGCTACTGCCCACGCCGGGGATTTGCTCCTGTTCTCCCTGCCTCTGGAAGGTCTTCCTCCCTCCATGCATATTCTATTTATAAATAATTTGTGGCTGGGCATGGTGGCTCACACTTGTAATCCCAGCACTTTGGGAGGATGGTGGTGGGTGCCTGTAGTCCCAGCTACTCAGGAGGCTGAGGCAGGAGCATGGCTTGAACCCAGGAGGTGGAGGTTGCAGTGAGCTGAGATCAAGCCACTGCACTCCAGCCTGGGCGACAGAGTGAGACTTCATCTCAATATAAATAAATAAATAGTTAACTGAATTCATATGTTCTGCTCTGACGTCTTTGCCAACCTTTGTCTTTTTTCTCCCGTTAAACTAAAATCAGAAAAAACTGCCCAATTTGGCCTGGTGTGGTGGCTCATGCCTATATTCCCAGCACTTTAGAGGCCGAGGAGGGTGGATCACTTGAGGTCAGGAGTTAGAGACCAGCATGGTCAACATGGTGAAACCCCATCTCTACTAAAAATACAAAAAAAAAAAAAAAAAAAAAAAGCCAGGCATGGTGGCAGGTGCCTGTAATCCCAGCTACTCAGGAGGCTGAGGCAGGAGAATTGCTTGAACCTGGGAGGTGGAGGTTGCAGTGAGCCAAGATTGTGCCACTGCACTCCAGCCTGGGTGACAGAGCCAGACTCCATCTCAAAAAAGAAAAAAAAAAAGCAACAACAACAAAAAAAACCTGCCCAATTTACACCATGTGCAAATGTGCTGATAACTATCATTTGCTGAGCATTTACTTTATGCCATGCATGGTGGGGATCTGTACAATCTAATTAAAAATATAAAACCTTATGAAGGTAAATATATTTGTTTTATGTTTGAGGAAACTGAGGCTCAGAGAGATCACGTGGTTCCCAAGAGTTACAAAGTGAGTGAATGTTAGAGCTGAAATAGGATCCCAAGACTAACCCAAAGCCTGTAATTACTTTTCTATGATTTGTCTATGCAATAAATAAGCTACTGTATATAAAAATAATTTTTCGAATGTAGAAATGTAGTGTTTATTGACATACTTGATTTGTTTTTATGACTTATAAAGATTAAAAACATTCTTTGAAGAAAAGCTGCCCGAAACTACCAAGTTATAACTGGATCTGAGGTTTCTCCTCTTTGGACACATCTCTTCTTTGACCTCTAATCAGAAGTGTCTCCATGTCAGGGTGACGGTGAGGCTGCCCCTAGATCTGCTTGGTGGACAGAGCCGGGGAATGTGTGTGTCTCTGTGTGTGCGTGTGCACACATCAACATCTATATTTATTTTATTATCCATCTGTATATACTGAAAACCATGAGCTCACACCAATATCTCTAATTTTTTTTCTTAAGACAGGGTCTCACTCTGATGCCCAGGCTGGAGTACAGTAGTATGAGCTCAGCTCATTGCAGCCTCAACCTCCTGGGCTCAAGCGATCCTTCCACCTTAGCCTCCCAAGTAGCGGGGACTACAGGCACACGCCACCACATCCAACTAATTTTTTACATTTTTTGTAGACACCGGGTCTCACTATGTTGCCCAAACTGGTCTCAAACTCCTAGGCTCAAGGAATTCTCCCACTTCAGCATCCCAAAGCACTGGGATTATAAGGGTGAGCCACCATGCAAAGCCCAATATCTCTAATTCAGTCTAATTTCTCCCTTCTCATTTTGTATCTCCCTTTTCTGATCCCTAGAAAGCTGCTCCTATTTTTCTGAATATGTATATTTACTTTTGTATTTTTTTATTTTTGAGAAGGATTTTTGCTCTTATTGTTCAGGCTGGAGTGCAGTGGTGTGACCTTGGCTCACAGCAACCTCCGCCTCCCGCGTTCAAGCGATTCTCCTGCCTCAGCCTCCCAAGTAGCTGGGATTACAGGCATTCGCTACCACGCCTGGCTAAATTTTGTATTTTTACAAACCACATAGAGATGGGGTTTCGCTACATTGGTCAGGCTGGTCTCAAACTCCTGACCTCAAGTGATCCACCCGCCTCGTCCTCCCAAAGTGTTGGGATTACAGGCGTGAGCCACGGCGCCCAGCCATGAATATGCATATTTACTTTTGAATCAGGCCACGCTTGGGTGTGTGCTCTGTCTCCTAATACCTGCACCTCCTCACCCTGCCAGAGCTCAGACACTGTGTCCAGCCCCAGCCCCGGCTACACTGTATGAGAGCCTGTAAGTCTCAGAGCTGGAAATTGAACCAGGCAGATCGACTTGAGCCTCCGTGATCTTAGTTTTTGGACAGAATTATTCAGCAGAGAAAAAAAGCAAAAAGGCAAATATGTCTCTCCTTGACTTTTTGAACATATGGAACACAGTTATAATAACTGTTTTAATGTCCTTGTCTGCTAATCCTGGCTTCTGTGTCAGTTCTATGTCAGTTTTGATTGATGTATTTATCTCCTTACTATGGGTCATATTTTCCTTCTTTGCATGACTGGTTATTTTTTATTGGATGTCAGACACCATGAATTTTACTTCGCTGGGTGCTGGATATGTTTGTGTTCCTATAAATAATTGTGTGCTTTGTTCTGCGATGCAGTTAAGTTTGTTGGAAACAGTTCAATCCCTTCGGGTTGCTGTCATGATTTGGTGGGGGATTCTGGCGCTGTGCTCAGTCTAGGCTAATTATTCCTCACTGCTGAGGCTAGTTTCTTCTGGGAAGCCTCCCTGGTGTCTGGGACTCTTCAGGCTTCTGCTCTGGCTGGTGGAAACAGACCCTGGTCCTGGTCCCGTGTCAGCACTGAGCACTCTTATCTTGAATTCTGTTGGGTGGTTCTGTCCCCAGCGTCTGATCGTTCCCTGGCACATCCGCACTGCTCAGCACTCAGTGAAGGCTCAGGAAGACCCTCTGCAGATCTCTGAGCTCTCTCCCTCTCTCCACGCAGCTCTCTCTTCTTTGGGACTTTGCCCCAAGAACTTTAGTCCCTGTGGCCTTTCTCCATTCTCAGCTCCGTCTCCCTGACCCAGGGAATCCCCTGGGCTCTGCCTCAGTCTCTCTTGCCTGTGCCCTGGCCTGGGAACCCTCACAGGCTGAGGCAATTGTAGGGTCAGCTCATTTCCCTCCTATCTCACAGGAGTCACTGTCCTTCATTACCTGATGTCCAGCATCTTGAAAACCAATGTTTTGTATATTATGTCTGTTTTTTGTGGTTGCTGTTGTTTCAGGTGGAAGGGTAAATGCGGCCCTGGTTGCTCCATGGTGACTGGAAATGGAGAAATAGCAATACATATTTAAGATAAATGTATTTTTAAAAATTCTTAAACTCTTAACCCCCAACATATTTCTCAATTCAGATTCTATGACAACAACTGGTATTTTAAAGATCCCATAAAGATTCCAAGTTATGAGAGTTAAAAATGATCCTAACAGATAGGAAAGGGACTCTCAAATCCTGTTTAAAGAGTGGTGGCTAGAAGTATTCCTGACTCTGTTTCTGATGGTTAGTGCAACTTAAAGAATGTTTAATAATTCTTACAGAATATCGGCAATATGCCTATAACTATGCTCAAGAATTAAGGGAGTGCCGGGCCCAGTGGCTCAAGCCTGTAATCCCAGCACTTTTGGAGGCCGAGGTGGGTGAATTGCTAGAGGTCAGGAGTTCGAGACCAGCCTGGCCAACATGGTGAAACCCCATCTCTACTAAAAAAAAAATACAAAAAATTAGGCTGGCATGGTGGCAGGTGCCTGTAATCCCAGCTACTCAGGAGGCTAAGGCAGGAGAATCACTTGAACCTGGGAGGCGGAGGTTGCAGTGAGCCAATATTGTACCACTGCACTCTAGTGTGGGTGACAGAGTGAGACTCCGTCTTAAAATAATAATAATAATAATAATAAAAGAAGGGAGTAGTCCTAACCTTAAAGAACTTGCAAATTTTTAGGGAGACAAGACATTTACACATGTAAAATGAAATCACAGGGTAGAATTGCTAATGTTTAGACGACTGATTAAGACAGTGAGTATAAAATACGATATGCTAGAAAGTATCTTGTTCCTGATGATAGACACTGGTAGGCTGTTCTACCCCGCCCACCTTTCTTTTCAAAACACTTCCATTCAAATAGATTAACATTCCCACGTTACCCGCTTCATTTGACAAGAACAAAAAGTTGACATGCCATAGCCGATACGGTAGATTGGTTCTCTCAATACTTATTTCAACCTCTCTTCTAGGGTACCTTCTTGCACTGCAAAAACAGGAAAGCTAAAACATGATTCTTCCCAGACTCCCTTGCAGCTGGGGGTCTGGATGGGATTCAGTTTCCACCAATCAGATGCCTCTTTTTTCAGAAGTGGATATGCAACTGAGTCAAGTGGGAAGAAAGGCAGCAGGCATTGGTTTCGTGGGTGTGAATTGCAGCAGGTGCAGCACGGCTTTGGAGCTGACTGTTGCAGTGGTGTTGCTGATCTACAGGACACAGCCAAGGCAGTGTGTTCCTGATCTTCAAAATCTGTGAAAGCAATATGGTAGCAGCCCCCCGGGACTCCCGACAGGCTAAGCTTATGATGCTCTATACAAGAGATCCTCCACCAGGGGCTATTTTGCTCCCAGTGGGGGCATTTAGCAAAGTCTGGACACATTTCTTTCTTTTTTTGAGATAGGGTCTTCCTCTGTCACCCAGGCTGGAGTGCAGTGGTACAATCATAGCTCACTGCAACCTCAAACTCCCCAGCTCAAGCAATCCTCCCCGTCTTAGCCTCCTGAGCAGCTAGGACTACAGGTGCGTGCCACCATGCCTGGCTAACTTTTAAAACTTTTTTGTAGAGATGGAGTCTCCCTATGTTGCCTAGGCTGGTTTTGAATTCCTGGGCTCAAGTGATCCTCCGGCTTCAGCCTCCCAAATTGCTGGGATTACAGGCATGAGCCGCAGTGCCTGGCCTGGAGACATTTCTTATTGTTGTGACTGAGGGTGTGCTATCTGTATCTAGTGGGTAGAAGCCAGTGATGTTGTGAGACATCCTATAATGCACAGGACAGCCCCCTCTACAAAGAATTATCCTGTCCCAAATGTCAACCATGTCTGTCCTAGAGCCTGCGTTTTGCATGGTGGTGTCCTGATTCCAAAAGTTTCCAGTAATGATGAAGTAGCCAGGTGGTTTCCTTTTTTTTTGAGATGGAGTTTCACTCTTGTTGCCCAGGCTGGAGTGCAATGGCGTGATCTCGGCTCACTGCAACCCCCGCCTCCCGGGTTCAAGCAATTCTCCTGCCTCAGCCTCCCAAGTAGCTGGGATTACAGGCATGTGCCACCACGCCCAGCTAATTCTGTATTTTTAGTAGAGACGGGTCACCATGTTGGTCAGGCTGGTCTCGAACTCCTGACCTCAGGTAATCCTCTCACCTTGGCCTCCCAAAGTGCTGGGATTACAGGTGTAAGCCACCGTGCCCGGCCAGGCAGTTTACTTTTATTTGCATTTATGTTACTGGATTTATTCCTGAGCCATAACTTTTTGTTTCTTTGGTTTCTTTTGGCATATCTTTTTCTTCTGTGCTACCTCCTCTTCCAGTTTAGGAACAATTTGTTCTTTTTCAGGAAGGGTCATCTCAGAATGTCAAGAGGCTCATCTGACCGTGAGCTCTCTCAGTTTGATAGGCATCTTGGGGGCTTTGTTCGCCTTCATGTGCTCAATGACTAGAGAATCTACATACAAATTCTTAAGGTCAGCATTACTCTCTGCATCTTGGGACAGCAATAATTCATCACTCTTTTTGGGCCACTGACCCTGCATTACCCCCACGGTCTGGCCTGGGCACTGCTGTCAACTCCACCATGGTAAGGCAGCATGGCACACATTGCTTCTATATTGCGGCATCTTTCAGATACTGGGTAGCTTTTGGTATAGGTAAAGCCTTGGTGGCTTGGGCAGTTTCACTGGTATTCCTGAAGTGAACACAAAGATTGGATTTGTGCAATCTTGTGGAGTTTTCTGGGTCAAGTGAGTAATGCACCATTTTCAGAGATTAACTTAGGCCACTTACGGGAAAAGCAGAGGGTCACTTGGGCCCTGTCATTCTGAGACTCATTCCTAGAGGTCCAGCCTAAAGCCTGCTTTTCCAACTGCAAACATTTCTGTAAGCATCTAATTCCTTGGATTAAATTCCTTTTCTGTTTAAGATACCCAGAGCAGTTTCTAATCTGTGATTGAAGCCTGACGCACATGCCACTGCAGGAACTGATCCCCTATGATCTCGCCATTGAAAAAATGCACAAAATGTAATTTTGTGCTAACGAACCATGAGAAGTGTTAAGCTCTTGTTTATTTTTTTGTCTCTCTCCTTTAACTCATGGAGGCATCTGTCAATCTGTATGTAGAATTATGTGTAATACGCTTGCTCCAAGGTTTTTAAGATAGCACAAAGCAAAGATACCCAGAAAGCAAGAAGATGCAAGGGACCTTTAACGATGTGTCAGGAAAGAAATTCCTGACATTTTCAAATATAAACAAACAGACAAACAAGAATGCACGAAGGCCTGGAGTGGGCATGAAGGCTTGCTGGAGGCAGCACTGGGCAGGCGGGGAGAGCAAGGACACTGGTCAAGAGCAGCTGTTTGGGTTAGAACGCTGGCTCTGTGTCCTGGGGAAGTTGATTAACTTCATCTATAAGTTGGCAATTGATAATAGTCTCTATGTCATAGGGACAAGTAATCCATATATGTAAAGCATGCAAATGCTGCTTGATGCATAATAATACCTTTTTTTTTTTTTTGACGGGGTTTTCACTGTCACCCAGGCTAGAATGCAGTGATGCAATCACGACTCACCGCAGCCTCCACTTCCTGGGCTCAGGTGATTCTCCCATCTCAGCCTCCTCACAGGCATGTGCCACCATGCCCAGCTAATTTTCTGTATTTTTTTTTTTTGAGACAGTGTCTTGCTCTGTTGTGCAGGCTGGAATGCAGTGGCACAATCTCTGTTCACTGCAACCTCCGCCTCCCGGTTCAAGTGATTCTCATGTCTCAGCCTCCTGAGTAGCTGGGATTACAGGCGTGCACCACCATGCCCAGCTAATTTTTGTATTTTTAGTAGAGACGGGGTTTCACCATGTTGACCAAGCTTGTCTCGAACTCCTTATCTCAAGTGATCCTCCCCCTTGGCCTCCCAAAGTGCTGGGATTACAGGTGTGAGCCACCGCATCCAGCAGTAATGCTTTTAAAAGGCATATATATACATATATATATATATATATATTTTTTTTTTTTTTTTTTTTTATTTTGAGACAGAGTCTCCCTCTGCCACCCAGGCTGGAGTGCAGTGGCCCAATCTCGGCTCACTGCAAGCTCCGCCTCCCAGGTTCATGCCATTCTCCTGCCTCAGCCTCCCGAATAGCTGGGACTACAGGCGCCCGCCACCACTCCGGGCTAATTTTTTGTATTTTTAGTAGAGATGGGGTTTCACCATGTTAGCCAGGATGGTCTTGATCTCCTGATCTCGTGATCCGCCTGCCTCGGCCTCCCAAAGTGCTGGGATTACAGGCATGAGCCACCGCGCCCGGCCTAAAAAGTATATTAAATCAAATAAAAATGGAGTCAGAACTTCAGTTGGATAGAATGCACATTATCAAATGAGTGAAGAGACTTTCGAGGTAGGTAAAAGAATAGCAAGGCTGGAACACAGGAAGGAAACTGGCTCCAGTTCTGTGCAAGCTGGTATCGAGAGATGGTGACATCAAATATCAGCAGAGTAAGGGAAGGGTAAGGGTGGAGGGTCTTGAACAGCTTCCTAAATAGGCTGGGCTGTAACCTGCAAAAAATTGAGATGCGGCTGTGCGCTGTGGCTCATGCCTGTAATCTCAGCACTTTGGGAGGCCAAGGCAGGCAGATCACCTGAGGTCAGGAGTTCGAGACCTGCCTGGCCAACATGGCAAAACTCCATCTCCACTAAAAATACAAAAAAGTAGCCAGGCGTGGTGCATGCCTGTAATCTCAGCTACTTGGGAGGCTGAGGCACAAGAATTGCTTGAACCCGGGAGGTGGAGGTTGCAGTGAATCAAGATCGTGCCTCTGCACTCCAGCCTGAGCAACAGAGTGAGACTCTGTCTCAAAAAAATAAGTAAATAAAATTGAGACGCTACTGAAGGGTGTTCAGCAGGCAAGGGATGTGGAGACAGTGATGTTTTAGGAAGACTGCCTGAGGGGACTTTTTGGGTGTACTCCCACACCTTCATGCCAACCAGACACACCCACAAGCCAGTTGCCAGTTGGCCCATAAAAGGACGCTTTAACACCCACAAATGTTCATGGCAGCCATATGGCCTTTCTCCACTTTAAACCTTCTGTCCTGCCCAAGACAGCTTCAGTGGCCCAAGCAGCGGAAGGAAAGTTTGGGATTTAGTTAGTAATTAATTTTAATAAATGATGGTCTTAAAAATACCATAGTTGTTCTATAAATTATATTTTAGGTAAAAAATTATTGGTGTCCCTTGGCTGATATTTTTTTAATGTCTGAGCCAGATCTTTACGGGTCCTAAGTGCTCCCTGGTCTTATGAATTCAGTCTTCTTAGACAATATCTTCCACAGTCATCCATCTGAGGTCATTTCCACAACCAGTCACCCCAAATGACAAACTAAGCATGAACGGTTGTTTCTTTCTTTCTTTTCTATATGATGTTGGGGGGAGTCTTTTGGGTGGTTTAATCAAAAACAGGATAATTCCAAATTTCTTTTTGTTATCTGAACTAAGCCCATGGCATTTGGAAATGAAGATGTTAGAAATATCTAGAAAATAGACTATAGAGTTCTGGGTGCAGGGAGGGGGATAGGAGACATGAGAATGTGGAGGATCATTTTGGTGGATTTGGTGTTAGTGATTGGATGGGTAGCATCATTGAGAAGGAAAAAAGAAGAGGAGGATCAGGGCCACCACCATAAATTTACATGGTCCAATGCGAAATAAAAATGCAAGATCTTGTTGAGGCCAGGCATGGTGGCTTATGCCTGTAATCCCAGTACTTTGTGAGGCCAAGGTAGGAAGATCACTTGAGCCCAGGAGTTCAAGACCAGCCTGGGCAACATAGTGAGACCCTGTGTCTGTTAAAAAAAATTTTTTTTAGGTTTTTCTTTAAAAGACCCCTTGCTGAAAATGCAGGAAAAACTCTTTTCCGTTTCTTCCATGACCGCTGTCTTTTGGCTTGTCATGGTGGTCTTCACTTCCTATTTAAGGTTGTCCTCCCTTGGACACAGATATTCGTAGGGTGAGTCAGACCCTCACAGACTCCTGAGGCCCATACCTCACGATTGAGCACAGGGCTAGTAGGTTCCCAGCTTCTGCCAGCCAGGGACCAACGTTCCTATAAGTCAAGCCAGGCATCTCTCCTTCCCCGTCGCCTGTAGTCCCAACCCACAGAAGATGGGTGGCTGTCAAGAGTATTGCTACTTCTGTGCCAGGCCGATGCGAGGCACCTGGATAGTGGTGGGCAACAGGCTTTCCCTTGCTTAACTGCACCCTGAATGTGCCATGGCACCTCCAGCCTGGGACTGGATGGCCACTGCTATGCCTTGCCCTGAGATACCACAGTGTACGTGTGCCCAACCCATGCCCAGGACTCCACCCCAGGGGGTGCAGAAGGTGGCAGCAGTCACAGGGGATGGGGAGGGGAGCCGTGTGGTGCCAGGGGGCAGGAGCAGTGGGCTGAGAGCCTGTCCCAGAGGTACAGGGATGGTATGTCAACTGAAGCTCCAAGCACCCAGCACACTCTCCATTGTGCCATAGGACTTCACTGACAAAACACACACTCAAAGATAACATTATGAAGCATTTCAAAACAGCTATCAAAGGGCATCAAACGTCAGGCATGGGGACTTTCTGAGCACAGGGTGTGACCCAACAACCGTGCAGTGTGGCTACACTGTTGCACAGCTGTTGCTGTGTTCTGAATATTTGTGTTCCCCTAGAATTCATATGTTGAAACCCTAATTCTCCATGTGACTATGTTTGGAGATAGGGCTTTTAGGAGGTAATTAAGGTGAAATGAGGTCATAAGGGCAGATCCTAATCCGATAAGACTTGTGTCCCTATCAGAAGAGAGAGAGACCGGGCTCAGTGGCTCACACCTGTAATCCCAGCACGTTGGGAGGCTGAGGCAGGTGGATCACTTGAGGTCAGGAGTTCGAGACCAGCCTGGCCAACATGGTGAAACCCCATCTCTACTAAAAATACAAAAATTAGCCAGGCATGGTGGCACACGCTTGTAATCCTAGCTACTGAGGAGGCTGAGGCAGGAGAGAATTGCTTGAACACAGGAGGCAGAGGTTGCAGTGAGCTGAGATCACGCCACTGCACTCCAGCTTGGATGACAGAGTGAGTCTCCATCTCAAAAAAAAAAAATGAAGAGAGGGAGAGACAGTAAACTACACTTTCTCAATGAGCATGCATCGAGGAAAGGCCATGTGAGCATACATGAGAAGGCAGCTGTCTGCAAGCCAGGAAGAGAGCCCTCACCAGAACACGCAGATGCCCTGATCTCAGACTTCCAGGCTCCAGAATTGTGAGAAAATAAATTTCTGTTATTTAAGCCACTGAGTCTATGGCATTTTGTTCTGGCAGCCTGAGCCATCTAATGCACCTGTGGAGCCAGACCTGCGAGCAGAAAGATCATGAATTCCATTATGAACCTGTTGAGTTAGGGGATCTAAGTGACACTCAACTGGCAATTCCTCATATACAAACTAATAGATCCAGTGGCCATGAGAGAAGCTAGAAATACCAGTTTGGGAGTCATTAATATACAAATAGTAATTAGATCCATGGGAGTGGATGAGATCACCCAAGCATGGTGTTTGAAGTGAGAAGAGAGTGAAGTTAGAAACCAAGGTGGGGGTGCCAACATTTAGAAGGTGGCTGAAAGACAAAGAGTAGGAAAGATCAAAAAGAAAGGAGGAAATCCAAGAGTAGAGCATGGTATTCTGGAAACCAAAGAAAGGTAGAAATTAGTCAGCTTGTTAAACACTGTTAACAAGTCAAGCAAGACAAAGATTGGAGAATGCCTGGTGGATCTGGCCATGAGGAGGTCTCGGGAAGGTAATCTGGTTTGAAGAGTGAAACTAGAAGCCAAACTGGGATGAAGTGAGGAGTGCAAGGGTGAGAGGCAGCATGGGGAAGCCCTATGTCAGTGGGGCTGTATCAGATCCACCCACAAGCTGCAAAGGTTAAGATTCCTGGGCTCTTCGTGAAGGGACTATAATTTGGTAGCTCTGGGGTGAGACCCAAGAATCTGTTGGTTTTTTTTCCTTATCCGACCTCTAGATGATTTTGATGCCCTGGCAGGTTTGGGAACTACTGAGAGAATGCAAATAACATGAACTGCATTCAGAGAGACTAGAGTTGCAATCTTGATTCTGTCACATTTTTGCTGTTTGAACCAGAATGAGACACTTCAATCTCTTTGAGCTTCAAGTACCTCATTCACATACAAAACAGTGATAGTCTTTGTATTATTGATTTGAAGATTGAAGAGTATATATATAATCTGGCGCAGAGTAAATATTTAGTAAATAGCGGCCTGTGCTACTGACAGTGGATAGAATGAATATAGACTTTCTCTCAATAAAGAGGTTGGCTAGGAGGGGCAGGAGAAAGAAGGGTCAATCCTTACAGTACTACGTCTCAAAGAGGGACAGTATTTTGTCTTGTCTTGGTTTTTGTAAGATAGCAGAGATGCGAGCACATCTGTAAGCTGGGACACAAGGGCAAGGTAGGGTACGATGAGTCCACATCTCTGAGTTGATGGGAGGAACTGCCACGAAAGCACAGATGGAAGGATTAGCTTTGGGCAGAAGAAATGCCTTGGGAGGAAGTTAGTTGGTGTGGGGGCAGGACATTCAGGGGTTTCGCTCCTGATAATTCAATTTTTTTCTGTGAAGTGGGAGGCAGTGTCATATACCAAGAGGAGTAGGAATCTTGAGTGTAGGCAAGGTCTGGAGAGAAAGTGTTGGGAGTGTGAGGAATGATAGAGCTGGATGACAAAAGATACACAGATAGGGTAACATGGGTGCCAAGGGCTTAGTTTAGATTAGAGACCACCAACTTCTTCTTTGCTTCTCCCTATAATATCTGTGCTGCCTTTAGCTAGCCTCTATATTTGTTTGGAAACAACAGATATACCACTGGTAAGTGCTGAATGTCTGTGCCAGGCACTGCACTAAGCATTTTTCATGTGTTATCTCACTTAATCCTTACAACGGTCCCACCATGTCGGTACCATCCACGATCCCTGTTATAGATGATGAGCTGAGGCTTAGAGAAGTTCATTAATTTGCCCAAGGTTACACAGTTAAGCAGTTGCACAGTAAGATCTCTATTTCAGATCTGACTCCAGAGTTTTTATTCTTAACTGTGGCACACCACACATTAATTGGGATTAGATTTTGTTGGCACACATAATGGAAAATCAAAACGTGGATCAGACAAGATACAGGTTTATTCTTTTTCTTTTTCTTTTTTTTTTTTTTTTTTTTTGAGACTGAGTTTCACTCTGTTGCCCAGACTGAAGTGCAGTGGTGTGATCTCGCCTCACTGTAACCTCTGTCTCCAGGGTTTAAGTGACTCCCCTGCCTCAGCCTCCCGAGTAGATGGGACTACAGGCACTTGGCTAATTTTTGTATTTTTAGTAGAGACAGGGTTATACCATGTTGGCCAGGCTGGTCTCAAACTCCTGACCTCAGGTGATCCACCTGCTTCGGCCTCCTAAAGGGCTGGGATTACAGGCGTAAGCCACTGTGCCTGGCCAGGTTTGTTCTTTTTCATGTAATGGAAACTCAGAGGCAGGGAGCTCACAACTGGGGTGGCAGCTCCACAATCATCAAGTTCCCAGGCCTTTTCTATCTTTCTGGTCCACATCTTTAACATGTGACTTCCATTCACAAGGTTGCTTCATTGTCCAAATGCTCCTGGAGTTCCAAACCTTACATCCACATTCCAGAAAGCAAGAAGGTACAAGAAGCGAAAGGGGGCCTATCAGGGTCTGCCCTCCTTTTGAAGAATTTCCCTGCAAGTCCTACCCAATTACTTCTGCGTACATCTCACTGATGTAAGATCTTCTCCATAGATACAGGAGAAACGGGAGTATGTCATCTCAAGGGCACATTTTGCTATCCATAACATAATTGAGTTTTGTTAGTAAGGAAGAAGGAGAAAGCAGATATTGGGTGGGCAACTAGCAGTATTTGCCATACAATGAGTCTCACATATACTTGAAACCATAGGGGGAAATCTGCTAATTCTCATTTCATTAATATGCAAGCCAAGCAGTTCTTGCGAAACTTTCCAAACTCACTAAGAAGCAGGCATGCTCGGCCGGGCACCGTGGCTCACACCTGTAATCCCAGCACTTTGGGAGGCCGAGGCGGGCAGATCACCTGAAGTTGGGAGTTCGAGACCAGCCTGACCAACATGGAGAAACCCCGTCTCAATTAAAAGTACAAAATTAGCCAGGCATAGTGGTGCATGCTTGTAATCCCAGCTACTCAGGAGGCTCAGACAGGAGAATTGCTTGAACCTGGGAGGCCGAGGTTGCAGTGAGCCAAGATTGCACCATTGCACTCCAGCCTGGACAACAAGAGCGAAACTCCATCTCAAAATAAATAAATAAATAGAAGCAGGTGTGCTTTCTCAGTAGTAGATTCATAGTAGAATGCTTCAATAATGTCTTAATGTGAAGGCGTAATTATTACATAAATTAGAGACATTTTAACTCCTAGTGAGAGAAGATCGAACACAAATTGGCTTAACTTTAAAACAAACTGGCTTAAACCTTGATTAGGCTAGCTGGTGAAGTCCAGTGGGCCTTGGAGGTGTTTTGGGCAGAATGACTCCTGATAAAAGTTGGAGCTAGGCCGGGCACAGTGGCTCATGCCTGTAATTCCAGCACTTTGGGAGGCTGAGGCGGGAGGATCACTTGAGGTCAGGAGTTTGAGACCAGCCTGGCCAACATGGCAAAACCCTGTCTCTACTAAAAATACAAAAATTAGCCGGGCATGATGGCACATTCCTGTAATCCCAGCTACTCAGGAGGCTGAGGCAGGAGAATTGCTTGAACGCAGGAGGTGGAGGTTGCAGTGAGCCAAGATCATGCCATTGCACTCCAGCCTGGGCGACAGACCCAGACTCCATCTCAAAAAAAAGTTGAGGCCACATGTTTCTTCGCCACATCCACAGAAAGAGAATAAGTCTGTTTTTCCAGTGATCTCCCTTAAGTGCAAGGAAGAAACTTCCCAGCAAACCTTCGGTGCAACTTTTCATCAGTCACATGAGCCCCTTCTTTTTAAATTACATTAAATGTTATTTTACTTAGCTACAGGGTCTCACTCTGTCGCCAAGGCTGGAGTACAATGTTGTGATCACAGCTCACTGCAGCCTTGAACTCCTTGTCTCAAGTGATCCTCCTATTTCAGCCTCCTGAGTAGCTGGGAACACAGGCACCACACTCAGCTAATAAGATGCCCCTTCTTAAACAAGGCATGGTAGGAAAGATAAGAACACCTGTAGACTAATAGGGCCACCCCCCTTTAGGTCGTTTCAGTTTCCCCAACCACATTGCTGCTAGAGAGAGGTGAAGGACAATGTTATCTATAGCATTTTCCGCCCCCCAAACATAGTAGAAGACATTTTCATATTCCTGTGTTCTCATCATGAAATATAACGTATTACAATGTTCTCGATTTTTTTTGTTGTTTGTTTGTTTTCTTTTTCTTTTCTTTTTTTTTTTTAGATGAAGTCTGGCTCTGTTGCCCAGGCTGGAGTGCAATGGTGTGATCTCAGCTCACTGCAACCTCCACCTCCTGGGTTCCAGTGATACTCCTACCTCTGCCTCCCTGGTAGCTGGGATTACAGGTGCACACAACCATGCCCGGCTAATTTTTGTATTTTTACTAGAGACAGGATTTCACCACGTTGGCCAGGCTGGTCTTGAACTCCTGACTTCAGGTGTGATCTGCCTGCTTTGGCCTCCCAAAGTGCTGGGATCATAGGCATGAGCCACCTCGCCCAGCCTAATGTTGTTGACAAATGGTTGAAAATATTATTTATTGCTCATGGATGGGAGTATCTTAAAAATGGTAAAAATGGAATTTGTCAAATACAAATGAGAAAATGGAAAGAAATGGAAATAGATAGTAAGGCTACATAAATTCACAGCCTTACTGTTGTGTTTAGCAAGAGTTTCATTTTTCCCTATATGGGCATATTGATACTTTTCTAAGAAAAATTTTAAAATATGTGGTTGATTCCTACATCCTTTATAGGTTTTTAAATACTTTTGGATTCACCTTTTACTGAACTTCGTGAAAGAATCTAAAGACAGAAAGAACTATATCTAGAACCTAAGAGCAGGAAAAGTTATTAGGTTTCTGTAGCTTCTGGTTTCCATTGTAGAGGGCTTCTGATAGAGCAGAAATCTCCCTTTCCCTCTACCTGACTCTACCTTTCTTCTATGGGAGTGGGAGTAGGTTATCTAAATGGTCAGTTGCAGATAAGGAACTGGGCAGATACATCCAGTGTGAAAATCTATTATCACTAACTGTATTTTTCACTCTATTTACATTTATTATTACTGATATACTGGAATTTATTTCTTTATCTGCAAAAAGAACATAAATTTAGTTTTTAAACATAAAACCTTTCCATATTTTGCCCTTTACTAGTTTTAAAGATATGCACTAAAACTTTTTTCTTGTAGTAGTTACCCTTGAAATTTGCACCACCTACCTTAACAAAACCTAATGATAATTCATGTCTTTAGCTTTACACCAAATAATCCTTTAATTCCAGCCACCACCTTCTAGGGTTACACTGCCATTGGGTCTAACCAGGTCTTTCCTTTTCTTTTTAATTTTAAAGACTTCATTTTTTTTTTTAGAGTAGGTTTAGTTTCACAGTAAAATTAAGAGGAAAGTACAGGCCAGGTGTGGTGGCTCATGCCTCTAGTCCCGGCACTTTGGGAGGCCGAGGAGGGCGGATCACTTGAGGTCAGGAGTTCGAGACCAGCCTGGCCAACATGGTGAAACCCCACCTCTACTAAAAATACAAAAATTAGCCAGGCATGGTGGCGGACACCTGTAGTCCCAGCTACTCAGGAGGCTGAGGCAGGAGAATCGCTTGAACCCAGGAGGCGGAGGTTGTAGTGCACCAAGATCACACCACTGCACTCCAGCCTGGGCAACAGAATGAGACCATGTCTCAAAAAAAGAAAAAGAAAAAAAAAAAGAGGAGCCGGGCACGGTGGCTGACGCCTGTAATCCCAGCACTTTGGGAGGCCGAGGCAGGTGGATCACGAGGTCAGGAGATTGAGACCATCCTGGTTAACACGGTGAAACCCCGTCTCTACTAAAAATACAAAAAATTAGCCGGGCATGGTGGCGGGCGCCTGTAGTCCCAGCTACTCGGGAGGCTGAGGCAGGAGAATGGCGTGAACCCAGGAGGCAGAGGTTGCAGTGAGCTGAGATCACGCCACTGCACTCCAGCCTGGGTGACAGAGCGAGACTCTGTCTCAAAAAAAAAAAGAGGAAAGTACAGAGGTTCTCCATACACTCCCTGCCCCTACATGTGCACAGCCTCCCCCATTATAAACATCCCCCACCAGAGCAGTACCTGTGCTGTAACCCATGAACCTACATTGACACACCATTTTCACCCAAAGTCCATAGTTTACATCAGGGTTTACTCTTGGTATTGTATATTCTATAGGTTTGGATAAATGTATAATGACATGTGTCCACCATTGTAGTATCATACAGGGTATTTTTCACTGCCCTAGAAATCTTTTGTGTTCCACGTAGTCATCCTTCCCTCTCTGCTAACCCCTGACATCCACTGATCTTTTTATTGTCACCATAATTTTGCCTCTTCCAGGATGTTGTATAGTTGGGATAATGCAATATGTAAACTTTTCAGATTGGTTTATTTCACTTAGCAATCTGAATTTAAGGTTTCTCCATGTCTTTTCATGACGTGATAGCTCATTTATTTTTACTGCTGAACAAGATTCCATTGTTTGGATGTGCCACAGTTTATCTGTTCAACTATGAAAGGTGCTCTTGCTGTTCTTTTTAGCCCCACAAATTAGACATTATTACTGCTTTCTAACCACCAATGTTTGTTTAGAATGACCCACACTTCAGATCTTTTTTCCAGGAACACTTTTTTTCCTTGTGAAATATATCCTTTGTAAATTCCTAGTAGAAAGCAAATTGCTTTTTATTTATCCTTCTTGGCATTTATAAGAATTTCTGAATCTGTGAATTACTGTCTTTCATCAGTTATGAAAAATTCTCAGCAACTATTACTTTAGTATTGCCTCTTCCTCATTTTGTTACCTTCTCCGAGAACTTGTAGGACATGTATGTCAACTTCTCACTTTGCAGGCACGTATCTTTTTTTTTTTTTTTTTTTGAGTTGGAGTTTTGCTCTGTCGCCCAGGCTAGAGTTCAGCGGCGCAATCTCAGCTCACTGCAAACTCCACCTCCCAGGTTCAAGTGATTCTCCTGCCTCAGCTTCCCAAGCAGCTGCAATTACAGGTGACCGACAGCACACCTGGCTAATTTTTGTATTTTTAGTAGAGACGGAGTTTCACCATGTTGTCTAGACTGGTCTCGAGTTCCTGACCTCAAGTGATCCTCAAGTGATCCACTATCTTGGCCACCCAAAATTCTGGGATTACAGGGGTAAGCCACCACACTGGCCTACAAGCACTTACCTTAATGAGTGTCTAGGTTTGTTAAGGCTGCTATAACAAAAACAGCATAGACTGGGTGGCTTATGAACAGCAGAAATTTATTTCTCACAGGTCTGAAGGCTGGGAAGTCCAAGATCGAGGTGCCAGCATGGTCAGGTTCTGGTGAGGGCCCGTTTCTTGGTTCATACATGGCTGTCTTCTTGCTGTTTCACAGGGGAAGAAGTGGGATGGGCTCTCTCTGGGACCTCTTTTTAAAAGGCACTAATCTCATCGTATGCCCTTAAGACTTAATCACCTCCCAAAGTCTCCACCTCCTAACACCATCACCTTAGGGGCTGAGATTTCAACGTACGAATTTCTGGGGAACATGAACATGCACACCATAGTGAGCAGTCTCTCGTAGTCTCTGTTTCTTGTTTCTGGGCTACAGTCTTTGAAATTGCTACAAATTTACCCTCTAGTTCGGTATTTAAACTTTTCCAGTATGCTGTTTAACTTTTCTGCCTTTTTTTCAACATTCTACTATGATAATTTTCAAAATAAGGATAAATTGAAAGAATATTACATTAAACTCCCATATACCCACCATCTATATTTTACAATTAGTATTTTACTATCCTTGTTTTATCACATATCTTTCCACTGTTGACCCCTCTATGCATAATCTCAACATTTTGCACACCAAAGTAAGTTGCAGCATCAGTATGTTTACTCCTGAATCTTCCATTTAGTTTTCATTTTAGATTTACATTATTTCCATTTCTAAAAGGTCCATTTACTCCTCTTTCACATATACCCAGTCATTTCTTGCTCATCACTTCTCTTTCCAATTCCTTTCATTTCTCAAATATCTTAGATATATTTACTTTACAGTCTATATCTAAAGTTCTCAGATTTAGCAATTAAAAATACAGAATGGGCCAGGCATGGTGGCTCATGTCTGTATTCCCAGCACTTTTGGGAAGCCGAGGCGGGTGGATCTCTTGAGGTCAGGAGTTTGAGACTACCCTGGCCAACATGGTGAAACCTGGTCTCCCTGGTCTCTACTAAGAATACAAAAATTAGTCGAGTATGGTGGTGTATGCCTGTAATCCCTACTCAAGAGGCTAAGGCATGAGAATTGCTTGAACTGGGGAGGTGGAGACTGCAGTGAGCCGAGACTGGGTCACTGCACTCCAGCCTGGGTGACAGACAGAGATCCTGTCTCAAAAAAAATAAATAAATAAAATGAAAAAAAAATAAAAATACAGAATGTAGGCCAGGTGTGGTGGCGCAGGGCTGTAATCCCAATGCTTTCAGAGGCTGGAGTGGGAGGATCACTTCAGCCTGGGAGGTCAAGTTTGCAGTGAGCCATGGTCCCACCACTGCACTCCAGCCTGGGCAACAGAGTAAGATCCTGTCTCAAAAAATATATAATTTTTAAAAAAATAATAAAAACACAAATACAAAATACCAAATTAAATTTGAATTTCAGGTAATTAACAAATAATGTTTTAGTATAAATTTCTCCAAAATATTGCGTGGGACATACTTATACTAAAGATTTATTCATTGCTTATCTGAAATTCCAAGTTAGCTGGGAACCCCATATTTTATCTAGATATTATCTGTTAACTCCCATATCTGAAGTCTCTATAGGGCTGATTGGTTTGTATTGCTGAATCTTTCTCTTTCACACCTCTTTCATGCCTAGGTAGAAGGTACATTCCTCCAGGGAGCTACATCTGCTTCTTCCAGGTGTCTGGGGCATTGCAGATCTGATCCACATTTTTTTTTTTTTTCGAGACAGAGTCTCACTCTGTTACCCAGGCTAGAGTGCCGTGGTGCGATCATGGCTCACTATAGCCTCAACCTCCCAGGCTCCAGTGATCCTCCCACCTCAGCCCCCAGAGTAGCTAGGACTACAGGCACACGCCACCAAACCCAGTTAATTTTTGTATTTTTAGTAGAGACAGGTTTCACCATGTTGCCCAGGAGGGTCTCAAATTCTTGAGCTCAAGCGATTCGCCCACCTCAGCCTCACAAAGTGCTGGGATTACAGGCGTGAGCCACAGCACCTGACCTCTCATTCTTTCTTTCTTTCTTTTTTTTTTTTTTTGAGACAGAGTCTTGCTCTGTCACTCAGGTTGGAGTACAGTGGTGTGATCTCAGCTCACTGCAACCTCTGCCTCCTGGGTTCAAGTGATTCTCATGTCTCAGCCTCCCGAGTAGCTGGGACTACAGGCATGCACCACCACACCCAGCTAATTTTTGTATTTTTTGTAGAGATGGGGTTTCACCATGTTGGCCAGGCTGGTCTTGAACTCCTGACCTCAAGTGATCCACCCGCCTCAGCCTCCCAAAGTGCTGGGATTACAGGTGTGAGCCACACACCCGGCCTGAGGAGTAATTCTGGCTCTCAAATTTCATTATTTAAGAAATACACTTCATTAGGCTATAGCTGCCATAGATAGTGATTCCTCAGATGGATATGGGCAAAGCAAACTGAAGACCTTCTGGAAAGAATTCACCATTCTAGATGCCATTAAGAACATTTGTGATTCATGAGAAGAGATCAAAATATCAACATTAACAGGAATTTGGAAGAAGTCAATCCTCATGGATGACTTTGAGTGGTTCATGACTTCAACAGAGGAAGTAACTGTTGATGTGGTGGAAATAGCAAGAGAACTAGAATTAGAAGTGGAGCCTACAGATGGGACTGAATTACTGCAACCGCGTGATCAAACTTGAACAGATGAAGAGTTGCTTCTTATGGATGAGGAACGAAAGTGATTTCTGGAGATAGAATCTACTCCTGGTGAATATGCTGTGAACATTGTTGAAATGACAACAAAGGATTTAGTATATTACATAAATTAATAATTAAAGCAGCAGCAGGCTTTGAGAGGATCGGCTCTAATTTTGAAAGTTCTCCTGTGGGTAAAAGGCTATCAGACAGCATCACATGCTACAGAGAAATCTTTAGCTCAAGAGGAGTCAATCTATGTGGCAAACTCCACTGTTGTCTTATTCTAAGAAATTGCCACAGCCACCTCAACCTTCAGCACCCACCACCACGATCAGTCAGCAGCCATCAACATGGAGGCCAGACACTCCACCAGCAAAATGATTACAGCCCACTGAAGGCTCAGATGATTGTCAAATTTTTAAGCAATAAAATATTTTTAAATTAAAGTATGGGCCGGGTGCAGTGGCTCACACTTGTATTCCCAGTACTTTGGGATGCTGAGGTGGGCGGGTCACCTGAGGTCAGGAGTTTGAGACCAGCCTGGCCAACATGGTAAAATCTCATCTCTACTAAAAATACAAAAATTAGCTGGGACTGGTGGCGGGCACCTGTAATCCCAGCTACTCAAGAGGCTGAGGCAGGAGAATTGTTTGAACCTGGGAGGCAGAGGTTGCAGTGAGCCGAGATTGCGCCACTGCACTCCAGCCTGGGCAACAGAGTGAGACTTTGTCTCAAATTAAATAAATAAATTAATTAATTAAACTATTATTTTTTTTTTAGACATAATGCTATTGCACACTGAGACTACAGTATAGTGTAAACATAGCTTTTATATGGACTGGGAAACCAAAATAATTTTTTTGTGACTTGTTGTATTGTGATATTTGGTTTATTGAGGCAATCTGGAACTGAACCTACAGTATCTCTGAGGTCTGCTGGTACTGCTGTGGGGCAGTACCACTCTGTGAGGGCAGAGGCTGTGGGTCGCTGTGGAGCAACTTCAGTGTTTACTCCCTGCCCTCCATGGACTTCTGTGCTGCTTTGCTCCTGGCATCAGAGAAATTCCAGCTGCATTTTTCAGATGCATCCATTTATTTAAATGAGAGATTTTAAGATTTTGGTGGGATTTTTAGATCTTTTGTAGACCCTCTGGTTAGCCTTATTGCTGGCAACCTGTGTTTTTTATTCATCAAATGGTCTTTTGATTTTATAAAGAGTTGCTTCCGGAGGTGTTAAATATGGAGATCTATCCAGGCAGACCCTATCTGATTGTTAACATCTGTAAGAAAAAATAAGCAGAATTCCTTTCACAATTCTATCTTACCTTGAGAAGCTAATCTTTTTTCTGGGTGTGCCACATGGTAGAAAAGTAAATCAGTTAAAGTAGCCACAATAAAAAGAAACAAAAAACCAACCAAGACAGTGCAACTGGAATGACCAGCTTCACCAGCTCAGTCACACACACAAAGTCACATCCCTTTAACATTCAAAGTAATCTACCTTACCGGAGAGAGAACTGGAGACCCTGATCAATCCACTAGTGATCCCCATTTCCACTGCTGCAGAGCCCACTCCCTATCCTGGGGTTCCTCAGGTACAGGCTCTTTATTTCTTCTCCAGGCACCCTGCCTCTGCTAGTTACATTCTCCCACATGGCCTGGATGCCTGCATCAGGAGGCGTGGCCAGCCTCCCCTGCATGACAACATTCCTGTTTACCCCACTACCCTCATCATCCAGCCTGGGTTTTGGTTCAGATTCCCATTCCCTCATAACAAGCAACTGCCTGCAGACACTTGAGATCATTTCCCGATAGAGGACCCCAGGCAGGCCTGACTCAACGTGGCTGGAATAATCTAATAACATTGTACCTCAAGACAGGAGGAATGTGTGCATGAGGGTCTCAATCCTGTAATGCCTTGGAGAAACCGGGACCATATGCAAAATTTCCTTTCCACTTCACAGCATAGCAAGGAGTATTGGGAATGGCAGCCTCTATCCAATCATTTAAAAATGGTCACGCTACATCCTTATTCCAGGGTAATAAGGGGTTAATTAAGAAGCACCGCTCAAGGCCCTGAGCGGGTAGCTCACACATGTAATCCCAGCACTTTGGGTGGCCAAGGCGGGTGGATCACTTGAGGTCAGGAGTTTGAGACCCTGTCTCTACTAAAAATAAAAATAAACAATTAGCCAGGCATGGTGGCGCACACCAGTAATCCCACCTACTCGGGAGGCTAAGCCACAAGAATCGCTTGAACCCAGGAGGCAGAGGTTGCAGTGAGCTGAGATTTTTGCCACTGCACTCCAGCCTGGGTGACAGAGCAAGACTATCTGAAAAAAAAAAAAAAAAAAAAAAAAGAACCACTCGAATGGTTGTCTCAGAAAAAAAATTTACTCCCAAGATGAGGTGCCTTATGATCTCCAACACTAGATGTAAAAGCAAATGGAAACTTTTATTTATGTATTTTTTTATTTTTAATTTTAATTTTTTGAAAATGAAAAGAAAAAGAATGATCTTAAATCAATAACATCACTTTCCAGCTTAATAAACTAGGGGGAAAAAAAAAGAACAAACTAAACCCAAAGCAAGCAAAAGGAAGGAAAAAATGAAGGCTAGAGTGGGAATAAATGAAATAAAGGATAGAAAAATAACAGAAAATACAGCCTGGGTAACGTGGTGAGACCCCATCTCTAAAAAAATCAGCTGGGCTTGGTAGCACATACCTGTAGTCCCAGCTACTTGGGAGGCTGAGGCGGGAGCATCGCTTGAACCCAGGAGGTAGAGCCTGCAGTGAGCAAGACTGTATCTCTGCACTTCAGCCTGGGTGACAAAGTGAGACACCATCTTAAAAAAAAGAAAGAAAGAGGCCGGGCGAGGTGGCTCACGCCTGTAATCCCAGCACTTTGGGAGGCTGAGGCAGGCGGGATCACCTTAGGTCAGGAGTTGGAGACCAGCCTGGCTAACATAATGAAACCCCATTTCTACTAAAAACACAAAAAATTAGCTGGGTGTGGTGGTGCGTGACTGTAATCCTAGCTACTCGGGGGGCTAAGGCAGGAGAATTGCTTGAACCCGGGAGGCGGAGGTTGCAGTGAGCCGAGATCATGCCATTGCACTCCAGCAGCTTGGGCAACAAAAGCAAAACTCCATCTAAAACAAACAAACAAACAAAAAAAAAAAAAAAAAAGAAGGAAGGAAGGAAAGAGAAAAGAAAAGAAAAACGAAAAATAAACCAAACCAAAAGTTGTTTCTCTTCAAAAGATCAGCAAAATTGATAAGCCTTCAGCTAGACCAAGGAATTAAAGAGAGAGAAAACTTAAACTATTAAATTATTTTTTTAATTTTTAAATTTATTTTTATTTTTAATTTTTTTGAGACGGAGTTTTGCTCTTGTCGCCCAGGCTGGAGTGCAGTGGCACTATCTCGGCTCACTGCAACCTCCATCTCCCAGGTTCAAGTGATTCTCCCACCTCAGCCTCCCGATTAGTTGGGATTACAGGCGCACATCACCATGCCCGGCTAATTTTTGTATTTTTAATAGAGATGGGAGTTCACCGTGTCAGCCAGGCTGGTATCGAACTCCTGAACTCAGGTGATCTGCCTGCCTCGGCCTCCCAAAGTGCTGGGATTACAGGCGCGAGCCACTGCGCCCAGTCTCAAATTACTAAAATTAGAACTGAAAAAGGGGACATGATTCCAATTCACAGGAGGAAAAAAAAGGATTAAAAGGGAATACCATGAACAACTGTATGTCAACAAATTAGACAATTTGGATGAAATGGACAAATTTCTAGAAAGACACAATGTACAAAAACTGAATCAAGAAAAACCAGAAGATCTGAATAGGCATATAACAAGTTAAAGGATTGAATTAGTAACTTTAAAACTTCTCACAAAGAAAAACTCAGGCGCGGGTCACCGCATTGGTGAATTCTACCAAACACTTAAATAAGAATCATACTAATTATTTATAAACTCTTCCAAAAAGCAGAAGAGGAAGTAGCTTCCCAGTTCATTCACTGAGGACAGTACTACTCTGATTCCAAAACCAGATGAGATATACAAGGAAAAAAAAACCCTACAGACCAATAGCTTTTACGAATATAGACGTAAAAATCCTCAACAAAACACAAGCAAGCTTAGCGCAGGAACATATAAAAAGGATTATACACCATGACCACGTGGGAACGATCCTGGGAATGCTAGGTTGATTTAAGATCTGATAGTCAATTAATGGAATATTACAAATTAATAGAACCAAGGGCAAAAAAAATTTGATCATCTCAATAAATGCAGACAAAGCAAGTGACAAAATCTGACACCTTTTCATGATAAAAATGCTCAACAAAAATGGGATAGAAAAGTCTTCCTCAACCTGATAATGGATAGAAGGAAGCTATAAAAAACCCAATGGTAGCCGGGCGCAATGGCTCATGCCTGTAATCACAGCAGGTTGGGAGGCCGAGGCGGGTGGATTACCTGAGGTCAGGAGTTGGAGACCAGCCTGGCCAACCTGGTGAAACCCTGTCTCTACTAAAAATACAAAAATTAGCCAGGTGTGGTGGCATGTGCCTGTAATCCCAGCTACTGCTACTCGGGAGGCTGAAGCAAGAGAATTGCTTGAACCAGGGAGGTGGAGGTTGCAGTGAGCCGAGATCACACCACTGCACTCCAGCCTGGGCGGTAGAGTGAGACTGAGTCTCACAAAACAAAAACGGCCAGGTGCGGTGGCTCACGCCTGTAATCCCAGCACTTTGGGAGGCCGAGGCAGGCAGATCACGAGGTCAGGAGTTCAAGACCAGCCTGGCCAACATGGTGAAACCCCATCTCTACTAAAAACACAAAAATTAGCTGGGCATGGTGGCAGGCACCTGTAATCCCAGCTACTTGGGAGGCTGAGGCAGGAGAATCGCTTGAGCCCGGGAGGCAGAGGTTGCAGTGAGCCGAGATTGCACCATTGCACTCCAGCCTGGGAGACAAGAGCGAGTTTTCGTCTAAAAAAACAAAACAAAACAAAACAAAACAAAACAAAACAAAAACCCAGTGGTAAAAAACCAAACGTTTTCCCCTAAGACTGGCAAGAAGACAAGGATGTCCGCTCTAGCCACTACTCTTTAACATTGTTCTAGAGGTTCTAGCCATGGAAATTAGGCAAGATAAGGAAATAAAATGCATCTAAGTTGGAAAAGAAAAGTAAAACTATTTCTATTTACAGATGACATGATCTCGTATAGAGAAAATTCTAAGGAGTCCACAAAAAAATCATTAGCCCTAATAACCGAGTTCAGCAAGTTTGCAGGATACAAGATCAATACACAAAAATCAACTATTTTTATACATTAGCAATTAACATTCTAAATATGTAATTAAGAAGTCAATTCCAGCTGGGCTCGGTGGCTCATGCCTATAATCCCAGCACTTTGGGAGGCCAAGGCCGGCGGATCACAAGGTCAAGAGATCGAGACCATCCTGGCCAACATGGTGAAACCCCATCTCTACTAAAAATATAAAAATTAGCCGGGACTGGTGGCATGCGTCTGTAATCCCAGCTATTCGGGAGGCTGAGGCAGGAGAATTGCTTGAACCCAGGAGGCGGAGCTTGCAGTGAGCCAAGATCGGCCACTGCACTCCAGCCTAGTGACAGAGCAAGACTCCGTCAAAAAAAAAAAAAAAAGGTCAATTCCATTTACAATAGCATCAGAAAGAATAAAATCCTTAGGTATAAATTTAACAACAGAGGTGCAAGACTTGTACATGCAGAACTATAAAATGTTGAAAGAAATTTAATAAGATCTCAATAGGCCGGGCATGTGGCTCATGCCTGTAATTCTAGCACTTCAGGAGGCCAAGGTGGGCGGATCACTTGAGGTGAGGAGTTTGAGACCAGCCTGGCTAACACGGTGAAACCCCATCTCTACTCAAAGTACAAACAATTAGCTGGGCGTGGTGGCGGGCGCCTGTAATCCCAGCTACTCAGGAGGCTGAGGCAGGAGAATCGTTTGAACCTGGGAAGCAGAGGTTGCAGTGAGCTGAGATCACGTCACTGCACTCCAGCCTGGCGACAGAGTGAGACTGTCTCAAAAAAAAAAAAAAAAAGAAAGGAAAAAAAAGAAAAGAAAGAAAGAAAGAAAAAAAAGATTGCAATAAACGAGAAGTCCTCACATGTTCATAGATGGGAAAATTTAATATTGTTAAGATGGCAATACTCCCCAAACTGATCTACTGATTCAGTGCAATCCCTACACTGAAAAATTCCAGCTGGCTTTTTTGCAGAAATTTACAAACTGACCCTAAAATTCTCATGGAATTCAAGGAACCCAGAAGAGCCAAGACAATTTGTAAAAAGAACAAAGGAGCCAGGCGCGGTTCACATCTATAGTCTCAGCTATTTGGGAGGCTGAGGCTGGGGGACTGCTTGAGACTAGGAGTTTGAGGCCAGCTGTGTCTTTACAAAAGAAGGAAGGAAGGAAGGAAGGGAGGGAGGGGAAGAAGGAAGGAAGGAGAGATGAAGAAAGAGAGAAAGAAAGAAAAATAAGACACAATTTACAAATTCAAAACGTGTTATAAGGGTTCAATAATCAAGATGGTGAGGTATTGGCACACAGGCAGGCATGTAGATCTATGAAACAAAAATAAACCCTTACATTTATGGTAAATTGATTTTGGAAAAGGGTCTCAAAACTATTTAACAGGGAAATAATAGTGTATTCAACAAATTGTACCAGAAAAACTAGGTATCCTCATGCAAAAGAATGAAGCTGGATCTCTATTTCATGCTATACACAAAACATAACTCAAAATGGATCAAAGACATAAATGAGAGCTTACTATAAAACTGTTATAAGAGGCCGGGTGCAGTGGCTCACACCTGTAATCCCAGCACTTTGGGAGGCCGAGGCAGGTGGTCAAAAGTTTGAGACCAGCCTGACCAATATGGGGAAACCCCGTCTCTACTAAGATTACAAAAATTTAGCTAGGCATGGTGGCGTGCACCTGTAGTCCCAGCTACTCGGGAAGCTGAGGCAGAAGAATCTCTTGAACCCAGGAGAAGGAGGTTGCAGTGAGTTGAGATCATGCCACTGCACTCCAGCCTGGGCGACAGAGCAAGACTCTGTCTCAAAAAACAAATGAACAAAAACAAAACAAACAACAAAAACACTGTTATAAGAAAACATAGGAATAAATCTTCATGACCTTCAGTTAGGAAATGGTTTCTTAGCTATGACTTCAAAAACACAAGCAATACAAGAAAAAAAATTTAGATGTCACGAGAACTAAAAACTTGTGTTGCAAATGATTCCATCAAGAAAGCAAAAAGATGCCGGGTGTGGTGGCTCACACCTGTAATCCCAGCACTTTGGGAGGCCGAGGCGGGCAGATCGTGAGGTCTGCAGTTCGAGACCAGCCTGGCCAACATGGTGAAACCCCGTCTACTAAAAATACAAAAATTAGTTGGGTGTGGTGGCGTGTGCCTGCAATCCCAGCTACTCAGGAGGCTGAGGCAGGAGAATCAGTTGAACCTGAGAGGCAGAGATTGCAGTGAGCCGAGTTCACCCCACTGCACTCCAGCCTGGGTGACAGAGTGAGACTCTGTCTCAAAAAAAAAAAAAAAAAAAAAAGCAAGCACAAAGACAACCCATGGAATAGGAAAAAAAAATTGCAAATTACAAATCTGATAATGGACTTGTATCCAGAATATATTAAAAACTCAGTGGCCGGGTGCAGTGGCTCACACCTGTAATCCCAGCACTTTGGGAGGCCAAGGGGGGCAGATCATCTGAGGTCAGGAGTTCGGAACCAGCCTGGCCAACATGGTGAAACCCCGTCTCTACTAAAAATACAAAAATTAGCTGGGCGTGGTGGTGGGCGCCTGTAATCCCAGCTACTTGGGAGGCTGAGGCAGGAGAATTGCTTGAACCCAGGAGGTGAAGGTTGCAGTGAGCTGAGATCGCGCCATTGCACTCCAGCCTGGGTGACAGCAAGACTCCGTCTCAAAAAAAAAAAAAAAAAAAAAATCTCAGCAATAAAAAGACACCCAATTTAAAATGGGCAAATGATTTGACTAGACTTTTCTCTAAAGAAGATACGTAATGGTCAAATGAGCACATGAAAAGATGCTCAGCCTCACTAATCATTAGCAAAATCAACACTGCAAGAAGAGTCTGCTTTATACTCACTAGGATGGCTATAATCAAAAAGATGAACACGTTTTAAAGATGTCATGGAGAAATAGCAATCCTCATAGCTTGCTGCTGGGAGTGTAAAATGGCATAGACTCTTTGAAAAACAATTTGGTAATTCCTTAAAAATTTAAACATAGAGTTACACATAACCCAGTAATTTCACTCCTAGGTATATACCCAAGAGAAATGAAAACATACATCCACATATAAACTTGTATACGGATGAATGTCTGTAGCAGCATTATTCATGATTGCCCCAAACTGGAAACAACATAAATGTCCATTAACATGTGTTGATGGCTAAATAAAATGTAGTATAACCATACAATGGAATATTATTCAGCTGTAAAAAGAAATAAAATACTGGCTGGGTCTAGTAGCTTATGCCAGTAATCCCAGGACTTTAGGAGTCTGGGGTGGGAGGATCGCTTGAGCCCAGGAGTTCAAGTCCAGCCTGGGCAACATAGTGAGGACTAGTCTTTTCAAAATATTAAAAAATTAGCCAGGTGTGGTGGTACAGCTACTTGGAAGGCTGAAGTGGGAGGATTACGTAAGCCCAGGAGGTCGAGGCTGCAGTGAGCTGTGATTGCACCACTGTACTCCAGCCTGGGCAACAGAGTGAGACCCCATCTCCAAAAAAAGAAAGAAAGAAAAAAGGAAATAAAGTACTGATACCTGCTACATGCTACAACACAAATGAACTTTGAAACCATTATGCTAAGTGAAAGAACTGAGTCACATAAAACACACATTGTATGATGCAATTTATATGAAATGTCCAGAATAGGCAAATCTAGAGAGGTGAAGTTAGATGAATGGTTGTTAAGAGCTGGGTATGGGGGTTGGAGTGGTAAAAGGGAGATAGGGAGTAATAGTTGATGGGCATGTTTTTTTTGTTTTTTTTTTTAGGGAGGACGAAAATATTCTAAAGTTAGATTGGGGTGATAGTTGCACAGCCCTGTGAACTTAGTAAAAAGAATTGAGTTGTAGGTTTTAAATGAGTAAGTTTTACGGTATGTGACTTATAACTCAGAAAGTTGTTTTTTAAAAAAATAACTTCATCAATGAGGGGCAAGTAGAAGTCACATACCTCCAGAGGACACAGAAAATAAACTGCAAACTTTTCTGTAACATAAATGGTCTGTATCCTTCAAAAATGCCAGCATCATGAAGGACAAACAATGGTTGGGGAAATCTGCTGGATTAGGAACATGCCACATATGATCCTGGACTGGATCCTGGAGAGAAAAATGTCTTCAAGGATATATTTGGGACAATCAACAAAATTAGAATGTGGATTATAGATGAGATTAAACTATTGTGTCAATGTTAAAATTTCTGAATTTCATAACTGTACTATGGTTAGGTAAGAAAATATCTTTTCTTTTCTTTTCTTTTTTTGAGATGGGGTCTCACTCTGTTACCCAGGCTGGAGTTCAGTGGCTCAAACTCAGCTCACTGCTCACTGGAGATCATGCGACCTCCTGGGCACAAGTGATCCTCCTGTCTCAGCCTCCCAAGTAGCTAGGATGACAGGTGTGCACCATCATGCCTGGCTAATTTTTATTTTTTGTAGAGATGGTGTCTCCTATGTTTCCCAAGCTGTCTTGAACTTCAAGTCTCAAGCGATCCTCCTGCCTCAGCTCCTAAAACGTTGGGATTATAGGAGTGAGCCACTGTGCCTGGCCAATATCTTTGTTATAAAGAAGAAACCCTAAAGTGAGAGGCATGATGTGTGCAATCTACTCTACCACAGACAGAGTAAAAATCAACACAAAGGGAATATATACATGTTTACATCAAATTAGTATATATTAATATACATACACATAAACATGTGTATATATGTACATAAAACAATATAAAAACATGTAACTGAATATAATATACATACACATACATATATATGTATACACAGAGAGAGAGAGAGAATTATGACAAATAGACAAACTTTAAAAAATCTTTGGATAAAAGATACACAAAAATTTCTCTAAATTATTCTTGTAACTTTCCCACATGTTTGAAGTCATTACAAAATAAAAAGGATTTATAATATAAGTCTATGGGGGCCAGGTGTGGTGGCTCACATCTGTATTCCCAGTATTTAGGGAGGCTGAGGGGGAGGATTGCTTGAGCCCAGGAGTTTGAGACCAGCCTGGGAAATATAGCAAGACCCTGTCTCTGTAAAACTTTAAAAATTGGCTGGGCACAGTGGCTAACGCCTGTAATCCCAGCACTTTGGGAGGTCGAGGCAGGGGGTTGGGGGGATCACAAGGTCAGGAGTTTGAGACCAGCCTGGCCAACATGGTGAAACCCCCGTCTCTACTAAAAATACAAAAATTAGCCGAGCCTGGTGGCGGACATCTGTAATCCCAGCTACTTGGGAGGCTGAGGCAGGAGAATCACTTGAATCCAGGAGGCGGAGTTTGCGGTGAGCTGAGATCGCACCATTGCACTCCAGCCTGGGTGACAGAGTGAGACTCTGTCTCAAAAAAAACAAAAAACAAAAAACAAACAAAACCTTAAAAATTAGCTAGGTGTGGTGGTGTACACCTGTGGTCCCAGCTACTCCGGAGGCTGAGGCAGGAGGATCCCTTGAGTCCAGGGGTGAGCTGCAATTAGCTATGATCACACCACTGCAGTCCAGCCTAAGTGACAGGGCAAGCCCTCAAAAAGCCTGAGTCCAACTTTAAAGAGTTTACCCTTTTATTTAAAAAACAACAACAAGAAAAAACACTTTTACAACAAATATTACAAGAGGTTAATAGGTATTAAGTCTTTGTTGTTGTTGTTTTGTTTTGTTTTGTTTTTCTGAGATGGAGTCTCACTCTGTTGCCCAGGCTGGAGTGCAATGGTGCGATCTCAGCTCACCGCAAACTCCGCCTCCCAGGTTCAAGCAATTCTCCTGCCTCAGCCTCCCAAGTAGCTGGGATTACAGGCATGAGCCACCATGCCCGGCCCAATAGGTATGAATTCTGTCTTTACGATCTCATGTAACACAGTGGAAGATGCAGGTTCCTGAAGATCAAAGAGGGTTTCTCACATCACATGGGCCAAGTTCCCCCAACTCTCCTTGTTTGCCTTACTTCCGGGAAAAGGGCAGTTCCCTGGGCTCTGCATGGTTTCTGGCCTTGACCCTAGCCGGCCGCACAGAGAAAATCAGAGGTCACTCTTCTCCAAATGGAGCCTCCATCACCTGATTCACCCCTTTACAACCCCATATCTGGTGGATAAGGCTATTCTGGTTTGGCTTTTTTTGGACTATGGTGTAGGACTTTATATTTAGTCAAGTGATTTTTTAAACTATAAAATGTAACACACACAAGAGTATTTTAAAAGATATGTTCATTTTTGAGGATAACAATAATATAAACACCTGTGTTCCATCCATCAGGCTACGAAATAGAATAGTATCCCCCTCTCTCTGCCCCAAAGCATCCCTTCCTTCCCCCTCTGCTCCTGACTTTTGCGATAACCATGCCTTTGCTTCTCTTCCTGGTCTTGATCCCCAACATATATTTCCCTAAACAATACACTGTTCAGCTCTGCCTGTTTTGAACTTTATATAAATGGATCTTATTGTAATGGGTTTTTTTTTCTATGACTTGCTTATTTCACTCAATGTTATGTTTTTGATGAATTTTCCCTATTAAAGATAACTTGTTAAAATCTGCCTATTAAATTTAAAAAATAAATATTAATTCTGGATGGAGGGTCAATAGATGTTTGTTAAATTCTCTACATTTCTAGGATTTTTCCTGCAAGTTAAATTATATTAAATTTAAAAGTGCATGCTTGAGTCTGCCTTTTAAAAAAACTTTCTAGGCCGGGTGCGGTGGCTCACACCTGTAATCCCAGCACTTTGGGAGGCCGAGGCAGGTGGATCACGAGGTCAGGAGTTCGAGACCAGCCTGGCCAAGATGGTGAAACTGTGTCTCTACTAAAAATACAAAAATTAACTGGGTGTGGTGGTGGGTGCCTGTAATCCCAGCTACTCAGGAGGCTGAGGCAGCAGAATTGCTTGAACCGGGAGGCGGAGGTTGCAGTGAGCCGAGATGGCGCCACCGCACTCTAGCCTGGGCGACAGACTGAGAATCTATCTCAAAAAATAATTATAATAAACAACTTTCTAGAGTCATGGATGAAGATGATTTGTCAAAGTGTGTGGCTGACAATCATGTTTTTCTGGGCTTTTATACCTGACTACTTTTATGACCTTGAGCTATTAATCATGGATCAGTTGCTAGCCTTGTGGATCATTGGCTATACACTTAAACATTCTTTTTTTTTTCTCTCTCTTTAAAGTAGGGAATAGGATTCACCCGTCATTTTGTTATGACATAACATTCTTTGAGGGAAGTTACTGACAATTGGAAATCAGATTTAAAGAACCTAACAATTTTAAGATTCATCATTTATTTAACGCTTTCAGCTTTTTGAAAAAGGAAGGAAAGGGGGAGTGGGGAAGAAAGAAAAAGAAGAAAATGAAAAAAAGACCACCACGATGAATTTACAAATCCTCCCAAAGTGCATCATAGTATCAAGAAAATACAGTAATTGGCCAAGCTCAGAAGTAATTAAAATTACATTGAAGAATCTTGAAAACAAAGGAAAATCGTCAGCACTAGGTACCTCTGGAATTTGGGAGTAAGGGAATGGCTAAAATAAGGAGGACTGGGTAAAGCCATGTATGAAGGTGAAATATCTAGATCTTCCTCTCCAGGTGTACACCACTGGGCAACTGTTTCTCATCTACATATGATCAATAAATTAGGTTTATCCTCTAGAGAAGATAAAACAGAAAGTCTCTGGATTGGCGGAAGCCAAGCACATTTGAGGGTCTAGGTAACATATCCAAAAGCCAGAAGATTAAGAAACAGTTTCTGAGAATATATTTGTTCTCAGGAAATATACATTGAAGTATGAAGAGGTTAATGGACATTATGTAGCAATCTCTACTCCCAAATGGTTCAGAAAAAAAAAAATACTAATTTTTGTGTGTGTGTTGGGGGGCAAAATATTAAATGTGGCAAAATGCTAAAAACTGGTAAATCCGGATAAAGAATATATGGGCATTCTCAGGACTTTTCTTGCAACTTTTATGTAAATTTGAAATAAAAAGCTTTTTTTTTTTTTTTTTTTTTAAAGAGAGACAATATGCATACTGAATGCTGAATGCAAAGAACACCAGATCATTTCTGCCTCTACCCATTGACTATCGAAAGCCCTATGGCCAGATCCTTACCCTACAGAATAATATCTCTCTCTATGGAGTTTGAGCAGCTCAAGAGGAAGGACTTAAAGTTACTTAATTGGGGGAATTCTCTCCCCAACAGCCCACTGAAAATGACTCCTATAGCACTCTATGCCCCACACACATGGTCAGATCTTCCAATCACCTCTTTAGTACTCCACACTTAAGCATAAACAGACAGCAGAGAGGCAAGATAGATACCAAAGCAAACAGAAAAAGCCCCACTTAGAGAATTAGAAATTATGCAAGGGGAAAAACCTGGGGGGGAAACTATCATTAATATTCTCAGAGAGATAAGGCATTACATTCATGAAATAAGAAGATCCCCTTCTATTAAAAGGAACATTCAGAGAATACAAAATAGCTCTTAGAAATTTTTTAAATGTGGCCGGGCGCGGTGGCTCACGCCTGTAATCCCAGCACTTTGGGAGGCCGAGGCGGGCGGATCACGAGGTCAGGAGATCGAGACCATCCTGGCTAAAACGGTGAAACCCCGTCTCTACTAAAAATACAAAAAATTAGCCGGGCGTAGTGGCGGGCGCCTGTAGTCCCAGCTACTTGGGAGGCTGAGGCAGGAGAATGGCGTGAACCCGGGAGGCGGAGCTTGCAGTGAGCCGAGATCCCGCCACTGCACTCCAGCCTGGGCGACAGAGCGAGACTCCGTCTCAAAAAAAAAAAAAAAAAAGAAATTTTTTAAATGTTAGTAAAAATGAAGAAATCCATAAAAAATTAGAAAAATAAAATTTTAGGATTTCCCCAAAAGTAGAGAAAAAAGACAAAGAGACAGAAAATTAAAGAGAAAAGGGGATAAAATAAGAGGATCTATCCAGTGGAACCAAAACCCAAACAATAGGAGATCTAGAAAAAGGGAAAATGAGAAGAAGATATCAGCAATGAAATAATTCAATAAAACTTATCAGGATGAATAACAAATTGTCAAATTGAAAGCCCCATTGAGTGTCTGACACAATAGATTAAAAGACTTACACCAAGATAAATCACTGTGAATTTTCAGAACATTTGGAACAGAGAAAATTCTACAAGCCTCTAGCGACAGGGGATAAAAACAAATTATGAAAAGAGAGGGGGTAAAATCTGGAATCTACATGGTTTTGGATTTCTTCTTAGAAACTCTAGAAGCAAAAAGACTACAGAGACTATAAGATTGTGAAGGAAAATTATTTTCAGGCCAGGTGTGGTGGCTCACACCTGTAATCCCAGCACTTTGGGAGGCCAAGGCAGATGCATTACCTGAAATCAGGAGTTTGAGACCAGCCTAGCCGACATATCAAAACTCCATCTCTATTAAAAATACAAAAATTAGCTGGGTGTGGTGGCACATGCCCATAGTTCCAGCTACTTGGGAGGCTGAGGCAGGAGAATCATTTAAACCCCAGGAGGCGGAGGCTGCACTGAGCCAAGATCACGTCACTACACTCCAACATGGGCAACAGAGCAAGACTCTGTCTCAAAAAAAAAATTATTTTCATATATAATTTTATTTTTATACCCAGGTCAGTTATCATTTATGTATGAAGATAGATTAGAGTTGGGTGTGGTAGCTCTTGCCTTATAATCCCAGCACTTTGGGAGGCTGAGGTGGGAGGATTGCTTGAGCCCAGGAGTTTGAGAATAGCCTGGGCAACATAGTAAGACCCTGTCGCTACAAAAAATAATCTTAAAAATTAACTGGGCATGGTGGTGCATGCCTGTAGTCTCAGCTATTCAGGAGCAAGAGGCAGGAAGATTGCTTGAGCCTGGTAGGTCGAGGCTGCAGTGAGCTGTGATTGTGCCGCTGCATTACAGCCTGGATGACAGAGCAAGACCCTGTCTCAAAAAAATAAAAATTAAAAAAAATATAAATATATATATATACACACACACACACACATATAGATAGATAGATAGATAGATAGATAGATAGATAGATAGAGATATAGATGGATCACAAACATTTTCAGATTTTCAAAAATCTCTTCCCCAAATTTGCCTCCCATCTACTCTTGACTCAAGATGCTCTCAAACAAACAAACAAACAAAACTTAGTCAAGAACCAGGAAATATATCAGTAAAAAGAAGATTCTAGACAGGAGAGGGGCAAAGCAAATACAAGCAGAACCATGAAAAGACATTCTAGGACCATAGTTACACAGCAGATGTACAGGGCAACATATTGAGCACATTCAAACTACCAACATACTGAAGATTATAATTTCCAAGATCCCTGTTGCCATTGAACCATCTTTTCTTTTTCTTTTCTTTTCTTTTTTTTTTTTTTTTTGAGATGGAGTTACACTCTTGTTGCCTAGGCTGGAGTGCAATGGTGCAATCTCGGCTCACCGCAACCTCCGCCTCCAGGGTTCAAGCGATTCTCCTGCTTTAGCCTCCCAAGTAGCTGGGATTACAGGCATGCACAACCATGCCCCGCTAATTTCGTATTTTTTTTAGTAGAGATGGGGTTTCTCCATGTTGCTCAGGCTTGTCTCGAACTCCCGACCTCAGGTGATCTGCCCGCCTTAGCCTCCCAAAGTGTTGGGATTAAGGTGTGAGCCACCGTGCCCAGCTGAGCCATCTTTTCAACTTGAGGACACAGTGAGCCTGGCACTGATTCTTTTTTTTTTTTTTTAGATGGAGTCTCCCACTGTCGCCCAAGCTGGAGTGCAGTGGCACAATCTTGGCTCATTGCAACCTCCACCTCCTGGGTTCAAGCGATTCTCCTGCCTCAGCCTCCCAAGTAGCTCACCATCAGTCCTGGCTAATTTTTTCTTTATTTTTAGTAGAGACGGGGTTTCACTGTGTTGGCCAGGCTGGTCTCGAACTCCTGACCTCATGATCCACCCCACCCCCTGCCCCCGCTTTGGCCTCCCAAAGTGCTGGGATTACAGGTGTGAGCCACCAGGGCCTGGCACTGATTCTTATCTAATGTGGCTTGGCTTAAAGCCATATGAGAATGAATTTCTGCTCTTCTTTCTACGTCCTGCTGCCTAAATCAACTGAAGACATTTACTTCACCCCACAGAAATGGTCTGTTTTGATTTACTCATGAGCACTAGAAGTAGGTTATAAGCGGCCGGGTGCGGTGGCTCACGCCTGTAATCTCAGCACTTTGGGAGGCTGAGGCCAGCGAATCATGATGTCAGGAGTTCGAGACCAGCCTGGCCAATGTGGTGAAACCCTGTCTCTACTAAAAATAAAAAAATTAGCCGGGCGTGGTGGCATGTGCCTGTCATCCCAGCTACATGGGAGGCTGAGGCAGAAGAATCGCTTGAACCCAAGAGGTGCAGATTGCAGTGGGACAAGGTTATGCCACTGGACTCCAGCCAGGGTGACAGAGGGAGGCTCTGTCTCAAAAAAAAAAAAAAAAAAAGAAATAGATCATAAGCATAGAAGCATAAAATACATACTACATACTTTAAGAGGCTGAGGCAGGAGGATTATGTGAGGCCTGGAGTTTGAGACCAGCCTGGGCAACATAGCAAGACCCCATGTCTACAAAATATTAAGAAAACAAACTTAGCTGAGTGTGGTGGCACACATTTGTAGTTTCAGCTACTTAGGAGGCTGAGGCGGGAGGATTGGTTGAGCCCAGAAGTTCAAGGCTACAGTGAGCTGTGGTTGGGCCACTGCACTCCAGCCTGGAAGACAGAATAAGATCCTGCATCTTAAAGAAAAGAAAAGAAAACGGGGCATAAAATACAAAGCAACTCACTCTCACACATTTCTGTCATGTATCCACCACCAAGTCTATGTACGCTCCAGCCAAACCTGATGGCCCAGCCATGCTGAGCCCTGTGATACCCCACCTCACTCATGATTTTACCCACAGACCCTCACATAACAGTAGTCTTTTCTCTACAGAACTAGATTTTTATTTGTTATGTACTTTTTAAAAATAAACAACCTATTATTTAGGAATACAAATTAAGATGGAAAACTAAAGAAAAGCAAGAAATTATCAACACAGGATAGTGATTACCTATAGTTGGGGAGAGGGAAATGGAGGGAAATGCAGCTGAAGGGAGAACATTAAAGGTACTAGTAATGTTTTATTTATCAGCATGAGTATGTATAGGGGTGTGTGTGTGTGTGTGTGTGTTTGTGTGTGTGGTTTTTTTTTTTTTTTTTGAGACAGAGTCTTCCTCTGTTGCCCAGGCTGGAGTGCAGTGGTATGATCTCGGCTCACTGAAATATCCGCCTCCTGGGTTCAAGTGATTCTTATGCCTCAGCCTTCCGAGCAGCTGGGATTATAGGTGCCTGCCACGACACCTGGCTAATTTTTGTATCTTTAGGAGAGACAGGGTTTTGCCATGTTGGCCAGGCTGTTTGGAACTCCTGACCTCAAGTGATCCACCTGCCTCGGCCTCCCAAAGTGCTGGGATTATAGGCTTGAGCCACTGCACCCAGCCCTGAATATCTGTATTAGGTACTGTTGCCTTCCTGGGGTGAAGGACGTCAATGACCATTTATTTCCTCTGAAGTAGTCGGTTGGTCATGAACTTCCTTTTTTTTGGGACGGAGTCTCGCTCTGTCACCCAGGCTGGAGTGCAGTGGCACAATCTCGGCTCACTGCAACCTCCGCCTCTCAGGTTCAGGTGATTCTCCTGCCTCAGGCTCCTGAGTAGCTATGATTACAGGTGTGAGCCACCACGCCTGGCTGGTCATGAACTTTCTAATTCAGATAGTTACTGTACCATTCATGATGGTGGTCAATCCTTAGACGGCCAGGGAAGAAAAAAGGGCAGACTAATTTAAAACAATTTTTTCCTCAAGAAATTTCAATGATCCTCTTACAATCCATTTTTAAGTGCTCAAGTAATCTGTATGGTTAGAGGAAGGGTGAATGTGACTGAACGCAGGAGGTGAATCTCTAGAGGCAGACAATGCCAGGTCATGAAGAGCCTTGTGTGCTGAAATCATTCTGTGTTGCAGGGAGGTCTCCAGCTAATCCTGGACAAAGACCAGGTATGTGCTGCCAATGACCTCCACCCCCAGTCTTGCTTCATCAGTGCATGTTGGGTAGATGAGGACACACTGTGGAACTCTAGTAACACGTAATATGGGAGCTCACAGGAAATGCCATAGCTTCTAAAATCAGGTCAGCAGTTTTTTGAGAAACAGCTCTTGCCTTGCCGCTGGTCTTTGGTAGGAGTTGAACATCTAGCCATTAGACACCACGGCAACAGGTAAGCTGAGCTGCCTTACATGGACCAGGTGTCAGCGGATCCAATCAGCCACTGTACTGCTACTGCTCATTGGTACTACATCTTCCAAAGAAACGGGTACATGTAACAAGGATTAGGCCAGAACAGGTCCTGGAAGATGACTGCTTCAAGAACAGATGGATCAATGACTCTGCGCGGTGGCTCACGCCTGTATTACCAAAGCTTTGCAAGGCCGAGGCAGACGGATCACCTGGGATCAGGAGTTTGAGACCAGCCTGGCCAACATGGTGATACCCTGTCTCTACTAAAAATACAAAAATTAGCTAGGCTTGGTGGTACGTGCCTATAATCCCAGCTACTTGGGAGGCTGTGGCAGGAGAATTACTTGAACCCGGGAGGTGGAGGTTGCAGTGAGCTGAGACCACGCCACTGTACTCCAGTCTGGGCGACAGAGTGAGACTCCATCCTGCCCCCACCAAAAAAAAAAAAAAGAACAGGTGGATGATATTTGCAGTATGTCTACTCATGGTGCACTCTGGCCCCCGCTTAACTGTGGACACTACTGTGTCCTTATGGAGAATTCTTCACTAAATCCAACTGAATGAGGAAAAACTATTTTGAGCCTGGCTTACCAGTGGAATTTGTGGTGCTGTAGTCTCACTAAGAAGTCGTCCTGGGGCTGGGCGCAGTGGCTCATGCCTGTAATCCCAGCACTTTGGGAGGCCGGGGCGGGCGGATCACCTGAGGTCAGGAGTTGGAGACCAGCCTGGCCAACATGGTGAAACCTTGTCTCTACAAAAATACAAAATTAGCCAGGAGTGGTGCTGTGTGCCTGTAATCCTAGCTACTTGGGAGGCTGAGGCAGGAGAATCGCTTCAACCCAGGAGGTGGAGGTTGCAGTGATTGGAGATGGCACCATTGCACTCCAGCCTGGGCAACAGGAGCAAAACTCCATCTCAAAAAAAAAAAAAAAAAAAGAAGAAGAAGAAGAAGAAGAAGTTGTCCTGAAGACAGTGAAGCAGAAAAATCCTCCAGCCAGATAGAACATTAAGCAGCACATCTCCTTGTCCAGCTCATCAAGAAGAGAATAGCCTGAAATGAGAACCTACCTCAATTCACGAGTAAAGGCTGGTGGCTGGACTGGATGATCAGTGACTTGGAATGATCTTGATTTGGAGGGTGGCAGCTTTAGGGAGGAGGTTTGAGGACAGACCTCTCAGAATGGGCCAGGAGTATGCAACTCTCTGTGCCCAGATAGATGTTCACCAACAGCCCTAATAACCAGGTTGGCAAGATGACTGGAGCTACCTGCCTCCTTCTCCCACCACTTCAGTGCTTGCTCAATGACTCATGAATAAAGTGGCAGTGGTGGCAAGGCAGGAGCTGTGCAAAACCTCATCAACGTGAACTTCCCTTCACCAAAGCCAGCCTTGGGTATCATGGGCTCATGGCCATTGCTTTGGCCTAGCATGCCAGCAGCAGCCACCAGTCCTGAGTCCCCATATGGTATCACTTCCGGGAATCAGTTGTTATGTGGTAGTAGGCTGATTACAAACCAAAGGACCTCTTCAGTCCTGAAGGGGCTAACAATCCATCCTCACACGGAAGGAGACATAGGGGGCAACAGTACATCCTCACAAGGAGGGGCACGTATGCTTACTTTGCATTTGTTTTCATTGCCTGTTGTATTTGTAGCACCACCATCCACAGACTTACAGAAAGTTATACTTGTCATAGGACTCCTGAATAATATTACCTGTAACCTAAAAAATCAGTCCACACTGAAAAAAGAAAAGGGCTGGGGTTTATCTTCTCAGGATTCATTGATCTTACCGTGTACTCAATCACCTAACAGCAGCTAGCTGCTCATTTACAGGGGTAGCATGGACCATTGTAGTCAAGTGGGAACAATAACGTAATCGCCAGCTGCTACAGAGAGATGAAGCAGGAGAAAACTTTCCCATCCGAGTGGAACTGGACATGCAGAATCATGTGGATACGAAAAAGCCGCATATCTGAGGCACTGCAGGTAGTTGAGAAGGGCAGAAAATGGGGCAGGCAGGTGAGCTTTGTGGGTCCCACTGTAATCCCAACACTTTGGAAGGGTGAGGTGGGTGGATCATTTGAGGTCAGGAGTTCGAGACCAGCCTGGCTAACATGGTGAAACTCTGTCTCCACTAAAAATACAAAAATTAGCTGGGCGTGGTGGCACACAACCTGGGCTTTCCCCTACAGGTGATAGGAAGCCAAAGATGGTTGCTGTAAGAGCGACAGGGACCAGGACAGTTTACATTTTGGAGGAAAGCCTCATAACCTCCTCCCCTCTGCAAGCTACTTGGGAGGCTGAGGCAGGAGAATGGCGTGAACCCAGGAGGTGGAGCTTGCAGTGAGTTGAGATCGCGCCACTGTACTCCAGCCTGGGCAACAGAGCAAGACTCTGTCTCAAAAAAAAAATAAAAAATTAAAATAAAGAAAACGTTATTTATAGATACAACAGAAATCACATGGCTTACAGAAGGATATAAACAACTTACTGAAAACTAAAATGAAATGGATACATTCTTAGAAAAATATGTTATCAAAACTGGTTACAGAAGATAGAAAACCGTAATAATCTTATGACCATTAAGAAACTGAATCAGGATGCAAACATTTTTCTATGAAGAAAATACTACATCTGGATGCTTTTATTGATGAATTTTCCCAAATGTTTAAAGAAAAAATAATTATGTTCTATAAAACGTTCTAGAGTATAGAAAAAGAAGGAACGCTCCTTTCTCATTTCATGAAGCAAGCATAACTTTGATACAAAACCAAGCAAGAGGCCGGGCGTGGTGGCTCATGCCTATAATCCCAGAACTTTGAGGGGCCAAGGCGGGAGGATCACCTGAGGTCAAGAGTTCAAGACCAGCCAACATGGTGAAACCCTGTCTCTACCAAAAATACAAAAATTAGCCAGGTGTGGTGAGGCGTGCCTGTAATCCCAACTACTAGGGAGCCTGAGGCAGGAGAATCGCTTGAACCCAGGAGGTTGCAGTGAGCCAAGATTGTGCCACTGCATTCCAGCCTGGGTGACAGAGCAAGACTCTGTCTCAAAACAAAAAACAAAACAACTCTTAGCAATGTGGAAATAGAAGGGAAGTTCTTCATCCTCATAAAGAGGATCCTCAAAATACCTATAGCAAACATCACCCTTAATTTGAAAGCATTCCTTCTAAGATTAGAAGCAAGATAAGGGTACCAATTATCATCGCACAAATGACAAAAAAGGGAAAGGATACCTTTATGTAAACGAATAATAGGAGCTTCCACTCGACAAAAGACACGCTTAAAAAGACTGAAAGGAAAAGCTTAAAACTAGGGGACATAATATGCAACATACATGAACTGACATGTATCAGTACCTTGAATATATGAAGAACTATGAAAAATATAAGCAATCCAATAGAAAAATAGACAAAAGACTTGAAGAAGAGCTTCCCAGAAAAGAAAACTCAAATGGCCAATAAACAAAGGTCAATCTCACTAGTAATCAAGGAAATGCAAATTAAAATACTACAAATAATAACAACTCTAATAAGAGTTAACACTTACATTGTGGTCTCTATATAACTTAGATTGGTTTAGTGCCACAACTATATGTAGTAACTTTAAAAATTCTCACAACAATCCTATGTCATAGTATGGTAGGTATTAGTGCTATTCACTAATAAACCTTGCATGAGAAAACATAAGAATCCTTAAAATCATGTAGTATAAATCCAGCAAACTTTGTCCTTTTTCAAAGTTTATGACAATCCTGTACTTTGTATTTCATAAGACTTTAGAATTTGCTTGTCAGTTTCTTTTCCTTTTTTTTTTTTTTGAGATGGAGTTTCACTCTTGTCACCCAGGCTGGAGTACAGTGGCATGATCTCAGTTCACTGCAACATCTGCCTTCTGGGTTCAGGCGATTCTCCTGCCTCAGCCTCCCCAGTAGCTGGGATAACAGGCGTGCACCACCACGCCCAGCTAACTTTTGTATTTTTAGTAGAGACAAGGTTTCACCATGTTGGCCAGGCTGATCTCGAACTCCTGACTGCAGGTATTCTGCCTGCCTTGGTCTCCCAAAGTGCTGGGATTACAGGCGTGAGCCACAACGCCCGGCCTGCTTGTCAGTTTCTATAAACAAAGCCTGCTGGGATTATGATTACAATTGAATCCATAGCTGAATTTGGGAATAATTGATATCTTAACACCATTGAGGTTTCCAACCACAAAACAAGGTGTATCTTTCCATTTTCTTAGTTCTTTTTTTTTTTTTTTGAGACAAAGTTTTGCTTTTGTTGCCCAGGCTGGAGTGCAGTGGGGTGATCTCTGCTCACTGCAACCTCTGCCTCCCAGGTTCAAGTGATTCTCCTGCCTCAGCCTCCCGAGTAGCTGGGATTACAGGTGCCCGCCACCAGGTCCAGCTAATTTTTTTTTTTTTGTATTTTTAGTAGAGACAGGGTTTCACTATGCTGGTTGAACTCCTGACCTCAGGTGATCCACCCGCCTCGGCCTCCCAAAGTGCTGGGATTACAGGCGTGAGCCACTACGCCCGGCCCCATTTTCTTAGTTCTTAGCTCTTGGCAATATTTTGCAGCATTCAATGAACAGATCTCGCACTTATTTTGTCAGATTTATCCCCAAAGCTTTCATACTTTTAAGCAACTGTACAAAGCTAGTTTTTTTTTAATCGCCAATTGTTTGTTGTTAGTATACAGAAATACACTTTATTTTTTTAAAAAAATTCTGGTAAAATACACAAAACATAAAATTTACCATCTTAACAATTTCTAGGTGTTCACTTGATGGGTGTTAAAAATACATTGATATTGTACAACCATCACCACTATTCATCTCCAGAACTCTTTTCATCTTGTAAAACCAAATATCTGTACCTATTCAATAATAACTCCTCATTTTTCTTTTCCTCCAGGACCTGGCAACTACTATACAACTTTCCGTTTCTGTAAATTTGACTACTTTATGTAAGGGAAATCATACAATATTTATATTTTTGTGACTGGCCTATTTCGCTTGACACAATGTCCTCAAGTTTCATCAATGTTGTAGCGTATGTCAGAATTTCCTTCCCTTTTTAAGGCCAAATAATATTCCACTGTATGTATATACCACATTTTGTTTATCCATTCATCTGTTGATGAACATTTGAGTTGCTGCCACTTCTTGGCTACTGTGAATACTGCTACTCTGAACATGGGTATACAAACATCTCTTCAAGATTCTGTTTTCAATTTTTTTTTTTTTGAGACGGAGTCTCACTCTTTGTTGCCCAGGCTGGAGTGTAGTGGTGCAATCTCGGCTCACTGTAACCTCTGCCCTCCAGGTTCAAGAAATTCTCCTGCCTCAGGCTCCCAAGTAGCTGGCATTACAGGCTTGCGCCACCACGCCCAGCTAATTTTTGCATTTTTAGTAGAGACAGGGTTTCGCCATGTTGGCCAGGCTGGTCTCCAACTCCTGACCTCAGGTGATCCGCCCGCTTTGGCCTCCCAAAGTCTGGGATTATAGGTGTGAGCCACCGCGCCTGGCCTGTTTTCAATTCTTTTGTATATATATCCAGAAGTGAGATTGCTAGATCTTATGGTAATTCTATTTTTCACTTTTGAGGAAGCTTTATACTGTTTTCCACAGTGGCTGCACCATTTTATATTCTTAACAACACTACACAAGGACTCCAATTTTTCCACATGCTTACCAACACTTCTTGTTTTTTTTTTTTTTGAGACAGAGTCTTGCTCTGTCACCCAAGCTGGAGTGCAGTGGCATGATCTCGGCTCACTACAAGCTCCGCTGCCCGGGTTCATGCCATTCTCCTGCCTCAGCCTCCCGAGCAGCTGGGACCACAGGCGCCCACCACCACTCCTGGCTAATTTTTTTGTATCTTTAGTAGAGATGGGGTTTCACCGTGTTAGCCAGGATGGTCTCGATCTCCTGACCTCATGATCCACCCGCCTCGGCCTCCCAAAGTGCTGGGATTACAGGCGTGAGCCACCGCGTCCAGCCCACTTCTTGTTTTTTGTTTGTTTGTTTGTTTGTTTTGAGACGGAGTCTCACTCTGTTGCCAGGCTGGAGGCTGGAGTGCAGTGGTGTGACCTCGGCACACTGCAATCTCCACCTCCTGGGTTCAAGCGATTCCCCAGCCTCAGACTCCCAAGTAGCTGGGACTACAGGTGTGCACCACCACGCCCAACTAGTTTTTTCTCTTAGTAGAGACGGGGTTTCATCATGTTGGCCAGGATGGTCTCGATCTCCTGACCTCGTGATCCGCCCGCCTCCGGCTCCCAAAGTGCTGGGATTACAGGCATGAGCCACGATGCCTGGCCGTATATTGATCTTATATCCTGCAACCTTGATAAACCTATTAATTCTAGCAGTTGTTTGTAGGATATTTTAGATATTCGATCATGTCATCTGTGAACAAAGATAGCTTTCTTTCTTTCCAATTTGGATGCCTTTTTATTTTCTTTCCTTACTGTTCTGCCTAGAAACTATAGTACCATGTTGACTAGAGAAGTGGTGACAACAGATATCTTTGCTATGATCATGTCTTAGAGGGAAAGTATTTGTCTTTCATCATTAAGTACCATGTTAATTGCAGGTTTTTTGAGATTTCTTTTATCATTTTGAGGAAGTTCCTTCCTATTTCTAATTTGCTCATATTTTTATCAGGAATAGATGGATTTTGTCAAATGCTTCTCTCTTCATCGAGATAATCATATGAGTTTCCCTTTTTAGTTTGTCAATGTGATGAATTACATTGATTGATTTTCAAATGTTAAAGCAGCCTTGCATTCCTAGGACAAAGCCAGCTGGTCATGTTCATGAAGGACATCCGTTTTCTTGGAATGCCTTTGTCTGCTTTTGGAATGAGAGTAATGCTAACTTCATAAAGTGAATTGGGGAATATTCCCTTCTCTTCAAATTTCTAGAAGAATTTGTGTAAAATTCGTTTTATTTATTTACTGTTTGGTAGAATTTGTCAGTGAAATAATCTGTGCCTGACTTTTAACTATAAATTTTGTCATTCTTATAGATACAGGATTATTCAAATCGTCTACTTATTCTTATGTGACTTTTAGTACATTGTCTTCCAAGGAATTTTTTTCATTCAATCTAAGTTCTTAAACATATTGCCATAAAGTTGTTCACAATATTCCTTGTTTTTTTAATGCACTTAGAGTCTATAGTTATGTTTTTTCATTCCTCATATTGTTAATTTATATTTTCTGTTTTCCTAGTCAATCTTCTTAGAACTTTATCAATTTTATTAAGCTTTTCAAAGAAGTCTTTTGGTTTCATTGATTTTCTCTATTGCTTTTCTGCTTTCCATTTCATTGATTGGTGCTCTTCATTATTTCCTCCTTTCTACTTATTATGTGGCTTGTTCTTTTTTTCTCCAGTTTTTTTGAGTAGATGCTTAGTTAATGGATTTGAGACATCTCTTCTAATATGACCATTTAAATTTCTCTCTAGGTATAGATTTAGCTGTATTCCATAGTTTTGATATGTTTCTTTTTATGTGCATTCAATGAAACATCTGTTCAAATTTCTTGAACATCTGTTTTAGAAGTTTTCTAACTTCTCTTGTCATTTTCTGTTTGACTCATGTTGTTTGATTTGCAAATATTTGGTTTTCCAGACTAATTTCATTTTGATCAGCAATCACACTTAATATAATTCTAATCTCTTAAATTTATCAAAATTTATTTTACAACACAGAACATAGTCTATCTTGGTGAATATTTTCTGCACACTGGCAGAGTACATGGATTCTTTTGCTGTTGGGTACAATGTCCTATAAACAAGTAGCTCAAGTTAATCGACAATATTGCTCAAGCATTACTCCTTTTCTTTCTACTTAAAAACCTCAATTATTAGCATAGTGTTGAAATCTTAAACTTTAATTGTGGATTTCTCTATTTTTCCTTTAGGCGCTCAGTATTTTTATTATTTATTTATTTATTTATTTATTTATTTATTTATTGAGACAGAGTCTCCCTCTGTCACCCAGGCTTGAGTGCAGTAGTGCAATCTCGGCTTACTGCAACCTCTGCCTCCTGGGTTCAAGCGATTCTCCTGCCTCAGCCTCCTGAGTAGCTGGGATTATAGGCATGCACCACCACGCCTGGCTAATTTTTGTATTTTTAGTAGAGATGGGGTTTCACCATGTTGGTCAGGTTGGTCTCAAACACCTGACCTCGTGATCAGCCCACCTTGGCCTCCCAAAGTGCTGGGATTACAGGCGTGAGCCACCGTGCCCTGGTGGCTCTCAGTTTTTGATTCAGCATTTTGTAGGCCTGTTATTTGTTCCATAAGCATTTTGGATTATTGTGTCTATTTGATAAATTGACTCTCTTATCATTCTGAAATATTAATCTTTATTCCTGGTAATATTCCCTGTTCTGAAATCTGTCTGTTTGATAGTAATACTGTCACTCCATCATTCTTTTGGTTCGTGTTTGCCTGGCATGTATTTTTCATTCTTTTGCATTTAACATATTTGTGTTTATCTAAAATGTGTTCCTACAAACAGCACATATTTTGCTCTTGCTTTTATATACAATCTGATAATCTCTGCCTCTTAGTTTGATGTTTAGACCACTTATATTTAATACAATTATCAATATAGTTGAGTTTAAGTGTATCATCTTGCTATAGTTTTCTATTTGTCTAATCTGGTTTTTACTCCTTTTTTTTCTTCTTTTCCTGTTTTCTTCTAAATTGAGTATTTTTGTGACTCTTTTATTTCCACGATTGGCCTAGTAGCTCTACTTTAGTTTTATTATTACTTTTAGTGGTTGTTGCAAGGTTTACAATATGCATCTTTAGCTTACTACAGTCTACCTTCAAATGATAATTTGCCACTATACATACAGTGTAAAACTTTGTAACCACTATTCCCATTTCTCCATATTCTCCCTATTATCCATTTTACTATTACATAAGTTTTAAACCCCATAATACATTGTTATTAATTTGCCTTACACAATAATCTTATAAATAAAAAAATTGTACTTATCCACACATTTCACAATTACAGAGTTCTTAACATTTATCTACAAATCAAAATTTCAGTCTAGTATCCTTTCCCATTATTTTTGAAGAAGTATCTTCAATATTTCTGGAAGTTCATGTTTGCTAGTGATAAACTATCTTAGCTCTTTCTTTCTTTTCTTTCTTTCTTTCTCTCTCTCTTTCTCTCTCTTCTCTTTCTTTCTGACAAGGTCTTGCTCTGGAAGTTCATGTTTTCTCATGATAAACTATCTTAGCTTTATTCTTTCCTGCTCTCCCCTCTCCCCCTCCCTCCCTCCCTCCCTTCCTTTCTTTTTTCCTTTTTTTTTTTTTTTTTTTTTGAGACAAGTTCTTGCTCTGTCACTCAGGCTGGAGTGCAGTGGCACAATCATGGCTCACTGAAGCCTTGACCTAGGCTCAAGCAAACCTCCCACCTCAGCCTCTCAAGTAGCTGGAATTACAGGCATGCGCCACCACACCCAGCTATTTTTCAATTTTTTTTTTTTTGATAGAGATGGGGGTCTCACTACGTTGCCTAGGCTGGTCTTGAACTCCTGGTTCAAGCGATCCTCCTCCCTTGGGCTCTTATCGTGCTGGGATTACAGGTGTGAGCCACCGCACCCAGTTGCTTTTTTCTTTCTTTCTTTCTTTTTTTTTTTTTTGAGACAGAATCTCACACTGTTACCCAGGCTGGAATGCAACGGGGTGATCTTGGCTCACTACAACCTCTGCCTCCCAGGTTCAAGCGGTTCTCTTGCCTCAGCCTCCCAAGTAGCTAGGACTACAGGTGTGCGCCATCCTGCTCGGCTAATGTTTTCTATTTTTAGTAGAAACAGGGTTTCACCATGTTGGAGAGGCTGGTCTTGAACCCCTGACTTCAGGCGATCCGCCTGCCTCAGCCTCCCAAAGTGTTGGGATTACAGGTGTGAGCCACTGCGCCCAGCCGCTTTTTTTTTTTTTTGTCTGAAACATTTTTCTCTTCCATTTCTGAAAGACATTTTTGCTGAGTAAAGAACTCTAGGTTGATTTTTAAAAATCTTTCAGCAATCTGAAGACTTTTTTTCTTGGTTGAATAGTTTCTAATAACAAGTCTAATGTAATTCCTATCTTTGTTCTTTCCTGTGTATTATCTTTTTTTTCTGGCTGATATTAAGACTTTCGCCTGGTTTCAGCAATTTTACTATAATGTGCCTTGTTGTGGTTACAATTTTTTATTCTGCTTCGTGTTCTTTGAATGCCTTGAATTTGTGGGTTTATAGTTTTTATTAAATTTGGGACTATTTCAGCCATTATTTCTTCAAATCTCCCACGCTCCTTTTAATATAGGCAAATTCATTTTCAGTACCAAGATGACACCCTCCTGAGGACTAAGGACAAAATGTACAGATAGGTCTTTCCATTCGGCTGGTGAAAACAGGCACAATTTCCATTCATATGGGAGCTCTGGGAATTGTTTTTCCTGCCCTTTTTTGGTGGTTTGTTTTCCCAATTAGTTTCCAATTAGTCTCTTCTTAAATATGTGCAAATCAATGCTCATCCAAAGAAGCAAAAGGACCCCTCTGTAGATATTTGGAGTTGTATATACATATGTAGCTTTCCCCTTTCTGGTTCTCTGTCCTCCAAACTTTAGCTACGTCGGCCTCCCTGAAGCCTGATATTTGTCTCCTCAAGTCAGCAGTATTGCTGGGCTTTGGGCTCTGCCACTGCCTGTCCCATGGTCTGGAAACTGTTGCAAGGCAGTAGGCTGGGGCAATTAGATGGCTCAACTTGTTTACTTCTCTTACCTTAATCACTGTCCTACACTGTCTATTGTCCAATGTCTAAAAACCATTGTTTCATATATTTTGTCAGAAAACCATTATTATTTTTTTTCCAGATGTTTAAGAGGGAAGGATAAATCCAGTCCCCATGACTCAATTGTTGTCAGAGCAAATGTTCATACCTGGAAAGCATTTTAAAATACAGAGCCAAATTAATCTCTCAGAAATTCGGATCTAGTAGGTCTGGTGTGGAATTCTGGACTCTTTTACTTATTAAAAAGTACTGAGATGATTCTGATACACTGAGAGTGTTGTAAACCATATCTTGATACCTCAAGCAGAGCCTTGTTCAGACATTTTTTTTTTTTTACTGAGGGGGAAGGCAAGATCATTTCATATGAAAAACATTTCCTGGTTCTGAGTACGATGGGGGTACTTATAGCCAACCAATAATCCAGCTGAAAACAATTAGGAGAGCCAGCTAAAACATAAAACATCTGTTTGAAGGCTGCTGAGGCAACCAGAACTTATGAGGACACAATCTCAGAGAAGGGGAAACTATACATAGAGGTGAGCTGACATTCAGCAGTACCTTCATTCCTTGGGGAAATTCTGGGCATAAGGCCAGAGTCTGAGTTTTGGTTCTGAGTATAGAAAGAGGCCCTAACAGGCAAAGACACCACCAGGGATGATTCTGTCAGTTCAGCAGAGTTGGAGAGACAAACTTAAGAACAAGAGGGGCCAGATTCCCAGTGAGAAGGGAGGGGTAAATAATTGAGCCCAATAATGTCAGTCTCCCTCAAGTCATTTTCCAAATTCTGAAGATGCATGAGACAGAAGGTTAAGAAGCTTAGCAGAAAGGCTCTGAAAAGCAGAGTGAAGAGATTTTGACCGTCTCATGGTTTTGCAGAAACAAGAATTAGAGTTCAGTATCCACTGGGATGAAGGGTCCCAGGGAACACACACGACTCTCAGTTGGAACCCCTGGAGGCTTATGCTACTGGAGCAGCAGCAAAAAAGAGGTGAATTAAATCTTGCCAAAACCCAACCCCAAGTTAACTCAGTCTCTGGTTGATTAAGGTGGTTAGCTCTCACTCTAAATGCTTTGCAAAGGACAGTAGGAATCCTTCTCTGGATGATGATAATACTATCCAGAGCCTCTGCAATTTTTCATACTTGAAAGTGTGACATCCTATTAAAAATTCTCAGGCAAGCTAAGAGCCAGGAAAAAAAATGACCGAAACCAATGGAAAGAATATACAATAGAAATAGATCCACAGAAGATTCAGCTATTGTAATGATTGGAAAGAGCTTTAAAATATCTAGGGTTAAAAAAAAATCTAGGATTGATATGTTCAAGAAAATAAAGGCAACAGCAGAGAAAATACATATATAAATAAATAATTTCTCCAAATGAATTTGATTTTAAGAATCGTATGAAAATTCTAGAACTTAAAAATATAATAAACAAAATAAAGAATTCACAAATGGGTTTAAAAGTACACAATTAAATAGAAAATATACCGACTCATGCATAGAGAAAAAAATGGGGGAAAAAAGATGATAGGAAATACAGATGGTAAACAATGAAAAATTCTGACATATGTATAATTTAAACCCTAAAAGGAAAGGAGAGAGAAGAGACAGTGATCAAGAATTTCCTAAAAGATATAAACCCACAAATGCAAGGGACTCCGCATACACCCATTGCACTCATGAACCCAAGTAGGATAAATACAAAGAAAACCACATCTACACACGTCATAGTAAAGCTGTTGACAACCAAAGACAAGAAAAAATCCTAAAAGGAGTCAAAGGAAAAAAGACATTACTTTCAAAGGAATAAAAGGGAGTGACAGAAACCAGAAGACAATGGAAGAACATCTTCAAAGTGCTGGGAAAAAAAAACCAAAAAACAAAAAAAACTTGCCAAATCAGAATGCTATACCCAGCAAAAATATGAAGGATAATGCAAAGTTTTAGGCAATAAAACCCCACAAAAAACAAAAAGCAAAAACTCAAACAACCTTGGAGAGAACTTGTCATCAGCAGACCTGCTGTAAAACAGGGGAATTATTCAAATAGAAGGAAAACCTTCAGACAGAAGCACAGAAATGCATATTGGAATGAAGAGCAATATAAGGATAAATATGGAGGTTAATCTAAATGAGTACTTATTGTACAGAACAATAAGTATAAATTCTTGTGTGGCTTAAAATACACACACAATTAAAATCCTTGACGACAATAAACACAAAAGGGAGATGGGTAGGTGGAGATACAGTATTTTAATGTCTTAGCATTCCCGGGGAAGTGGTAAAAGTAATTATTTTGTATAAGATCATAAGTCAAAAAGCAATGTTGTAATCTCTAAAACTAGTAATGTATAATTTAAAAATTAATAGAGGGGGTTAATGATATAGTTAAAATATTTTAATTAATTCAAAAGAAGGCAAAAAGCAGAGAACAAGGAATGTGAAATAGGTGATCCAAAATAAATGGTAAGATGGTAGGCATACATCCACATATACCAGTAATTATATTAAATGTAAATGGACTAAAAATGTTTCCTGTTGAAACCAGGACAGAGCAAACTTCCAATTTCAGGCTGGCATGGACTCTGTATAAGACACAAGTACCAAGTACAAGTGAAAAGGCAGGGATTCCTAGAGCAAAATATGCAAGGGGGAAATAACCTTTAGTTGCCAGCTCCACAGGGCTGAATCGTGAGTAAAGTTTGAGCTAAGAAAAACTATCCTTTCAGAGTGCAGATTGCTTTTTAACTTGCAAATGATGAGGACTTTAATCCGTCTTTGTTGCAAGATTTTTATTTTGAGAAGACCTCCTGAATGTGCCATTTAGTTATGCAAATGTAAAGCAGAGACTCTTTATGGAAGCTGTGTGAAAAGCTCAACTGTGCTTTGTTGTTATAAATTGTTTTAAATTCTTGCTACTGTTTAATCCCCAGTTTGGTCTTTTCACAGGATGGCTGTGGCTAGTTTTCTTCCAAATTATCCAAAAGTAAACACAACTCATCTCTGTATTATTTTTCTTCTGAAGGCCACACACTCTAGTCTCACATGAAGAACTCATTGTCTTTGCATTAATATGACTTTATCTGCCCTCTTTGGGAAATAAAAATCTGCCTATTCTACTAAAAGAAAATACATATATATATATATATATATATTTTTTTTTTTTTTTTTTTTTTTTTTTTTCCTGGAGGTGATTTCATTACAAACAGGGACCATTTTACCTGAGAATGTGTCTATCTGATTCATCTAGGATGAAAGAGATCCTTTCTATTGGATTATCATGTATTCCAAATTTCTCTACTGCTTTGGAGATGGGGCTTGGAAGTAGGCGATGAATGGCAACTCAGTCAACCTCACTACATTACACTTCTGTTTCTGTCAGTGTCAGGATATTGATTAGGCTGGACCATGATCTGAAAAGTTACGTTATTCTTACTGAATGGTCCAGAGTCTACCGTATGGAGGGTAGGGCTATGGATTAGAGTGGAGACGGGATAGATAGAAAAGTTTGGGTTCCCTCTTGCTGTGTCTCTCAGGCTGGAGTGTAGTGGCGATCATAGTTCACTGCAGCCTGGAACTCCCGGGCTCAAGCAGGCCTCCCGAGTAGCTGGGCTACAGCAGCGCCCCGCCACAAACGGCTTTCTTAACGGCTTAAAAAATTGTTCATTCACGAGCAACATTTTTTTATTTTAAACCGCCTACTACAGTACTTGTACAACATTATTCTAGGTGCTGGAGATGCAGAGTCATTATAGGAGAGCATTTACCAGTGAATGTATTCGGAATATATATATATATATATATATATCACATGTAAGTGCAAAATGACTAGAGCAAATGATACTACTACAGAAGTTCAGAAAAGGAAGTCAGCATGGAAGTTAAGGCAGTGGGTGAGAGGGAGGCCCTTAAAAGCTAAAGCTGAGATAAAATGAGGTATTGCGGGCGACAGTCTAGGCGGGGTGTGTCGTATGGGGTTGGGGACAGGGCAGATAAAGGTCAGGCAGCAGGATACACGTCCATGTCAACGATTAAACATTTAGTGTCTTTTTCATGTCTACTGTCTTTCTAGTGAATGCAGAAAAAAAAAAAATGCATGACTTGGCCAGGTGCAGTGTCTCAGGCCTGTAATCCCAGCACTTTGGGAGGCCGAAGAGGGCGGATCACTTGAAGTCAGGAGTTCGAGACCAGCGGCCTGGCCAACATAGTGACACCCCGTCTCTACTAAAAATACAAAAATAAGCCAGGCGTGGTGGCGGGCGCCTGCAGTCCCAGCTACTCAGGAGGATGAGGTAGGAGAATCGCTTGAACCCAGGAGACGGAGGTTGCAGTGAGCCAAGATCGCACCACTTGCACTCCAGCCTGGGCAACAGAGCGACACTGTCTCAAAAAAAAAAAAAAAAGTATGACTCAGTCTCTGCATCAAAGAGTTTAAAGTAGATGAAAGGCAAGACAAAGAAACGTCCATACAGCCAGTAGTGGACAGGCAGGCCATGAAGAACCGCCTGCTCGTGGTTCCAACGCCCTAAGTATGGACAAGAGTTCCGCACAGGGCAAGAAGGGAAGACCGGCTTTGGAATAAGACAAATCTCAGTCCCAGGCTCAGGTGCGCGCCACATACTAGCTGTGTGACCTTGTCCAAGTCACACGACCCAGGTCTGTGGAGTCTCCCATAAAATGGCTCTAGTGAGCTCCAAGAACCCTCTCAGCTGCTGGGGGAGGGAAGAAATGAAGTCACTGCTGAAAGGGGTTAAGACGGGTGCTTCTGGTTCCACCCTCTCCCCAACTCTTCCCACCGACACAGGAGAGCCGTCGGGGGCTGAGGCGAGCTGCCAGGGGTGAGGACGGGAAGCCGCCTCCTCTCCGCCCCCCAGGCCCCGCCCTCGGGCTCCGGAAAGTCGCTGTGCAGGCAAATGAGTGGGGAGGGAGGGCTCACTAACTGTAAACAGACGCCGCCGAGAGTTCCCATCCTGCGTGGCTGCCGGATTTCCGTGCCACACTGAAGCCACCCCACCCAGACTCCTGCCCTCAGTTTCCCCAGCGGTGGCATGGGGTGCACCAGCTCCTCCTCTCCCGGGTCGCCGTCTGACTTAAACGCGTGAGACGGGAGAGGAGGAACCCCCGCTCCCCAGCCTCCAGCCCCACCAAGTCCTCCTCCTCCCCTGGCTTTGGCCTTTTGTACCGGCCCCACGTGACCCCGCCGGCCGGCTCTTCCCTGCTGCCCCGCCCCGCCCTCCGGCCTTTCCCGGCTCTCGGCCCAGCTCTTCCCGCTCTCGGCCGCCCCCCACCCGCGCTGCCGGGCCTCCGCCTCCCCTCGCCGCCCGCCCAGGCTCTTCCAGCTCCCTCCCCCAGGCCGCCGTTCCCTCGCGACGCTCCCCTCCCCCCGCGGCTGTTCCGCCGCCTTGCCTCCCCTCCCCCCGGCTGGAGCTCACTGTCTCCAAGATGGCGGCCGTGTCAGTTTGGGGCATCTCCGCGGTCCGGCCCGGGGCCCCGGGATCTCGGCTGTCCTTCCTCCCGGTAAGTAGCCGAGGGGCCGTTCCCGGCCGCCCCCGGCCGCCCAGCCCGAGGCCGAGCCGCTCCAGGGCCCACTCCGCTGCCTCGCGGGGTCGGCGGGCCGCTGCAGGCCCCGCCGCGGCCTGCGCCGCCTCCCGCTGCTCTGCGCCAGGCCTCGGGCTGGGGCGCCGTGGCCGCCCCCTCGCGCCCGCCCGCTCGCTCGCTCGCTTGCTCGCTTGTTCGGCGCCCGGCTGCCCCGGCCCGCGGCCCGCGCGCCGCCGCCCGGCCCCGCGCTCGCGGGCCCCGCGCCCCCGATCCCGCCGGCCGGGCCCGCCCTGGGGGAGCCGGCGGGTGGGCGGGCGGCGAGCGGCCCAGGCCGCGGAGCCTCGGGCTGGCGGAGCCGGCGAGCCCGCTCTCCCTCGGGGCGCGCCCACCCGCCCGCCGCGCGCGTGCCGGCTGTGCCGGGCCGGGCCGCTTCTCCCCGCGCTCGCGGGCGCTCGGGTTCGGGCTCGGGCTCGGGTTCCGGCTCCGGCTTTGGCTCCGGCCGGGGGCGCGGGGATCCGAGCGGGGCTGAGGCGGCGAGCGGGGCTGACAGGCCGGCGGGTGTTGTGGTGCGAGGCGCAGCACGTGTGGTGTTGTGTCTGCCGGGCTGTCAGCCCAGCCGCCGAGGGGAGGCCGGGCGCCTGTCAACCTCGCGGCTTGGCCCGGTGCGCGACTGTCAGGCTCCCAGCAACCCGCGCCGCCCTCGAGCCGGCCCCCAGAGCTTAGGGTGCGGAGCTGGGCCGGGGCTATGCACCGCTCTGAACTCCTTCACGTGATTTCATTGTTAACTTGTGCTCGGGGTCTGTTTCCATCGCGTGGAAACGGTGCAGCGCCCCGTCGGCGAGCTGCCGGGCTGTGCAGATCCAAGTTTTTAAAGTTTCTCGCTCTTTGAAAAGAGAGCGCGAAGACGTGTTTAGGGGTGGGGAATGGGGACGGGAAGGACTGTCGGAAGCGAGTTGCGCTCGCTCTAGCCGCTCGTGTACTTTCCGGGAGTTAAGATCCGAGGCTGCAGGCGCTTGACTTTCCGAAGACCTGGAGACTGATGACAATCCCGACTGGAAAGACAATGAGTGACTGTCACTCATTCTTTTACCTGCGAAGCTTAGTCAATTAGGACGTTCGTTCCCAGCTTGTTAAACTCAGGATGTAGCTTCTCATTTAGTTTAGACTTAATATCTGTATAATGAGCTTACTTGGAGTAATGATACTCTGATTTCTATCCTCTTGAGACCCTCACCAAATTGAAGCATGATTCTCCCAGGGGGCTTCTTTTTAGGCAGCTGATTTAAAAACAAATCTTGGCTCAGGTTTGAATGTTTGCTTCACTCTTTTCTTTCCTATCAGAGTTAATAGTAATATCTCTTTCCTAGTGTGTATTAGTTTTCCGTTTGATTTTAATGTCACTACCAAGAATAGTTGCTGTGGGAGCCATTTGTCTAGCATTGTTTATATTGTAATGCAAATGATCTCCAGAATGAGAGCAGAAGTTCTAAAAAACACTTCAGTTAAACTTATTTTTGGAGGCAAAAGAGTTAGATTCAGAATTCAGTACTTTAGTGATTAAACAAGATTGCATCTACCAGATTCTTTTATAGGGATACTGACTTTGATTCAGAGAGACAGTACATTTCTGTTTATGTTTTATTAATGTTCGTTTCAGGACAGCAATCTTGAATTTATATCTTTATTATTTGGGCTTCTCTTTAGTCCTACAAGTAGCCAGTGTATTTCTTTTTCTGTACCGTCCGTTTGATATGTAGTATGTGCGTTGACCCCAGTGATTCTGGGCCTTCCTCATTTCTAGTTTTCCTGTCTGAATTACTTACACGCAGTTTGACAGTTGTGACTCTCTTCAGCATATGAATAGAAACATCTTAGTTTGGGTTAGGAGAAGCTATCAGCATGTAATTCTTAAAATTTGAATGAAAGTGGATTATTGTTAAATTCAGTAAGCACTTTTACTCTAGGCTATTTTCAATAGTATTTTTGTTTCCATTAGGAGAGATTAAGGTAATACTGTACTTAAATTATAAACTGGGTGTGCATATTGTATTCATTCTTTTCATGTAAGAACTAAAATTTTCTCAGTCGTTTTCTGCCTTATTGACTGTTTTTGTCTACTCTGAATGTCTAGAATTTTGAAAGATGAAAGATTCACTTTTACTTTCATTGCAGGATTCTTTCTACTAATCCAGATACTTGTTGAAGTGCTGACTAGTTTCTTGGGGAAAGATGTCAAGGAAGAGTTGAAATTCCTAGACTGGTGAGCAGAGATTGCGGAGTACAGAATAGCCATCACCCACTCTGGTTAGTGGTAGCTTAAAGGTCATTCTTAGAACATGTCATCGTGTTTCCTCATTGTATCCTAATTACTCATCTTTTTTTTTTCTTTTCTTTTTTTTTCTTTTTTATCCCAATGGTTTACATACATGATTGTTTTGGAATATTAATAGATAAGTTTGGAAATTCTTAAGGGTGCCTAGTAAACACTTGCTGTTTGATTGCTTTATGATGAGGATGCTTATTTTCATTCGAAATAGGTCTTGGTAGAAAACTGACCTTATTTTCATTGCTTTTCAGGCATAAGATGCACATTTTTCTGCTCTGGAGCCGGGAATGAAATATTCTTGAGTTCTTACAACTTTATGACGAGACCCATGTGTGGTGCTATTGAGAAATTCATTGGGAAGTTGGAAGACATTTCAATCAACAGGTTGTTTTGGTTTCTATAGTACAATTGGGGTGGCATTCTGTTTTGTGAAAGGAGGAAGGACTTAGGCCAGAAAACTCATATGCTATGGTTAACTGGTTCCCAGCCTCCGAGAATCTTGTTTTCCATGGTGTAAAACTTACTCAGCATCAGGATAAGGGATAACGACTCTATGGATATACAGAATCCTTCACCATGGTAAAACTCGCAAACCCGCTTTATACTGAGTGGATTTTGGAGGCCATCAAAAAAGTGAAAAAGCAGAAACAGCGTCCTTCAGAAGAAAGGATATGCAATGCTGTGTCTTCATCCCATGGCTTGGATCGTAAAACTGTTTTAGAACAATTGGAGTTGAGTGTTAAAGATGGAACAATTTTAAAAGTCTCAAATAAAGGACTCAATTCCTATAAAGATCCTGATAATCCTGGGCGAATAGCACTTCCTAAGCCTCGGAACCATGGAAAATTGGATAATAAACAAAATGTGGATTGGAATAAACTGATAAAGCGGGCAGTTGAGGGCTTGGCAGAGTCTGGTGGCTCAACTTTGAAAAGCATTGAACGTTTTTTGAAAGGTCAGAAGGATGTGTCTGCATTATTCGGAGGCAGTGCTGCCTCTGGCTTTCACCAGCAGTTACGATTGGCTATCAAACGTGCCATTGGCCACGGCAGACTCCTTAAAGATGGACCTCTTTATCGGCTCAACACTAAAGCAACCAACGTGGATGGGAAAGAGAGTTGTGAGTCTCTTTCCTGTTTACCTCCAGTGTCCCTTCTTCCACATGAAAAGGATAAGGTAAGAATGGCATATGCTTCGGGGTTTATAGAGCTGATGATATAGGATGCTACAAATTCACATTTCTGGGAAGTTATATTCAAGTTTTTTGTTTGGGGACTTCTGTGGAGTGATCACCTCTGGTTTTTTATTGGTGAGTTGTAGCTATGAGAGCTTCATAGATTTGTTCTGGTACTTTGAAATATTTGAAGCCTAAGATTAAAAATGTAGAATGTTAATCTGACTAAAAGAACTTATTTACATTACAATGAAAAAGTGACATATGAGTTTAAAACTTTTTTTTAAATTTTTTTTTATTATTTTGCTTGAGGAGTACTCCAGCGTGAGACTTTAAAACTTTAACTAAAGGTTCTTAGAACACCTTACTACTGGAAGTTGATGAGCAGCCAAATCATGGAGACTTGAATTTGAAACAAGCAGATGACTCTGAGAACATTTTTCTGTTTTCCATTTTGTTGCAGATTACTCGTTAGACAGAAATGAGACAGATTCTCATGACCCATAGGCGCAACTAAGCAAACTTAGCAATTCTTGTTTCTGCTGTTTGTATTATAGCTTTCTGTCATGTATTATGGCTTTGCATATGATGAAGTCCTAAATGCTATTTATGACAGCTGTAGTTGCATGGGACAGGAATACAGTATCCTAAACTAGAAAAGTTCTGGAGGGTCTGGAACAGTAGTTCATGCCTGTAATCCCAGCGCTTTGGGAGGCTGGGACAGGAGGATGTCTTGAGCCTAGGAGTTTGAGCCCAGCCTGAGCAATATAGCGAGACCCCACGTCCACCAAAAATAGAAAAATTAGCCAGGTATGGGCGCGCCTGTAGTCCTAGCTACTTGGGAGGCTGTGTCGGGGAGGATTGCTTGAGTACAGGTGTCTGAGGCTCCAGTGAGCTATGCTGTCACCACTGCACTCCAGCCTGGACAACTGAGACCCTGTTCTAAAAACAAAAAGAAAGGTAAAGTTCTGGAGAGTTGGGAGTTTTGATGCCCAGATGTGTACTTTACTCTGTTGTGTTTTAGGATGTTATTGTATATAGTTGAAATTATGACTTCTTAAACAGTAAATTTTGGTGCTTAAATAGATATTTGGAGATTAGGAGAATTTTGTTAGTACCTGTTTTTTACATTGACCTAGTATCTTAGCTGTAAATTTACTTAAGGTGCTCTGAATTATAGTTCCTTGGAGAGCAGTGATGCTTTAAGTTGCTGCACACCTTGGTAGACATAAGTAAAATGATCTTCATTTTGCTTAAGATGATGGAGGATACTCCTAGGGTGGAAAGATGGTAAAGTTAACATTGAATGTATTTTGAAAATTGGAGATTTGATCTCAATTTGTTGTATTATTAGCAGCCCACTGAATACCTGTAGATTTTTCTTTAACAATTGAAAATTAACGGTATTTTTCTTTGATGAAATTTTTAGAGATCTATTTCAGGGTTCAATTTTCCCTGTGAACATTGAAATAAAACATAATCTTACTGTTATTACCCTTGAAATGATTCTCATACAGTCATGAATTGATAGAGAATCTCATTCATAAAATGGCTCTATGTAATTTGAGCATTTATTAAAAGTATATATTAAAAATTCAGGGTAGACAAGTAATTAAAATGCTTTATTCTATATTTAAGTGCTGTAAGAACTCTTACCTGTAGAAACTTTATCACATGTGGCTGAATTTAAATACAGTTATCGGATTTCTACAATTATTAAATGATCTAACAGGTTAACTGCCTGGAAACAGGAAATAATTTATAGTTAGATCAGTTCAGTGCCATACCTGTGAATTGGATGTTATAAGTTCCTGTTAGGCCACCTGTTTGCTTTTATTTATTTATTTTTGAGACAGAATCTCGTTCTGTCACCCAGGCTGGAGTGCAGTGGTGCAGTCTCACTGCAACCTCCGCCTCCCAGGTTCAAGCGATTCTCTTGCCTCAGCCTCCCAAGTAGCTGGGATTACAGACATGCACCACCACGCCCGGCTAATTTTTGTATTTTTAGTAGAGACGGGGTTTCACCTTGTTGGCCAGGCTGGTCTCGAACTCCTGACCTCGAGTGATCCACCCGCCTCTGCCTCCCAAAGTGTTGGGATTACAGGCTTGAGCCACCGTGCCTGGCCTGTTGTTTGCTTTTATTGTAATTACACTTGCTTGAATTATCAATAGATAATTTTAAAAAATATTAGCTATATAAAAATGTCATTTGAGCATATTTTTAAAAGGTAGTAAATATAGTACAGTGCAAGACAAATCCAAGTCCTAGAACCCTGAGATTTTACTTTTGGAAGGGACCCTGAGAACCGTCTAATCCAAGTCCTTATTTTGCAGCTGAGCTAAGGACCTTTGTTGAGACCATTTCATAGCACCTTTGCATTAAGAAAAGTTTAATTCAGTAGAGATGTGCTGTTTTGCTTTGACTGGAGTGCAGTGGTGTGATCTCAGCTCACTGCAACCTTCGCCTCCCGGGTTCAAGCGATTCTTCTGCCTCAACCTCCTGAGTAGCTGGGATTATAGGTTTGCGCCACCACGTGTGGCTACTTTTTTTTTTTTTTTTTTGTATTTTTAGTAGAGACAGGGTTTCACCATGTTGGCTAGGCTGGTCTCAACTCCTGACCTCAAGCGACCTGCCCACCTCGGTCTCTCAAAGTGCCAAGATTATAGGAATGATCCACCGCACCTGGCCACATTTGATTTTGGAGAAATAAAGCAAGAAAAACAAAAGTGATTTAATAATTGAAAAAATGAAAAAGAAATGCCCATTTGCTTACATAGCTTTCATATATAGTGTTTTTTTGTTTTTTTTTTTTTTTTGAGATGGAATTTCGCTCTTGTTGCCCAGGCTGGAGTGCAGTGGCACGATCTTGGCTTACTGCAGCCTCCGCTGCCCAGGTTCAAGCAATTCTTCCTTCTCAGCCTCCCATGTAGCTGGGATTACAGGCATGCTGACCACCATGCCTGGCTAATTTTGTATTTTTAGTAGAGACGGGGTTTCTCCCTGTTGGTCAGGCTCATCTCGAACTCCCAACCTCAGGTGATCCGCCCACCTTGGCCTCCCAAAGTGCTGGCATTACAGGCATGAGCCACCCTGCCTATAGTGTTAACTGAAGTAACTAAATTTAGACATGTTGGAAAATAGAGTTTGTTTCTTCAGGTAGACTTGTATATGTACTAATCTCATTGGAAAACTAATTTCATGATAGTATCTATTCAATTAGAGTTGGTGAGCTCTGTTCTATATTTTTAAATGGAGTCTTATTTTCAGTAGTGAATTTCCTGTGTGACTTCCCCCAAAGATATGAAAAGTTTACATTAAAAATCGTAATACAGTGAACTCTAGGATGAGAGATTATTCCTTTGAACAGATTATGTCTGCTCCTTTTATTGTATTTTAACTATTTTCTTTCCTCTCCTTCGAACTACGCAGTCAGTTGCTATGCAGAATTGATAGTTTGCTGTTACGAACCTAGATGTTCTCAAAAAAAGAAAAGAATTATCCAGAGTTTATTTGACAGTGATGGAGAAAGGAAGGTGTATAGGTCAGGAGTAGTTTCACTTTTAGGAATTAATTGGTTCAGCATATAGTCATTGAGCACCTACTGTGGGCCAGGCACTCTGCTTGGAACAGAAACAGTTCTGTCTTCTCTGGGATGCTAATGCAGGTATTTCTATTGACCTGGCCAACTGTAAGGTGAAGATGAAATTCAAAGACTGCGTGGAGTAACCCGAGCAAGTTCCTCTTTACTTTTTCTGGTATCAATTCTAACTTTTTGTTTTTTTTTGGTGATATTAACCTTTGGAAGGAACTGTATGTTAGATTTTCGGCAGCTGAGTGGTTTTGATCCTTTTGGGAGATCAACTGTGTTGGAATACGTTTAAGAGGAGTTTTTGTGAAGACATTGGAACTTTAGTGTGTTCTTTTCACATTGATAAGTACTGAGGAGAATCCATGGGATACTGTGATTAAAAGTTTTTAGGCCAGGCCTGGTGGCTCAGGCCTGTAATCCCAGCACTTTGGGATGCCGAGGGGGGGGTGGATCACCTGAGGTCAGGAGTTCAGGACCAGCCTGGCCAATATGGTGAAACCCCATCTCTACAGAATACAAAAATCAGCCCGGCATGATGGTGGGTGCCTGTAATCCCAGCTACTCGGTAGGCTGAGGCAGGATAATCGCTTGAACCCAGGAGGCGGAGGTTGTAGCGAGCCTAGATTGTGCCACTGCACTCCAGCCTGGGCAACAGAGCAAGACTCCATCTCAAAAAAAAAAAAAAAAAAAAGTTTTTACCCATGTTATAAGGGAAATTTTTGAGCTAACTTTAGAGTGTGGTAGTTAATGGTGAGTTTATTTATTAAAGTGTTTATTTACTATGTGCCAGGCGTTATTTTAATGCTGTATATATATTAACTCATTTAATCCTCTAACATAACTAGCTACTGTTAGGTTAGTTAGTTATTAATAACATAACAGTACCAGCAGTGAAATAGCTACTGTTATTTTACAGGTGAAGAAACTGAGGCATAAAAGAGATTTCAGTAACTTGCTGAAGTCACACAAATATTAGGTGGCAGAGCTGGGATTTGAATTTGGGCAGTCTGGCTCCAGAGTCTTTGTAATAGCCATACTGACCACCTCTTAGGAGCAGTAATGTATGATGGCTATCACTGCACTCAAGTACAGAATCGTGAATGTCCTTGGTGTTAACTTCATAGCACATTTCCTAATTGTTAAAGGACAAATTCCCGCCCGTCTTCATTGTGTCCATTTTTCTTTTTTTGCAGAACAGATTTGAAAATTCACTTTGGACCAGTGATAAGAATGTGTTAGGAACCAAAGATTAGGAGTAATCTAGTTTTGTATATCTGAGGTCCATTAAAAAAAAGTTTCACCTACATGCCATTTTTTTCCCTTAAAGATAATTTCTGTGCTAACTAATTTTCATTTCAGTTGTCACTAACATTTTCTGATAGGCAAGGTAGGGATCAGTTGTATTGCTATACCAGAGTGCTTTAATTTGGGACAGAAATACTGTTTTCCTTGAATCATGGGATTATAGGTGAGGAGAAGAGTGTGTAACTGGCTTAAATAGCATCTTCCTCTTTGTAAATTTCTTTTTGAAATATAGATATTACTGTAAGGTAATTTGTTCCATTTACTTCAGTTATTCATTATTTATTTAGCAAACATTTGAATGCCTGCCATGAACAGTGGATTTAAGATTTAGGTCCTGTGAGGGGATTAAAGCAGACAGAATAGAGATACAAAATAAATTTTTTGAAAGCCTTTTTTAGTTTATGAACTGTAATTTTTTTACATTATTATTTTTTCATAACAATTAAGTATCATGACTCAGAAATAATAATATGTTTAGTGGGCAAGGCAATTATTTGAGACTGTGATGGTCCATTTAAAAAATTATCTTTATATAGTGAGTCTTGGAAAGATTCAATTTCCTTTCAAGAATAGTTTTCACCTTGATTTCAAACTTCTGAGTTCATTTTTACACACTGACATAATTTACTTGAATATATATAGTTTGTGTTCTGTATTACTAGCCCAGAAAAATATTCTCTTTCATGGTAATCAGCCAGATCATTAAAAGTATTGTTATTTGGTGGCATAGTATTTTGGAACAGAATTATAATTTGCTAAAGCGTTCAGTTGGACAGGGAAGAGTAGGTATTGTCAACTAATGTTATTGTTCAGGTTACTCCCAGCTGGGTAACCTGGAGCAGAAAGATCCAATGATAAATCTCTTGCCTTCTACTCTAAGTTACATCTCAATTTGGTCAACTCTTAGTAGAGTCCAAATTATTTTGTTTTATTGGAATTTATATTTTAAATTATAGAGGAAGTAGAGCTTTGACAGGAATTTAGAATTTAAATTTTCGATGTAGAGATACTGATTAAAATGGGGATTTTTTTTTTTTTTTTGAGAGATGGAGTCTTGCTTTGTTGCCCAGGCTGGAGTGCAGTGGTGCAACCTCCACCTCCTGGGTTCAAGCGATTCTCCTGCCTCAGCCTCCCGAGTAAGCTGGGATTATAGGCGCATGCCACCATGCCCGGCTAATTTTTATATTTTTAGTAGAGATGGGGTTTCACCAGGTTGGCCAGGCTGGTCTCGAACTCCTGACCTCATGATCCGCCTGCCTCGGCCTCCCAGAGTGCTGGGATTATAGGCGTGAGCCACCGTGCCCGGCCAGGGATATGTTTTTAAGTTACTGAAAGTTAAGAGTGATGAAGTTTTGATTTAGCTATTTGGAAATGACCTTTATAGTAGAATAGTTGCACATTTTATATGTTAGAATGGTGGTATTTTATAAGAAAATTGTTAACCAATATAAGCTTGGAAATTTCAATTTCAATTACTCTGTTGCGTTGATACTGTATAAAAAGGCAATAAATAGTTGTCCATGCTATTAAATTCAGGGCTATGTGGACTGCTTGACAGAATGATTGTTCACTTTGGAAAAACAAAAAAAACAAAAAATCTTCTGAAGGCAAAAGATAAAATATTGAGGATACAGTGACGTGGAAAATGTAGCTATTATCAAGTGTGAAATGGATTGATCTCAGTAATTGTTATATTTAATAATTTAAACATTTTTTATGACATGCATTTCTTTTCTTTTTTTTTTTTGAGATGGAGTCTTGCTCTGTTGCTTAGGCTGGAGTGCGGTGGCCCAGTTTCAGCTCACTGCAACCTCCGCCTTCCAGGTTGAAGCAATTCTACTGCCTCTCCCCTCCTGCTGTCTGCGATTACAGGCGTGTGCCACCATACCTACCTAATTTTTGTATTTTTAATAGAAATGGGGTTTCACCATGTTGGCCAGTTGTGTTCTCGAACTCCTGACCTCAGGTGATCCGCCCACCTCCGCCTCCCAAAGTGCTAGGATTACAGGCGTCAGCCACCATGCCCGGCCCATGCCGTACATTTCTGACATCATTGTTTATACCATTTGTTTGTGACTCCAAATGTACCAGGAGCAGTGGCCTAGAAATAAAAATTTGTTACTAACAAGTCATTGAGGTGGATTAATTGTAAATCTGGTTAGGAATTAATTTTGTCTTAGCAGATTTATTCTTCAAAAATTCAGAAATTTAAAAATAACTCAGAGATATGTTTGTAAAATAGTATCTGTTTAAGTACAATCAGCTGCACAGTTTTTTTTTTTTTTTTTTTTTGAGACGGAATCTCACTCTTGCCCAGACTGGAGTGCAGTGGCGCAACCTTGGCTCACTGCAACCTCTGCCTCCCAGGTTCAAGTGATTCTCCTGCCTCAGTCTCCCAAATAGCTGGGATTACAGGCATGCGCCACCATGCCTGGCTAATTTTTGTATTTTTAGTAAAGATGGGGCTTCACTGTGTTGGCCAGACGAATCTCAAACTCCTGATTGGCTTCCCAAAGTGCTGGGATTATAGGTGTGAGCCACTGTACCTGGCCAACTGTGCAGATTTTTTTGATCTTCTGGTTCACCTATGAGCACAATGATTTTTGGTAATTTTCAGTGCATGACATACCTCGAAATAAAGCTACTGAGCTACTAAAGCTTGGGTTAGCCATTACTAATCCAAAGTTCTATACCAAACCAATTTTTCTTTTCTTTCTTTCTTTCTTTTTTTTTTTTTTTTTTTTTTTTTGAGACAGAGTCTTGCTCTTGTCACTTAGGCTGGAGTGCAATGGTGCGATCTCGGCTCACTGCAGCCTCCGCCTCCTGGGTTCAGGCGATTCTCCTGCCTCAGCCTCCCGAGTAGCTGGGTTTACATGCACCCGCCACCACGCCTGGCTAATTTTTTGTATTTTTAGTAGAGACAGGGTTTTGCCACGTTGGCCAGGCTGGTCTCGAACTCCTGACCTCAGGTGATCCACCCGCCTTGGCCTCCCAAAGTGCTGGGATTACAGGTGTGAGCCACCATGCCCAGCCACCAATTTTTCTTATGCTTACAACCTAGACATTTTTCTAGCGAATAAGTACTTTACTCTTTCTTGGTCTACCTTCCAATTGGTGAAATAAAGGGAAGGAATTAATGAAGACATCGGGTACCACAAATGGCTTCAGGAATAGAAATCCAGAGGTTCTAATGGTCTTAACCTCGTTTTTTCTTTGCTCTGTATCAATAGGCTAAGGGAACGTAAAGAGTTGCTTATAGAAACCTATTAATAGCTAACATTTGTTAAGGGCTGATGATGTGTTAGGGACTTTTTTTTTTAAGTGTTTTAACATGTACTTTCTTATTGAAGTCTCAAAAGAATTCTATATGATTAAATTTTATAGGCATAATATATTTATATAATAGGTATTTAATAGTATTTAATCATACAAATTTTCGGCAGGGCGCGGTGGCTCACGCCTATAATCCCAGCACTTTGGGAAGCCGAGGCAGGCGGATCTCGAGGTCAGGAGATCGAGACCATCCTGGCTAACGTGGTGAAAGCCCGTCTCCACTAAAAAATACAAAAGAAAAAAAAAAAATATTAGCCAGGCATTGTGGTGGGCGCCTGTAGTCCCAGCTACTTGGGAGGCTAAGGCAGGAGAATGGCGTGAACCCGGGAGGTGGAGCTTGCAGTGAGCCGAGATTGCGCTACTGCACTCCAGCCTGGGTGACAGAGTGAGACTCCGTCTCAAAAAAAAACAAAAATTAATAATAATAATACAAGTTTTCATTATGTCTTATAGAAAACCAAATGGAAAATGAATATAAGGAAATGCAAAATACATTAAATTTCTTTTTACCCTTGCTGCCTGTTTTTTCTTTAGTTCATCCTGGACTTGTGGGCCAATACTTTTTTGTTATGTTTAATACTAGGAGAGCAAATACATAACAGGAACTGTGATGAATCTGGAAAGAAAATTTATATCATTCAGTCTTCCTGAAGCTGTAAGAATCTCCTTAACATCTATTAGATTTATTTTCTCTTTGCATTTAAAGTTTTGGAGAAAATATCTTTGTCATACTGACTTGGTTCTTAGCTATGTAAGAGGACTAAATCTAGGTGCGGAGTTTGCTGGTTTAAATAGAATTAAAAATTTATTTTTTTCTGGTGACCTGGAGAGTGTTTCTTAAAATTATAATAATGAATACTTTTCATGCTCTGATTTATGTATAGGAATTATTAAGAGCTTCACTCTGATAAAGTTATTTACCACTTGGCTACTCAGGGGTGGAGTCATTTCACAAAGGATCTGCAGCGAATGAATTAGACCAGGAGTAACTTCACCCTTCTGCTTGTCCCAGCTGGAGCAGGATTAGGACTCATTCAGCTGCAGCTGGTTCCCAGGAAAATGAAAGCAGTTCCTTCTGGTTTTTTCCTTTCATATGAAAGTCATAGTTCCCAGCAGATGGCTTTCATCAGCCCTGTACATGTATCTGTAAATTCAAGGCCAAGGAATTATTTTCAACTTCATTAGGGAACAGGTGAAGAAACCATTTGTAGTGTGGCACTATTTTATTAGGAGTTGAAATTAAGCATAGAGATTATAGTAGTATGCCATTCTGGGTCAAAATAGTTTTTAACTGTCAGCAATTTAAAGAAAAAAAAAGACTGCTAAGGAAAAGTAAGTCTGGCTGTAGTGTTGATTGAGGTATCTTTTATGGTTGAATTGTATTATGCTTACGAAACATAGATTATTAGAAAAAAAGACTTGTATCTTCTGCATTGTGTAGAATGTTCAGCCAGTAGCAATCTTGGATCACAGTGATTCTAATCTGATTTCACAAATAATAGGGAAATTTGAGAGCCAAAGAGGTTGAAGTGTCTTGTCCAGTGCCACACAGCCAGTTAATACCATCTGGAAGAATTGGTCAGGCCCTTCTCAATTTTGTGCTTTTTTCATTATGCTGTAGTACTGCTTTATAGTATTAGAGAGCAGTGAGCCTAAAATAATTTAGTTAGAATTCTCTTCCTTAATGGAAACCATAGAATAAACCTTGTCTAGAGAATATTGGTGGTATCGTAAACCACAAATATATAAATCTGCTATTTCAGTGTGTGAAAATAGCTATACACTCTTGTTAGAGTTTTGAAACAACTTTTTGGGAAAAGACTGCTTTCTTATGGCCCAAGTTAGAGGAATCAAGGTTTTCTTATGTTGTTGGCTAAATATTAGAAGGGGAACATGTTGAGCTACCTTAATGCTGGAAGAAAAAGTACTCCTTGAGTTTTGGGAAAAAAAGTCCATTTAAAGGTAAGTCTAATTTTCAGTAGGTCTGCAACACAAATGACCTCTGAGTGACTTGGATCATTGGTTAGAATTTAAAATTCTTGAGACTGAGCTAGAGATAGCAAGGTACAAACCTTTCTATTAATTAATGAAGTAATTTTTACCAAAGACATTAAATATGGGTGGACCAAAAGTGTATAGTCTAGCACTTCTATAAACATAGTGTCTGGGAGGAGCTTGAGAGATTTGTAATGTTACTTGTAAACAGACCGTGTGGGGAAGACCGCAGACAGCACATCATTTTTTGTCTTTATTGGTCTTTATGACTAACACTTCATCTCTGCATCACTTCTGCTTTGCTGTAAAACTTAGCAAGTACATTAGGATAGTGGCAAATAAAGATTAAGATTGAGGACAGATGTTTGTAAAATAACTGGGCGATTTTAAGATTATAGGTGTAACTTGTTAAGAAGAAGATAACTGGTGTGGAAATAAAATCTGGCAGCCAAAAAAAAAAAAAAAGCTTTCAATGTGTTAAAGAAGATAGTTGCTTCTTTTGCCGTTTACCTTTTATGTAGAATAGGTGATTCCGCAGATCTAGAGGTGTTGTCAGACTTGTACTATGGGCTGCGTTTTCCTCCAGGGAATTGTGAACTGTAGTTGACCTGAAGAGCTGCTAAGTGTTGGTTTTTAATTCTTTGAGCTTAGTAAAGTCTAGGTTCCTTTTTTCTTAGTCATTGGGTACAGTGAAGCATTTAACTCCTGAGTTTTCTAGAACCTTTAACAGAACTCTCAGAAACATTATTACTATTTTTGTGTGTGGAGTGTGATTCTGTACTTTAATAGTTTCCCAATTTTTCTATTCAGGGCATCTTTAAATATCTAACTTACTATTTAAACCCTCTTTCACCATTTTCCTGCCTTACTTTTTTCCATGCCACTCAGTTTTTCTTTAATTCTGTAACATAAATCCAAAGCCTTATTCTTTGGAAAGCAGTGGTACTTGGCACTAAATTCACTTTAGCATTACCTGAGGAAGCTTAAAAAATAAATACCAAACTAATTAAATTTGACTAGTAGTGAGGCCCAGGTTTCAGTTTTTTTTATTTTTTATTTTTTTAAGAATGTTTATCTGATGTGCAGCTGGGGTTGAGAACCATTGCTCTAATGCTTAGAACCAACATCTCTGTAGTGGGGACTGGCTAAGAGAGTCAGAAGACAGAAGAAGCAGGTACTTTTTAACCTCATAATTGACATTCAAACAAATGATGAAATAGCATGCTTCACACACACCCTCATGAACACACTTTGGACCCAGGACAGTGTACTTCTGGAAATGTACATTCTGTTTTATTGTCCTCCCTGGCTATAACTACTCTAATCTTCCACCTTTCTTTCTCCTTACCCTCACTGCTTTATCTCAAGAAGATCTTGTGTGGTATATAGTTGCGAGAAAGTTACCTGCATGATTCCGACAGGTGCCCTGCCATCACTCTAATGCTGTTCTCATTGCTTGGCCTTATGGCACATTCTCACTCACTCACTACTCCTGCATCATGTTGGCAAACTCCAGCCATTTACCACCTTCTCCTTTTTTTTTTGAGTTGGAGTCTTGCTCTGTCACCCAGGCTGGAGTGCAGTGGTGCGATCTCTGCTCACTGCAACCTCCATCTCCTGGGTTCAAGCGATTCTTCTGCCTCAGCCTCCCAAGCAGCTGGGATTACAGGTGCCTGCTACCACCCCTGGCTAATTTTTGTATTTTTTTAGTGGAGACGGGGTTTCATCATGTTGGCTAGGCTGGTCTTGAACTCCTGACCTCAGGTGATCTGCCCACCTTGGCCTCCCAAAGTGCTGGGATTACAGGCATGAGCCATCGTGCCCAACCTCTCTGCTTTAACTTTGGGGAAAATCTCATGACCATGTGGTGGGATGCCACTTACAAATTTGTGGCCTCCAATCTGAGCTCTGCCCTCTGCTTGAAGATGTATGTCTGTGTATAGTCTGTTCTGTCTGCAGAAATTCAGTATTTCTTCCCACCTTTTTTTCTCATTTTCAGTAGATACTCCCATATGCTACATCATAGAGATAATGGAATCTGTCCAATTGAGCTCATTGAGTTTATACCCCTCTCATGCCATCCTAAATACATCTGTGCTTATTTCTGCCCGCTTTGCTACCTTGTCATAGGACAGTGAAAGAAGTGTGAAAGGCTCATCTCTCCATTCTTTTTCAGGACCCCATTCTCTGCTACCTCAGGGGCCGTGTGCCATCAAAAATAGTCCCATTTTTTGACTCTATCATCTTTCTCGCTCACTTTTTAGTCCTTAGCAGGCAGAAGACTCTCCCGTTAGAGTAAAAACAACCAAAAAACCACTGCAGATCCTTCTTTCTATGTATACCCTGTCTGTTTCCATTCATTTTTAAACTTCTTGAAAAAAGTCTATATTCATTCCACGTCTGCTGCAATCTGGCTTTTGGCCCTAGAGCAGCACTATTTGAAACTGCTCTTGTGGACAGTTTTCAGTCTTATTTTACCTGAGTTCTCAGCTGCATTTAGCATTTGTTGACCATTCTTCCCTTTCCTCTGGGATAATTCTTAGATGTCTCCCCCTTCCTCCCATCTTTCTGGTAATTCCTTTTCAGTTTATTGGCGTTTTATCTTTTGCCTGTATCTAGATGTTGGATTCCCTAAGGTTCTGTTCTTCACTCATTTCTTACTGTTTTCTAGAGAGTTATCTAGAGATAACTTTCCTGAGTTATTTCTAGACCTCTGTGTTCTTTACTGATGACTCTAATTTCATATCTTAATTTGAGAGCTCTCTTCTGATCTCTGGACTTGTATATTCCATTGTGTAGTATTTTATGTCAGTCTCTTCAGATTCACAATGGCTCAGATGGAATTTATCAACTTCCTTTAACCGGCTGTCATTTCTTACAGTGGTAAGAGCCATTGCCATCGATTCTGATGCTTAAAATGGAAACTTTGGTGTCATCTTCCATACCTCACTTGTCTGTCTTTTGGATTCAGTTCTATTCCATCCCATGTCTTCTCTCTTACACTTTTTAACATCTCTTATTTAACCTCTTCTGTATTCGAGGTCCTCTGTTAGAGCAGGTCCTCATCATTTCTCTCCTGATTACCTTAGTAGTTTCTTCATTGATTTTCCTTCCTCCAGTATCATCTTCGTCTAGTCCACATTATTGCCAAAATGATCTTACTAAGAAATGATTAAGAACACAAGCGCAAAGACCAGACCATCTGGGCTTTCTATCCCACACTGGGACTACTTGCTTTATGACCTTGGGTAATTTGCTTAACCATTCTTTGCCACATTTTCTTCTATAAAATGGGGATAATACAGTGCTTATCTCATAGTGAAGTTGTGAGAATTTAATGAGTTAATATACATCTGGGCTGACAGAACTTTGTGCAATGATGGAAATGTTCTATATCTGTACTGCCCTCTGTGATAGCCAGAGCCATGTGTAGCTATTGAGCTCTTGCAATATGGCCAGTTGAGTGAGGAGCTGAATTTTAAATTTTATTTAGTTATAATTTAATTGAAATAGCCACATGTGGCTAGTAGCTGCTATAATGGACAGTACAGAATATGTAAAGTCCTTAGAAATAGTGTTTAGCACATAAGTGCTCCATAAATGTTAACTGTTATTACCATCTTTCTAAAATTAAACTTCTCTGCTTAAAATCCTTCAGTACCAAATTCTGCGATATAGTATATATGAGTTGTAACCCATTCCCGTGCGTTGCTCCAAACTTGTCAATTGCCACTTCTTCATAATGCCCTCTGTGTTCCACTGTACCAGTTCTCAAAGTGTGGATGTAGAGGACAGCACCAGCAATAGTATCCCCCAAAAACTTGTTTAAAATGCAGATTCTTGAGCCATATTTCAGGCCTATTCAATCAGAAACTGAATTTGGGGCTTTGCAACCCGTATGTTAGTAAGTCCTCCAGGCGATTCTGATGCACGCTTGAGTTCGAGAGCCATTGTACTGCATCAGTCTCCCTGCAGTTCCTCAGATCTATCTTGTTTTCCCTTGCCCCTATATTTTTCTCCTGTCTGGAATGATTGTTATCCATTTTTTCTTCCTCATAAATTAGCTCTTCAACCTTGCAGACTTAGTTTAGTCAAGTTTCTTTCTGTTTCTTCCTCCTTATCACCCACCCTGCTCCCAGGCTGACTTCAAGACCTGTCTTAATCTCCATGCTGCATATGTCCGTACACACTTGCATCATAGACCATTTTACATAGTACTTTTTTAGCCTGTCTCCTATTAGTGAATTTAGGTTCTTGTTTTTCGTCTTTGTATTTCCATCTATCTGGCAGTATCTGATTGTTTTGTTTATTTTTAATTTTTTTAATTAAAAAATTTTTAACTGTTTTGTTTGGGTTGTTTCATATGTATTAAGCATCTTCCAGGGGCCGGCACAGTGATTAGGAGTGACAGAGTAGGTAAAGCAGACATCGTCTCTGTAATAAATACACATGGTGATAAGTGCTCTGATGAAGTAAAATAGAGCACTGTGGAAACACAGAGGAGGGGGTGGAAAAAGTCAGGGAAGTCTGTTCAGAGGAAGTCACATGTGAAGTTAGTGAAGTGGGGAAGCAAATGGGTGCGGTGGGAAAGAGAGTAGTTCCTGAAAAGGGAACAGCATGTACAAAGGCCTAGAAGCAAAACATTGTATGCACATAGTAACTGTTTAATTGGATATGAATTTTAAAAATCACATGTCTAACTTAGCTCTCGGTTTCGAAGACATCACCCTTCCCAGCAAACATTGCATTTTATATGCTTCTGTATTTTTAAAGCAGTTTTCATACTTGATATCACACTTTGAGTAGATGGTTATGGTGTGATAGGGTAACTTCCAAGCCAGCAGGATACATCTTTTTACTTACTGCCTTTTAAAGCAGAAAAAAGGATTTGTTTTGTCTGAAAATTATTCCACAGGGCCAGGAACACATCAGTGGTGACAGAGGTAAACACATTACTCTTATTGAGTAAGAATAGCCAAGGTTTGGCCAGGCACAGTGGCTCACGCCTGTAATCCCAGCACTTTGGGAGGCCGAGACAGGCAGATCATGAGGTCAGGAGTTCGAGACCACCCTGGCCAACATGGTGAACGTCTCTACTAAAAATACAAAAATTAGCCGAGTGTGGTGGTAGGTGCCTGTAATCCCAGCTACTTGGAGGCTGAGGCAGAAGAATCACTTGAACCTGGGAGGCAGAGTTTGCCGTGAGCTGAGATGACCACCACTGCACTCCAGCCTGGGCAACAGAGCAAGACTCCATCTCAAAAAAAAAAAAAAAAAAAAAAAAAGCCAAGGTTTTAAATAAGCATTAGACCATTGAGAAAGCATATCATTAGGAAGGCTGAAGGCAGCCAGTGTGCCAGCCACAACTGTTGTCACTTTTTTAGCCTCACTGTGTATTGGCTCTTTTTGCTCTTGTTGATGCCATCCCACTTCCTGTTCTCATTAGCCCTCCATTGTAAGAGTAACGTGGCATTCGTTAATGTGCTGTGTAAGCTCCAACTATTAATTTGCTACTGAATATTTGCTTTTGTCTTTTTGAGACTTTATATAATTTTTAGTAAAATAAAAACTCACCTTTTGCTCTCTTTGATTGCTTTGCAAATGGGTTGTCTTCATAATTTATTAACTTTGAAAGAAGACTGATAAAAATACAGTTTTGTTTCTCATAACTTTAGCCAATCGGGACAAACCTAGAGAAGAAGGAAAAAGGGAAATAAAATCTGTTCCCCTAAAACTTTATATGGATGGTAATATTGAAATATTTCAGATATTGAAGAATTTTGCTTTCACATACATATATTTTTTGATATAACAATTTTGTACATAGGTACAAAAGATAGGCAGTCCAGGTGCTATGATTGCCAAGTTTTACTTAGTCAGAATTATATAGTTAAGGTAATAAATGGAACTAGAGCCTAGGTCTGTTCAATCTTAGTACTCCTTGAGCCACATCAAGCTGCCTGTTGTGCAAGACTACAGTTCATGAAAATGACAAGCATTAAAAAACAAGTACTCCTGGCTAACACGGCAAAACCCTGTCTCTACTAAAAATACAGAAAATTAGCCAGGCATGGTGGCAGGCGCCTGTAGTCCCAGCTACTCGGGAGGCTGAGGCAGGAGAACGGCGTGAACCCGGGAGGTGAAGCTTGCAGTGAGCTGAGATCGGGCCACTGCATTCTAGCCTGGGCGATAGAGTGAGACTCCGTCTCAAAAAAAAAAAAAGTACGACCAGGCATGGTGGCTCACGCCTGTAATCCTAGGACTTTGGGAGGCTGAGGTGGGTGGATCACCTGAGGTCAGGAGTTCAAGACCAGCCTGGCCAACATGACAAAACCCTATCTCTACTAAAAATACAAAAATTAGCCAGTTGTGATGATGGGTGTCTGTAATCCCAGCTACTTGGGAGGCTGAGGCAGGGAGAATTGCTTGAACCCGGGAGGTGGAGGTTGCGGTGAGCCAAGATCACACCACTGCACTTCAGCCTGGGCGACAGAGCTAGACTCCGTCTCCAAAAAAAAAAAAAAAAAAAAAAAAAAAAAGTGAATGCTCCTTCAATATTTATTTCATAGATCTGTGAAACCATTTATCAAATCATAGGTATTATTCATCTTTGGATCCAGCTTGCAGCACTTTCTAACGATGCCCATAGAGTGTTTTTATAATTGAAACCATCATGTTTGAACTAGAAGGGGGATGATAGAAATTAGGTTGATTAAAAAAATTATTCAGCTCTCTTTATCCTCTCAAAATTTATAGCCTCTAGATGAAAAGGAGAAAATAGGGTATCAGATGTATTCTAGAAATGCTTGATACCTCAGCTGAAAAGTACCATTTGCCACTTCCTTCAAGATAGTATTTGTTTTGTATTACCCATATAATATTTTTAAAAGTTAAAAACACTTTTCTGAATAGGTAATGTATTCATCACTGTGTAAAATTCAAAAAGTACAAAAACGAGAATTCTGTGAAAAGTATTATTCTAAGTCTTATTCCCTAGCTACTTGGCTCCCCTCTGGGAGGCAGCCGGTGAGCTGTATGTTTCTTTTGTACCTTTTGAAATGATTGTATGTGTATACAAATGATCACTTTATGTATACATTTCTCCTGTCCCCCCCCCCTTTTTTTTTTTTGCATTTGGCAGCATACCTTAACATACTCTTTTGCATCTTACTTTTTTTTTCTCACCACTTAACAATATATGCTCATGCACTTCATAACAATGTTGCAGTCAACAGTAGACCACATATACAAAAGTTGTCCCATAAGATTTTAACGGAGAGGCGGAGCACAGTGGTTAACCCCTGTAATTCCAGCACTTTGTGAGACTGAGGCAAGCAGATCACTTGAGGTCAGGAGTTCAAGTCCAGCCTGACCAACATGGTGAAACCCTGTCTCTACTAAAAATACAACAACAACAACAAAAAATTTGTCAGGTGTGGTGGCAGGCTTCTGTAATCCCAGCTCCTTGAGAAGCTGAGGCACGAGTATCACTGGAACCTGGGAGGCAGAGTTTGCGGTGAACCAAGATCCCGCCACTGCACTCCAGCCTGGGTGACAGAACAAAACTGTGTCTCAAAAAAAAAATAATAATAAAATAAAATAAAATTTTAATGGAGAGAGGTGAAATTAAGGAGGCTTAAAGATGGGTGACTAGAGGACCCCAACATTCACCTTCTCCACAAAGGTGGACCAAAACAGCCAGTAGATAATCACATTTTGAATGCAGCATTTAAGAGAGAACACTGAAATTAAACACGGAAAGGATGAGGAACCTCTGAGGCACAGGAAGAGAGGGAAGTGAACAGCTGGCCTGGCTGGGATTGGCTTGGAGCCGGGAGAAAGTCCCCAGTGTGGAGAACAGGTAAGAGACAGATCCCCAGTGATCTGTGTTCCCACCATGGACTCCTGTAATCTGGCCTCAGGAGAGCTTCTTGGCCTTCATGGGCCCTGATACTAGAATAGGAAAATAGGGAGCTGCCTGGAGCCCCCTTGTCCGAGACCCAATGAGCTGCAGCAGGGTGCCATTTTGACAGTCCAGCCCCTATTAGACCACATCTTTCTCTGGCGCCCAATTGCCCTTGAATCTCCATATCCGTAGTGCTCTGATGACATGTTCCTGTGTCCATCCAGAGGGCTGCAGCATCACAATGCCAGCTGGACCCAGCAGTGCAGAGCATATTAATTCTCCAGAAAGAGTCCAGTGGAAAAAAAGAAAAATGCCTGAGAAACAGTTCAAAATAATATTAAAGAAGCTCAGTGAAATACAAGGGTACACAATGTAAAGAAATCAGAAAAATAATTCATGATCTGAATGAGAAATTTAACAGATAACATAAACAAGAAACAGAAATTGTAGAACTGAAGAATTCAACTAATGAAATAAAAGCTATAATTGAGGTGGTCATGGTGGCTCATGCCTGTAATCAATCCCAGCATTTTGGGAGACCAAGGCGGGAGGATCGCTTGAACCCAGGAGTTTGAGATCAGCCTGGGCAACATGGTGAGACCCCTGTCTCTTGAACTGTGATCATGCCACTGCACTCCAGTCTGGGCAACAGAGTGAGAACCTGTTTCAAAAAAAAAAAAACAAAAAAAAACTACAACTGTGAGTGCTTTTAACTATAGACTAGATCAAGCAGAAGAAAGGACATCTGAATTTGAAGACAGATCTTTTGAAATAATTGTCATACAAAAAAATAAGAAAGCATATGTGACATATGGGAGGGACACCATAATGTGACCAAATATTTGAGTGTTGGGTATTCCAGAAGAATAGAGGGGCAAAGGCATAGAATTATTACTGAAATAATAACTGAAAAGTTTTCGAATCTTACAAAAGATACAGACATACAGATTTAGAAAACTAAAAGATTTCAAAATAGATTCAGTCCATAAGGTGTTCTCCATGGCACATTATAGTCAAACTGTCACAAAGACAGAGAATTCTAAAAATAGCAGGAGGAAAGCAGTGAATCACAATATAAGGGAAGCCCCATCAGACTAACAGCAGAAATCTTATAGGCCAGGAGAGAATGGGATGATATATTCAAAATACTGGAAGAATGAAACTACTGGCCAAGAATACTACACCTAACAAAGCTGTCTTTTTAGAATGAAAGATAAATAAATTCTTTCCCAGATAAGAAAAAAATCAAGGGAATTTATCAACACTAGATGGCCCTACAAGAAATGCTTAAGGGAGTTCTAAATCTGAAAGTGAAAGGGCAATATGTACCGCCATGAAAACATGCAAATACATAAAACTCACTAGAAGAGCAGACATACAAATGAAAAAGAGAAAGGACCCAAATATTACCACAGGAAATTACCAAACTGCAGTGACAACCAATGAGAGAGGAAGAAAGGAACAAGGATACACAAAACAACCAGAAGGTTAACAAAATACAGGATAAGTCTTCAGCTGTCAATAATAATCTTGAATCAGATTAAATTCCACACTTAAAATATGTAGATAAACTGATTTTTTTTAAGACCCAATTATATACTGCCTACAAGAAACTTACTTCACCTATGAAGACATATAGACCGAAAGTGAAGGGATGGAACAAGATATTTTATGCAAATGGAAACCAAAAGTGATTAGGAGTACTATACTTCTATTAGATAAAGTGGACATTAAGTCGAAAACTGCAAAAAGAGATAACATGGGTCATTACATAGTGATAAAGGGATCAGTACAGCAAGAGGATATAACAATGGTAAATATATACGCACCCAATATAGGAGCACCCAGATACATAAAGCAAATGTTATTAGATCTAAAGGGAGAGAACAACTCCAATATGGTAATAGTTGGGGACTTCAACACTTCACGCTCAGAATTGGGCAGGTCAGCTGTGCAGAAAATCAGCAAAAACTGTGGATTTAAACCACACTTTACACCAAATGGACCTGACTGGTATTTACAGAACATTTTATCCAGCAGCCAGAGAATACACATTCTTCTCATCAGCACATGGATCATTCTCTAGGATAGACCAAACAAGTCTCAACAAATTTTTTAAAACCAAAATCATATCATGTATTTTCTTAGACCAAAATGGAATAAAACTAGATATCCAGAAGAAGAGGAACTTTGGAAACTATATAAATACAAGGAAATTAAACAGCATGCTCCCGAACAATCACTGGGTCAATGAAGATACTAAGAATGAAATAAAAAAAATTTCTTACAACAAATGGGATATAGCAAAAGCAGAGTTAAGAGGGAAGTTTACAGCCAATAAGTGCCTCCATTAAAAAAGTAGAAAGATATCACATAAACTACCTAATGCTGCACCTCAGGGAACTAGAAAAGTTAAGAACAAACTAAATCCTCAAATTAGTAGAAAGAAAGAAATAATAAAGGCAGGAGCAGAAATAAAATAGAAACTGAAAAAATACAAAGAATCAACAAAATGAAAAGTTTTTTAAAAAGACAAAATTGATAAACTGCTAGCGAGGCAAACCAAGAAAAAAGAGAGAAGACCCAAATAAATTAGAAATGAAAAAGGAGACATTACAACTGATACCACAGAAGTACAAAGGATCGTCAGCAACTATTATGAACAACTGTATGCTAACAAATTGGAAAACCAGAGGAAATGGATACATTACTGGACACGTACAACCTACCAAAATTGAATCAGGAAGAAACAATACCTGAACACCCAATAATGAGTAACACAATTGAATCAGAAATAAAAAGTTTCCAAAAAGAGAAAAGCCTAGGACCAGATGGCTTTCCTCTCAATTCTACCTGCTGAATTTTACCAAACTTAAGAAGAAGAACTAACACCAGTTTTTCTCAAACTATTCCAAAAAATTAAAGAGGAGGGAATTCTTCCTAACTCACTCTACAAGGCCAGCATTATCCCAATACCAAATCCAGATAAGAATACAACAACAACAACAAAAGAAAACTACAGGCCAATAGTCCTGATGAACATACATGCAAAAATCCTCAACAAAATACTGATAGACAATCCAAACAATCCAGCAACAATCAAAAAGATAACACACCATGATTAATTGGGGTTTATCCTAGGGATGCATATTCAAATATGTTCATGTTCAACCTATGCAAATCAATAAATGTGATACATTGCATCAATAGAGTGGACAAATATCTTGATAATTTCAATAGATGCAGAAAAAGCATTTGATAAAATTCAACATCTTTTCATGATAAAACCTCTCAACAAATTAGGCATAAAAGGAGCATACTTCAACATTAATAAGGGCCATCCATGACAAACCCACAGCTAACGTTATACTAAGTGGGGAAAAGCTGAAAGCCTTTTCTCTAAGAATTGGAATAAGGCAAGGTTACCCACTCTCACAACTCGTATTCAGCGTAGTACTGGAAATCCCAACCGGAGCATTCAGGCAAGAGAAAGAAAAAAAAGGCATCCAGATTGGAAAAGAGGAAGTCAGATTGTCCCTCTTTGCAGACAACATGATCTCATATGTAGAAAAACATGAAGGCTCTACAAAAAAACTTTTAGAACTGATAACACAAATTCAATAAAGTTGCAGGATACAAAATCAACATACAAAAATCAGTAGTGTTTCCATACACCAATAACAAAAGAATGGAAAAATAAAGCAATCCCACTTACAAAGCTACCAAGACAATCACACAAAACCTAGTTATAAATTTAACCAAGGAGGTGGAAGACCTCTATAAGGGAAACTGTAACAGTGATTAAAAAAAAATTGGAGGACACAAACAAATGGGAAGACATCCCCTGTTCATGGATTGGAAGAATTACTGTTGTTGAAATGACCATATTACCCAAAGCAATCTACAGATTAAATGTAATCCCCATAAAAATACCATCAACATTGTTCACAGAAATAGAAAAAACAATCCTAAAATTTTTACGGAACCACAAAAGACCCTGAGTAGCCAAAGCAATCCTGATCAAAAAGAACAAAGCTGGGGGCATCACACTACTTGACTTGAAAATATATTACAAAGCTGTAGTAACCAATTCAGCAAGGTATTGGTATAAAAACAGACAGACCACTGGGACAGAATAGAGAACTCAGAAATAAATCCATGTATTTACAGCCAACTGTTTCAGTAAAGGTGCCAAGAGCATACACTGGTGAAAGGACAATCTCTTTAATAAATGATGCTGGGAAAGCTGGATGTCCATAAGCAGAAGAATGAAACTAGACCCCTATTTCTCACTTTATGCAAAAGTCAGCTCAGAATGGATTAAAGACTTAAATGTAAGGTCTGAAACTGTAAAACTACTTGAAGAAAACATAAGACAAGAAGCTACAAGAAAACAAGAAAGCTTAAGGACATTGATACAGGCAAAGATTTTATGGTTAAGACCTCGAAAGCATGGATAACAAAAACAAACAATAGACAAATGGGAATATATTAAACTAAGGAGCTACTGCCCAACAAAGAAAACAATCAGCAGAATGAAGAGACAACCTGTAGATTGGGAGAAAATATTTGCAAACTATTCATCCAACAAGGGACTAATATCTAGAATGTACAAGGAACTCAACTCAAAGACAAGAAAACCAAATAATCCTATTAACAAGTTGGCAAAGGATCTGAATAGACATTTCTCAAAAGAATACATACAAATGGCCAACAGGTGTATAAAAAAATGCCCAGCCAAAAGTGCAGTGGCTCACACCTGTAATCCCAGCACTTTGGGAGGCTGAGGAGGGCGGATCACCTGAGGTGTAGGAGTTCGAGACCAGCCTACCCAACATGGCGAAACCCCGTCTCTACTAAAAATACAAAAAATTAGCCAGGCATGGTGGTGGGCACCTGTAATCCCAGCTACTCGGAAGGCTGAGGCTGGAGAATCACTTGAACCTGGGAGGTGGAGGTTGCAGTGAGCCGAGATCATGCCACTGCACTCCAGCCTGGGCAACAAGAGGGAAACTCCATCTCAAAAACAAAACAAAACAAAAAAAAACCTCAGCATCACTAATCATCTGGGAAATACAAATCAAAACTATAATAAGATACCATTCTACCTTGTTAGAATGGCTGTTGTCAAAAAGACAAAAAATAAGTGCTGGTGAGGATAGGGAGAAAAGGGAACTCTTATACATCGTTGTGAGAATGTAAATTAGTACAGCCATTATGGAGAACAGTATGGAGATTTCTCAAAAACTGAAAGTAGAATTGCCATATGATCCAGCAGTTCCACTATTAGGTGTTTATCTAAAGGAAGGAGAATCAGCATATCAAAGGGATACTTATACCCCCATATTTATTGCAACACCATTCACAATAGCCAAGATATGGAATCAACCTAAGTATCTATGAGTTGTTAAATGGATAAAGAAAATTTTATAAATGTATATGTATATATACACACCATGGAATACTACTCAGCTATCAAAAAAGAATGAAACTCTATCATTTGCAGCAACACGGATGGAACTGAAAGCCATTATTTTAAATGATATAAGCCAGCCACAGAATGACAGCTGTCACGTTCTCACTTATATGTGGGAGTAAAAACAGTTGACTCATGGAGGTAGAGAATAGAATGATAGTTACCAAAGTCTGAGATGGGCGAGGGGTGGGGTGGATGAAGAGAGGTTAATGGGTACAAACATACAGTTAGAAGGAATAAGTTCTAATTTCATTGCTTAGTGGGGTAACTGTAGTTAACAGCAATATATTGCATATTTCAAAATAGTTAGAAGATTTCAAGTGTTAACCAACACAAATGATAAATGTTTGAGGTGATGGATATCCTAAATACCCTGATTTGATCATTACGCATTGTATGCAGGTATCAAAATATCACGTGTACCTCATAAAGATGTACAATTATGAATATATTAAAAATTATTACAGTGGCGCTGAACAGTTTCTACACCTAGTGATGTCATAGACATTATAGTGTACATAGTGTGCACTACTCAGCATGTTTGTGGTGATATTGGTGTAAACCTGTGCTGCCAGTCTTATGAGAGCTTAGCACATACTATTATGTATACTACATAATACTTGATTATAAGCAACTACCTGTTACTGCTTTATGTATTTATTATAGTTGTTATCATTATTTTAGAGTGTACTCCTTCTTATTAAAAAGAGTTTACGGTAAAACAGTCCCAGACAGGTCCCTCAGGAAGTATTCCAAAAGAAGGCATTGTTACCACAGGAGATGACAGCTCCATATGTGGTATCACCCCACTTTCCAGTGGGGAAAGATGGGGACAGTGGAATACAGTGATATTGATGATCCTGACCCTGTGTAGGCTTAGGCTAATGTTTAATGTTTGTTTTTTAATGCTTAACAAAAAGTAAAAGAAAATTTTTTTTTTTTTTTTTGGATAGAGAAAAGTTTGTAGAATAAGGATATAAAGTAAGTAGGCTGGGCGTGGTGGCTCACACCTGTAGTCGCAGCAGTTTGGGAGGCCAAGGCAGGTGGATCACTGGAGCCCAGGAGTTTGCAACCAACTTGGGCAACATGACAAAACCCCGTCTTTACAAAAATACAAAAATTAGCTGGACATGGTGGCGCGCGCCTATAGTCCCAGCTACTTGGGAGGCTGAGGTGGGAGGATCACTTGAGCCTGGAAGGTTGAGGCTGCAGTGAGCCAAGATCATGCCACTGCACTCCAGCCTGGGCAACAGAGTGTGACCCTGTCTTAAAAAAAAAAGTAAATATATTTGTACAGCTGTACTGTACAATGTGTGTTTTGAGTGAAGTGTTATTACAAAAGAATTTTTAAAGTAAAAGAAATTAAAAAGTTTATAATGTAAAAAGTTACATTGTGGTAAGGTTAACATTATTGAAGATAGAAATTTTTTTCCAAATTTAGTGTAGCCTAGGTGTTCAGTGTTTATAAAGTTTGTATTAGTGTATAGTAATGTGCTAGGCTTTTGTGTTCACTCACCACTCATTCACTGACTTTCTTGGGGCAACTTCTAGTCCTGCAAGCTCCATTTGTGGTAAGTGCCCCATACAGGTGTACTAATTTAAAAAAATCTTATATATTGTATTTTTACTGTTCCTTTTCTATGTTTAGATACTCAAAATCTTACCATTGTGTTACAATTGCCTTCAATATTCAGTATAGTAACATGTTGTACAGGTTTGTAGCTAGGAGCTGTAGCCTATACCATATAGCCTAGGTGTGTAGTAAGCTATACAGTCTAGGTATGTGTAAGTACACTTTATGATGTTGCACAATGATGAAATTGTCTAATGACATATTTCTCAGCATGAATCCCCATCATTAAGCGACACATGACTGTATCTTAAAGGATGTTTCATATCAGTACATTAGGCTTAGTAATGTTTCATTGTATGAGTGTATCATAATTTATACATTTTTATATGTAGCCCCTTGTTAATGGACATTTGTTTCTAATTTTTTTTGTGATGACAAATAGTGCTGCATTAATAACCTCATTTGTATATCATTTCACTTATAAGTCCCTAGAAGTGGAATTATTGGGTTAAAGAGTGTTATGGCGTTATAATTTTGATATTCCTGTATTTTTCTCCATAGAGAGTCATCACCAGTATGTGAGAGTAACTGCTTCCCTATACCCTTTGCAACACACTGTAAATTTTTTTATTTTTGGCAGTCTGACAAGTGAAAAATCGTTACCCACTTTTGACTACATGCTTTCACTCACAGGGGAGTTTGCTCTTCCAGCCTAATGACCAAAGACAACATCTAATTTGTATTTGTACTGTTAGGCTGTTTTAACCCTGATTTTCCAAAAAAAATGTACAGTTCTTAGAGGTAATCAAATTTTTTTTTTTAAACTGTTACTATGTTGCTTTAGAAATATCTAGGTTTTTTTGCTGGGTCTGATTTGAAAGCAGTGACCTGATAAATTTCTGTTAACCTTACCACAGTGTAACTTTTTACGTACAGTATTTTACAAACCTGATACAGTATCAGGTTTGATACTGATAGGTTTGTCAGTCTTTTTAAGTGCCCATTATGTAGTACCTGTATTTGAAAACCTGTATAATTTTGAATACATATTATATGCTAGGTATTATATTTAGATCACAGCAACTCTTTAAAGAAGATTGTCTGTGTTGAAGGCTCATAGAGGTCAAACGATTTGCCGTAGTATATTAGAATGTAGATGCTGGTAGAGTCATTAAAAGAGAAAAATACACATTTGGAGTTGAGATAAACTGAAATTGTTAAACTTGTGCAATAATTAAAAGTATTAACTGAGTTTTGTTTTGTTTTGTTTTGTTTTTGAGACAGAGTCTTACTCTGTTCAGGTTAGAGTGCAGTGGCACGATCTCTGCTCACTGCAGCCTCTGCCTCCCAGGTTCAAGCGATTCTTGTACTTCAATCTGCAGAGTAGCTGGGACTACAGGTGTCTAATTAGCCAGCCTAATTTTTGTATTTTTAGTAGAGATGGGGTTTCTCCACGTTGGCCAGGCTGGTCTTGAACTCCTGGCTTCAAACAATCTACCTGCCTTGGCCTCCCAAAGTGCTGGGATTACAGGTGTGTGCCACTGTGCCTGGTCTAAAGTACTCCCTGAGTTTTTTACAACACAAATTCTCATTAGTTTAGGACTTGAGTTAAGAGTATTAAGAGCAGAGATTCCAGTCTCACCATTTACTTGTTATTTGATCTTTAAATTACTTAATTCTCCATGAGCTTCAGTTTCCTTTTCTGTAAAAGAGGGATAGTATTATAATAGTACCTAAATTACAAAATTCATAAAGCAACCTTACCTTTTTAAAGATTGTGTTTAGCCTGATCATGTCATTGTTGCAGTGGTTTTTTAGCCTGTTTCAAAAATAGAGAGCAAGAAATAGTGCTGACTTCCTTCTCTTTTCTCCAGTAAAACAAGACAAAACAAAGTATCAGTTTGTTAACTCACAAAATATTGCCATCACATTTTAAGACCATTTGAAATTTTCATGAACACATAAATTTTAATATGACATAGAAGTAGACAGATAACATAAAACCATTTGTCACGTTTTATAATCTATTTAAATTAGGATGGATTTTTTGGATCATATTCCTTTGGGAAAGGCAAAATATTTAAACAATATTCCTATTCCCCCTCAGTTTGGCCCTATTTGGAAGTAACAGTATATCTCTCTTTCCTCAATAAAAGAACAGTAACAAGGACAGCAAACTTCCTCATAAAAAACAACAACAACAACAACAAGCAGAGTACCCCCCCCATTGTTAAGTTGTTAAAATAAGTCTTTATTTTATATCTTGAAAGCTCAAGATTAGGGTAAGGATCAAGTTACAGAGCTGTTTTTTCCCCATGCAAAGTGGCCTGGTTCATATTAGGAATGAAACTAGTGACTGTAATGTAATTAAGCACTGTGTTGTATAGCACTGCTTCTCAAGTTTTCCTTTGGGGATTTTGCTAAAATGAAGTTCCAGATTTTTGGTGAGGTCTGAGATTTTGCATTTTTAAAAAGCTCCCCAGTATTACAGTGCTGCACAAAACACAGTTTTGAGTAGCACGTTTCTGTAGCACTAACCCATCTTTTACTCTTGAGTAATTATCTTAAATCATATGCTTATTTTCAGACATTCATTCAGCAGATTTCTGCTGAACGTCTATGTCCCTGACACTATGCTAGGTACTGGGGTTACTAGGGATGCTGGGTAGATAGTCTGCTGTCAGGCAAGTGGGGAAGCCAAAGAAATAACAACAAAGTATATGTAACTGGTGATGGGAAAGTCCAGGGAGCTGATAATCTTAAGCACAAAAATTGCTTTTTGACAGATTTATGAAGACAGTGAACCTAGTTTATCTGATACCGTGACATCTAGGTTCCCAATAGACGTAGAATGGGGGATATTCATTGGATATCAGTCTAGAATGGTTGTTGGCAAACTCTTTCTGTAAATAAAAGGCAGGGTAGTAAATATTTTAGGCTTTGCGGGCCATACAGTCTCTGCTGATTACTCAAGTCTGCGAACCAGGTAACATGTAAATGATTGTGTGTTCCAGAAAGACTTTATTTACAAAACCAGGTGGTAGACTGGATTTGGCTTGCAGGCTATAGTTCTAGATTGGCAGCATATCACTCTTCACTTATAAGATATGAAAATAGTTTAAAGGAATGATTTATTTAAAAAAAGAAGGTAATTACATTGATAACATCACTGCATCACTGATTCATTTGCATTTGAATATGCTATCTTGGAACATTAGTTGTTTATATACCTAAGGATACCCCTGAGAATATATTATACATGTGATTGTCATTTGTCTTGTATATCATTGGAGGAAAAAAAAGGGTTAAGGTCTATTGCTTGGAACTTTAGTTAGAACTCCTAAAGAGCTGCACAAATGCCCATTTTTCCCTTCTATTATATGGGGGAAAGAAACCATGATACATAGAAGGAGTTATAGAATTTGAGTATAGGTATGCAGTGAAGCATATCTGTAAATTGCTTTTTCTGGACAATATTGAAAACTGTGTAATCCCCAGACCAGAAGAGGACATCCCTGGATACTCAATCAGTTACCATCATTTAGGGTAATGAATATAATTTGGGCTCTGGAGTTTACCTTTTGGTTTCATCACTTAACTCGTGTGAATTTGGCAGAGTAGTTAACCTCTTTGCCCTCAGTTTCTTCATGGGATAATGATACTGCAACATACTTTTGAAAATTATAAAAAACACACTATATTTGATAGCAACTAGTATAGCACTAGAAAATAGTGAGCCTTCTATAGATGTTACTTTTCTTCTCTTCTGACCTGCCTGCAGTGCAGTTTACTAATGTACTGAAGGAAACTGAGGAAAAAAATGTTCCTGGCACATAAGAATCTTAAAATTGAGCAATATACTAATGTACTGAAGGAAATTGAGGAAAAAAATGTTCCTGGCACATAAGAATCTTAAAATTTTCTTGGAGTTGTATATAAAAATAAAGAGGAACACTTTCAAAATAACATGCAAACCAATGTAAGGCCTCTCAATAGAGGTATCTCAAACAGGTAAAAATATCATTTAGTTGTAGAACTAAAAGTCTTAGGACTTCTTTAAATTCAAACCCTTATTTTTACAGATGAGATCAAATGACTTTCCCTAAATGCTGATATGTTGCCTTTTTGTGTGGAGAATTTATTCTCTAACATTCATTGATTAACCAGATGCTGTTGCCTCTTGGTTAGGAATTTAAGTTAAATTCATCCGTTTCAGTTTAAGCACCGAACAACTTGTTCTACATGGTTTTTTTGTTTGTTTGTTTTTGTTTTTTTTTAATTTGAGGCAGAGTCTCGCTCTGTCGCCAGGCTGGAGTGCAGTGGTGCGATCTTGGCTCACTGCAACCTCTGCCTCCCCAGTTCAGGCTATTCTCCGGCCTCAGCCTCCCGAGTAGCTGGGATTATAGGGGTGGCCACCACGCCCAGCTAATTTTGTAATTTTAGTAGAGATGGGGTTTCACCATGTTGGCCAGGCGGGTCTCGAACTTCTGACCTCAGGTGATCCATCCACCTCGGCCTCTCAAAGTGTTGGGATTACAGGCATGAGCCACCTCGCCCAGCCTGTTCTATGTGTTTTTAATACTTAGGAAGTGTTGATACATATAATTTTCTGGCCTTAACAGAGATGGTTAGTAGCTATTCATAGGTCTGACTGTAAATTAAATAATTTTTATTTATTTATTTACTCTTTTGAGATAGTTTTGCTCTTGTTGCCCAGGCTGGAGTGCAGTGGCACAATCTCGGCTTACTGCAGCCTCCACCTCCTGGGTTCAAGCGATTCTCCTACTTCAGCCTCTCAAGTAGCTGGAATTAACAGGCATGTGCCACCACACCTGGCTAATTTTTGTATTTTAGTAGAGACTGGGTTTGAACTCCTGACCACAGGTGATCCGCCCACCTCAGCCTCCCAAAGTGCAAGGATTACAGGTGTGAGCCACCGTGCCTGGCCTAATAATTTTTATTTCTTTAATATTGCCACTAGGAACAATTTTCTGTGACATTTTTGTAGCTCTGTAGTTAAACTAACTTGGAATTTCTTTACAGAGCTTAGAATTTACAATACTGTTAGTCTCTTTGAGTTGTATTAGTAGAAAGGAAAGGTGACATTAAATACTGACAAGCAAAAAATATAAAGTAATTGCTCTTTGGCAGCTTTAGTCATGCCTCCTATATCTGTCTCATTTTGCCTTGGTTCATGCCCTCGTCTTTTCTTTCTTGGGTTATTGTAGTTGTCTTTCAGATGGTTTCCCTTTAGTCATTCAATAAATAAGTGGTGACACATGATAGGTACTTCTAAGTGCGGTGAGTTCAGCAGTAAACAGATGGATCAACCTCCCTGCCCTCGTGGAGCTTATTATTTAGCAGACTCTAGCTCTGTACTTTGAGAGCTTCCCTCTCTACTTTTGTCTGAGTGCTATCTCTAAAATATGTCCTCCCAGTGTTCAGAATCCTCAAGTGCAAGTGGAGTGGGTTTCTATTGTCTTTTGGACAAGGTTCGGGCTTCCTTGCCTTTATTGCAACTTCATCTCTTGCCATGCTCTTCTTAACCCTCTGCCTTCCAGCACACTGTAGTCCCTTGTTGGCACCACACTGTCTTAACATTTTTATACATATATTTCTGTCTGCAAATTCATTCCTTTAGATCCCCCCACCCCAACAAACAAAAACAAAAATAGCGAATATTCATCTTTTAAGCCTCTTTGACTTACCCACTACTACCTCTCTGCTTTGGTGCCATGACTCCCTTCCTTTATAAACAAATATATTCTCATGGTCCATTAGGCATACTGATACTATGACGTTTTTCTCCCTGTATTATGATAGTCTGTTCATTTATCTGCCTGTCCTACTAGAATTAAAGGCAAAGGCTGCTTTTTTGTTTATTTTTCAGTGTCTCTCAAGGGGCCTGGCTCATAGTGGTTTGAAATATTAATTGAACAAATGAATGAATAGCCCAGACTTCTACTATCTCAATGCTGTCAACCTGACAACGTGCGGGGGATTCATTCAGTAACCCTTTAAATTAGTGGAGTGCTTATTACTATGTGCCAGTGATAGAGATACATAGATAATCTGTCCTCAGATGAGTCCACTGTAAGGCTGACAGCTTCCTTATTTTCACAGCATACTGTCTTTTAAATTTTTTATATATTTATTAGAAAACTAATAAGTAGTCTCTATCAAGTATCTAAACAAGTGTTGAGAGTATCTTTTTATTGAAGTAGTGGCTTAAACTATTGAAGAGATATTGATAAAAATTTGGGGAAAATAAAAGTGTATGTAGTGCTAATTTTTTTTTGCATCCCTCAGAGATCCAGAGTCATTTGGATAGTTTAGTAATATATAAAATATATTTTGAAAAACTGTGTTTGTTAAGTTTTTAGTATCTTTAAAAATGTGAAGGCTGATAAAATTTTATTTTTCTAATTAAGAACAAAGTTTTGACCTGTAAGTGCTACCCTTGGAGAAAAATTTCTTCTATCTCCCTCCTCTCTTTATAGTAAAGCCATCTACTTGTATATCTCTGTATCATATATGTCCCCCTTTTTTAAACAGTAGATTTAGTTGTTCTCACATTACAGTTCTCTTTGACCCTTATTTTATGGATATTACAGTTTGACTTTTGTATTTACAACTGTTAATCTCTCAACCTGTTTTATGTTTATGTGGACATGTTAAGTGTTTTGTGTACTTCATGATGGTTTTTCAAATATGATTATACAAATATCCTTGGATATACCAAATATAAATATATTATTTTGAAAACAACTGTTAGAATATACATTGTGTGCAAATTTGTTATAAGGGAAAGGTTTAACTAATTGAAATGAACTTTGCTATTAATTTTTATATTGCCTGCATTTAATAGTAATTTTAAAACAGTAAGAAGAGAGTTGTGTTTCTCAAATTGCTTCCTTGGCACGCAGTTCCTGAATGTGTTCAGAGAACAGTGGATTCCAAGGCAGAATAAGCATAGCAAATGGTACATATTCATATTTCACATAAACATAGCGAAGGAACTGTGGAATTCCCACCTCTACACCTGTTTAACTTTGCTAACTTAACTTATTTGTGTAAGGGAGGACAACCTCCCTTCCCTCATCTCTTGCCTCCCTTAAGACCTGTTTGGGAAGCACTGCTGTTAACGTGCAGTTTCTGGGGCTCTGATGTCCTGGTACCTTGCCTTTTGGTTATTTAATGGGAGTTAAGAGTCTTTGCCTCATCTGCATTTGCATTAAAATGTCTGTGGGAGTTACTTCAAGGGGAAAAATGAGCTAGTCTGTTTCAATTGGAAAAGTCTATGTCTAGAGTGTGTCTATATGCATGAGCAAACTTTGCTATTTTTAAATCCCTGTGTGAACGTCAGATTTTTTGGCTGTTTTGGCTTATTGCAGTAGGAATAGATAAATTGATGTTCAGCTCAGTTGTTCATAGCATTGCATGGGACAAAAAGATGGTTACTACAAAATTATGAAATCAAAATGCTTTTTGAAAACCTAAATTTTCAAATGAAAAATATCCTTCAACATACATATTTAGCTCACCCTTTATTACCTGTTTCTCTGCTGAAAGGATAGAATAGTACATATGCCAGGAGTTGAAATTTATCTATACATTGAAATTTATACGACTGTATAGGAGGTTGTGGTTTGGCAGCAAAAGCTTTCTAGATCACTAATTTGTAAGCGCCTTGAAGGTAAGTGTTCAGTGTCTCTTACATCTTTGTATTGCCCACAGGCAAATGCTGTTTTATGAGTGGCAGTAATTTGTATTCTGAACTTAAGGCAAGAAAGACTTTGTATAGGATCTGCTTTTAAGTGCTGTCGTGGTATCTGGAAAGTTGTTTGCATAGTTACCTCCTTATCTGTCTGTCCTCTTGGCTTCCTAGTTCTGCTTTCCCCCCAGCTCATCCATGTTGAAGGGATCTGGCTATAGATTGCAACTCTGCTTACTGTAGCATAGGGCTGCCAGCTTGGTAGTCCGGATTCTTTTTAGCACAGAAGGGGCATGAGACCACATTGGACATATTACTTGTGAGCTTTGAGAAGTTTTTGTGGATAACATTGGCAGACAACCTCTGACTTTGACATTATAGCCTACTCTGTTATATTGTTCTCCTCTCTTCTGCCTTACTATCTCCCTTCATGCACTGGTTATCCCATTTGAAATAGTGTTTCTGGAGGCTTAAAGATGAGGAGTAGTTGAACAGTTATGGACAGTGATTTCTCAGCTCCTTAGAGAACTGAACCCATAATCTATCCTTTCCTAGCGTAATCCTGAACCTGTAACTACATTTAATAACTGCATGTACCGAAGTATTTCAAGTAATCCTGAACCTGTAACTACATGTAATAACTGCATGTACCGAAGTATTTCATTGGATCACATACTGCTCCAGCTTCTACTTCAGTTTCTACCTCCCTTGTATATGAGGTCACTTATTCTAGTTGAGTAATATCTCTGAATTTCTTCCTTTATTTATTAAAAAAGTGCTAATATGCTGTCCTCCGAGCCCCATTTAATCTTTTTCTGTTTTCTTATTTTCCTTGCTTCTCTTTAGCCCCCCGATCTGTCCTTGTCTTATTGCTGTAACCTGCTGCCCCTTATTGATCATACAGTGGATTGAAGGTATATTTGTTGACTTAATTATCTATGTGTTTTAAGAAACTGGTTGCCTGAGGCATTTCTGCGTGTGTGTTTTAAAAGAGAGCATAGCCTCTTGATCTCAAGCCAAAAATGTGGTTCATTTAACTGGTATTTTATCTTCAATTGATTTTTCTGTGGAGTTTGGCCTTGGATATATATAGTATGGGTATAGATGATTGTGAATGGCTTATAATAGCTGATTACAGAGTATGGCCCAGAAATTCTTTTGCTTTGTACTGTGTATGGAACAGTTTGGTATGAAAATTAACTGTAGCAAAAGCATAGTTAACTTTAATAGCATATCTGGCATCTCTTTTCTCACACATCACGTCTAGTACAGTAGCAAATCCTTTTGGCTCTGCCCCTTAGAACAGGGGTTAGCAAATTATGGCCCCCACCTCTTTATAGTTCATGAGCTAAAAATGTTTTTTTTTTAACAATTCTAAATGGTTGAAAAATATTAAAATAATATTTCAAACACATGCAAATCATATGTAATTCAGATTTCAGTGTCCATAAGTAAAGTTGTATTGGAGCACAGCCACACTTGTTTTCGTTTCTGTGTTGTCCAAGGCTTCTTTCACGGTACCGCGGCAGACTTGAGTGGTTTTAACAGAGACCCTGTGACCTCAGAACTGAATATATTTACTGTCTGGTCTTTACAAACAGTTTGCCAAACCCTGCTCTGTTGTATATCCAGAATCTAGCACTTTTTACTTCCCTCTTGACTAAGTCATTGTTCTTGCCTCCTAATTGAACTCCTTGCTTCTGTTCTTGTCCCTTTAAATCTGCAGTCAGTGGAGTGATCTTTTTAGAAAGTAAACCACCCTCTGTTTAGATAAAATAGGTTAATAAATAAGTAAATATCAAGGACAGTTTTGAATGAAAATTATAGAAGGACCATTAATCTTGGTTAGGATAGGAGCAAGGAACCCCATATATTGTGTTTAAATGCTGATGAATACAGAAGTGACCATACATATGTGTGCATGAGCATTTGTAATTGAAAAAAAGCAGAGCCAAGGCCGGGCGTGGTGGCTTACGCCTGTAATCCCAGCACTTTGGGAGGCCAAGGCGGGTGGATCATGAGGTCAAGAGATGGAGACCATCCTGGCCAACATGGTGAAACCCCAACTCTACTAAAAAATACAAAAATTAGCTGGGTTTGGTGGCATGCGCGGCTGAGACAGGAGAATCGCTTGAACCCGGGAGGCGGAGGTTGCAGTGAGCCAAGATCGCGCCACTGCACTCCAGCCTGGCAACAGAGCGAGACTCCATCTAAAAAAAAAAAAAAAGAAAGAAAGAAAAATGACAGAGCCACCTCCCTCTGTATTGCTATATTTATTTATCTATAAATTTACATGCAATAATGCATTCTTTTCTGTGTCTACTTTTATGAGTTTTGATAAATGGATAGAGTTATATAACCAATCACCACAATCAAGATATAGGAAAGATCCATTATCCACTAAAAAAAAAAAAAAACTTGACTTTTGTAGTCATCACCCTCCCCCAACCCTGGCAAACCACTGAGCTATTATTCTCCCTATAATATTACATTTTCCAGACTGTCATATAAATGGAATCAAGTATAGTTTTTTAAGTTTGGCTTATTTCATTTGGCATCATGCATTTGGGATTCATCCATGTAGTTGTCAATAGTTTGTTCCTTTTTGTTGCTGAGTAGTACTCCATGGTGTGGTAGGTACACCATAGTTTGTTTATCTCTTCCCCTATTGAGGGACATTTGGTTTCAGTTTTTGGCAATTATGAATAAGCTTTCTATAAACATTCATATATAGGTTTTTGTGTGAATATAGTACAGTAGTTTCCTGTGGCTGCTGTAAAAAATTGCGAAACTGGATAGCTTTAAAACAGCAGAAATTTATTCCCTCACTATCCTGAGGGTCGGAAGTCTGAAATTAGTATTTCTGGACTGAACTCAAAGTGTTGGCAGGGACACATTGCCCCTGCAGGCATTCTGAGCTTCTGGTGGCTCTTGGCATTTCTTGGCTTGTGGTCAGCAGCAGCATCACTCCCATCTCTGCCTCTTCACATCATGTCTTCTCCTTTGTGTGTGTGTCACCTGTTCCTCTGCTTCTCTAGGGACACTTGTCACAACATGTATGGCCTGCTTAGATAATCCAGGATAACCCCCCCATCTCAAAATTCTTAATTTAATCACACTTGTGAAGACCCTTTTCCCAAATAAAATTATCCTTTACAGGTTCGAAGGATTAGGATGAGCTGTCTGTGGGGGATTTCAGTCTACTACTCTAGGTTTTCATTTGACTTGGGCAGATACCTAGGAGGTGTGTTGCTGGGTTGTATGGTAATGGTATGTTTAACTTTTATAAGAAACTGCTAAGCTGTTTTCCATAGTGGCTGTACTGTTTTGCATGCTTACCAGCTATGTATGAGTATCTCATTTATTCAGACTCCTCACTGGTACTTGATATTGTCATTTTAAAAAGCCGTTCTAATAGATAGTGGTATTTCATTGTGATTTTAATTTGCATTTCCCTAACGATTGGTTGTGTGAAGCATCTTTTCATGTGTTTTATGTACATATCTTCTTTGGTGAAGTGTCTCTTCAAGTAGTTTGCCTATCTTTTTCAGGGGGTTGGATTTCCTCTTTGTTATTCTTTTTTTTTTTTTTTCCTCTTCTTTTTTTCCCCACACCTCTGTTCTTCCTAAAGTTAGTTTTGGGCTCCAGGGAATTGGGAAGATATTTGTGCTTTTATAATCCTCTGTATGCCTCAATATTTCCTTGCCACAAACTTGTTCTGAGTTTCTTATTCTTTTTTTTTTTTCTGAGATGGAGTTTCACTCTTGTTGCCCAGGCTGGAGTGCAATGGCACAATCTCAGCTCACCACAACCTCTGCTTCCTGGGTTCAAGCGATTCTCCTGCCTCAGCCTCCTGCGTAGCTGGGATTACAGGCATGCATCACCACACCCAGCTGATTTTTCTGTGTTTTTAGTAGAGACGGGGTTTCTCCATGTTGGTCAGGCTAGTCTCGAACTCCTGACCTCAGGTGATCCACCCACCTCAGCCTCCCAAAGTGCTGGGATTACAGGTGTGAGTCACCGCACCCGGCCGAAGTAGTGATTTTTAACTGTCGATCAGCATTGTGAATACTCATTTCTAGAACAAATGGTCTCATTTACTAGTCTATTGAATTAAAGAAGGTAATGTAGGAACTTGAAAGTTGGGGTTCTTATTTTCAAGATTTTTTATAAAGTTGAGTATCTAGACTGCAAAATGTGTCAGTGGTTTTAGAGGGAAGAATTAGCTTTTCATTCTGAGTTTCTAAAACTAGGTATATTAGACTTGGGTTCTTTTCTGGCTTTTGATAGACTTTCTCAGAAAATAAAATATAATCTAAATTAACATGTAAGGGGCATGTTAGGTCTGGGGTTGCAAGTGACTGAAGCCCTTGAGTAAAAAGGGCGATTTGTTAGTGCATAGGACCAAACTGTAAGGAATGATAGGGATGGAATTGGTTTTTGGGGACAACTGATCTGGGAATTAGATTATTGCCTGGATTATCTCCTCTTATCTCTGCTCTCTCTTTGAATTGATTACATTGTTTCCTGTCTCAGATGAGTTTTCTCCAAATGATTGGGATCATGGTTGCTGGTGTTTTAGGACTCGTATCCTTCTATTTTAGTGACCCCAGAGGAAGAAAAGGGACCTTCTTTGCCAGTAGGCTTAGGAAACCCTGGGGAAGCAAAGAAGAATCTGGTGTCAAGAATGGTTGGGCACATAGTAGAGCACAAACAGTTTATAATGCTGGCTGGGAGTGACTGCTGGGTTAGTGAAGGTGTGGGCCATAAGATTTGTTACACAAGCCAGATCACTTTTGAGATGAAGGGAAGTACTAGGACAACAGATGTAAACTTGGGCTGTCTCACATACCCCAGTGATGGGGAGGTGATAATCAGACTTGTTGCACAGTAGGGCGCCCTGAGGCTGAGGGTTTGGAATCGTGAAGAGACTTGCCTACGTGTGTGTGGAAGAAAGCCAGGCAGAGCTCTGGGTTTTCTTGAATCTTTTTGAGGCAACCCAAGATTTCTGTAGATCTGCCCTAATTAGTAAATGTTATTGCTTTATGGATAAAGTTGAAGTCCTAGAATCTGAACCCAATTTCTACTTTCTCATAGGAAACTAGTTCTGTGCTCTGATACAATGTTTACTCAACAAGTACATAGAGTGTCTGATCTGCAGTCTTCTGGCCTATTGTCAATAGATGGTATTGACAATACCAGTCACCCAGGCTGGAGTGCAGTGGTGCGATCTTGGCTCACTGCAACCTCTGCCTCCTGGGTTCAAGCGATTCTCTTGCCTCAGCCTCCAGAGTAGCTGGGACTACATGCGTGCGCGACCACACCAAGCTAATTTTTGTATTTTTAGTAGAGACAGGGTTTCACAATGTTTGCCAGACTGGTCTTGAACTCCTGACCTCAAGTGATCCATCTGCCTCTGCCTTGGCCTCCCAAAGTGCTGCGATTACAGGTGTGAGCTACTGCGACTATCCTGTTTTATTTATTTATTTATTTTTTTCTGTTGGGTAAATCTGTACTTTTTCTTTAATGAGACCTGTGCTTTTTACAAAGGATTGTGGTTTTGTTTTTTTTTGTTTTTTTTTTTTTTTTTTTTGAGACAGGGCTTTGTCCTGTCGCCAGGCTGTAGGTGCTGTGATCATGGCTCACTGTAGCCTCTGTTTTCTGGGCTCAAGTAATCCTTTCACCTCAGCCTTTTATGTAGCTGGGACCACAGGTGCATGTCACCATGCCCAGCTAATACTTAAAATTTTTTGTAGAGACAAGGTCTTCATATGTTTCCCAGGCTGGTCTTGAACTCCTGGGCTCAAGCAACCCTCCCACCTCAGCCTCCCCAAATGCTGAGATTACAGGCATGAGCCACTGCACCTGGCCTGACAAAGGATGTTAATGTTTAATATGTTGTGGAAAAACAGAAAAAAAATTAAAGGTTTTGTGAAGAATGTAAAATGCACCCACATGCACCCATTAGTCGTCTCAGGGTCACATGTCACCTTTTCCATGAAGATACTTGTTATGGTCTTTTATGTAGGGTGTTTTTTTCTTTTTAAACTTACATACTAGATTATCTGCACCTAGCACAGTGGTGCTGTATATGGTTGTTCAGCAAGAATCCAGTTCCTGTGAAGTTTCCTAAGATAACAGCATAAGATAATATTTAAAATTTTTATTTTCATATAAACTAATAGCATTACCTTTTAATATTTTACTTCAGATTACTTTATGGTTCCTGTTCTTTTATTCAAGTTCTGCAGATCTAGTTACTGTTATCCCCATTTTATGGTCAAGGAAAGAGACACATTGTAGTTAACTAACTGATTTTCTCTCTGATGTAGCTAGTTATTTATATGCAATGTTCTCACTAATGTATTTTCCGCAACGAATTAAACTAAAACTTGAGAGCGTGATATTAAAAGGTGAATGATGATATGTGATTTGAGACACTTGGTATGAAAGCCAGCCTTGTACAGGGGTGCTGTGTATGCAGAGTCATTTACTGTAGAGTTTACATTAAAAATTGATTTTCAAGGTAAAAAATTGCTCTCTTCATCTTTTATATTGCTTTATTCACCAACTTTTAAATTACAATTTTAAAATGTCTTCTATATATAGACTTTCTAGAACTAAACCAGTACAGTTGCCATTAGGTGCATGTAGCTATTTAAATTTAAATTAATTAAAGTTAAAGTAATGATAACCACTAGCACATTTCAAGTACCCACTAGCTCACATGTGGCTAGTGGTTACAGTATTGGACAACAGAGATATAGAACATTTCATCATCCCAGAAAGTTCTACTAGATGGCACTGTTCTTGAGAACAGTGTTAAAAAAATGTCACTCGAGGGGCCAGGCGCAGTGTCTCATGCCTGTAATCCCAGCACTTTGGAAGGCCAAGGCAGAGGCAGGCGGATCACTTGAGGTCAGGAGTTCGAGACCAGCCTGGGCAACGTGAAACCCCGTCTCTACTCAAAAAATATATAAAACTTAGCTGGGTGTGGTGGTGCACGCCTGTAATCCCAGCTACTTGGGAGGATGAGGCAGGAGAATCGCTTGAACCCAGGAGGCAGAGGTTGCAGTGAGCCAAGATTGTGCCACTGCACTCCAGCCTGGGCGACAGAGTGAGACCCTGTCTCAAAAAAAGAAAATATTACTTAAGGATAGGGTTTCAGTTTTTAGGCTCTAGGATTTTTGGAGTTGAAAATGTTAGCTTTGGATTATCCTAATGAGGGGAGCTTTGTGAGTTACTGTCTGTGGATCAAGCCTGTCATGTTCACACTCTGCCTAATCTTTTACTAGTCTCTCTGGCTCTGTATATATCAGCCATACTTGGCTGAGGGTTTTTTTTGGGGGGTTAAGTAGTACAGAATTTGCAAATGTTTGTTTTATGTAGTTAAAGCCTTGATGCTTAGTATCTTTTCCTTATCAATAAAATGAAGTAATGAGATACTGACTATATGGAATTTGAATTAATTGATTGGGATTATGAAGTTAACAATAAAAATTTTTTTTTTTTTTTTTTTTTTTTTTGAGACGGAGTCTCGCTCTGTCGCCCAGGCTGGAGTACAGTGGCACGATCTCAGCTCACTGCAAGCTCCGCCTCCCTGGTTCACGCCATTCTCCTGCCTCAGCCTCCTGAGTAGCTGGGACTACAGGCGCCCGCCATCACACCCGGCTAATTTTTTGTATTTTTAGTAGAGACGGGGTTTCACCATGTTAGTCAGGGTGTTCTCAATCTCCTGACCTCGTGATCCACCCGCTTTGGCCTCCCAAAGCCCTGGGATTACAGGCTTGAGCCACTGCGCCCGGCCAACAATAAAAATTTTAATGAACTTTCTAGTCCTAGTCCCAGGAGAAACCTTTGCTGTGTTTTAAAGTTAACTCAACTTCATCTCTCATTCTCTAGACTCCTCAGCCCTTAAAAGCTCAGTTTAGTGCCTTATAGAACTCAGTCCACACATTTCTTAAGTAACTGCTCTGGACCAGTCACTGTCTTACATAATTTACTAATTCATTTATGATTATCTTTAACTAGATAATGAGGTCCTTGAAAGTAAGAAACCCTGTTTTATACTATAATTTTAGAAATTAAGAACTGAAAGAGACTTTAGAGCTAGTCATGTCAAATATTTTCATTTTACAAATGAAGAACCCAGGCAGGTTAAGTCAGTTCCCCATATTTGGAGAATTAGGATTAAAGAACTAGCCTTTCATCAGACTATCTACTTTATTGGTTGATTGTTAAATTAATCTGAAGGAAGTTCTCAGCACTACTCTATGTTGAGGATTCTATATTGTCTATATAAACTGTGTCATTGTAGAATAATAAAGTTATTTATAACTCCTGATTTCAGCACACGGTATTTCCTATTTGTTTCTTATGACGTGTTCTTAGGGGCAAATTGCATGATAGTTTTGGAGATACAGTATTATGAAAAAGGCATTTTTGGTTTTAGATTAGAGTAAGTTGACTGATTTTTTTTTTTTTTTTTTTTTGAGATGGAGTCTTGCTCTGTCATCCAGGCTGGAGTGCAGTGGCATGATCTTGACTCACTGCAACCTCTGCCTCCCGGGTTCAAGTGATTCTTGTGCCTCAGCCTCCCAAGTAGCTGGGATTACAGGTGTGCATCACCATGCCCAGCTAATTTTTGTATTTTTAGTAGAAACAGGGTTTCACCACGTTGGCCAGTCTGGTCTCGAACTCCTGACCTCAGGTGATCCGCCCACCTCGGCCTCCTAAAGTGCTGGGATTACAGGCATGACACTGTGCCCAGTCAACTGATTTCTTAGGTTAAATAAATACTCCTGGTTTATATCTTCATTTATTATACTTGCTAGTACAGGTTGAGCATCCCAAATCCAAAAAGTTCCAAAGTCTGAAACTCTTTGGGCGTCCACATGACTCTCAAAGGAAATGCTCATTGGAGCATTTTTGATTTTGAATTTTTGGATTTGGGATGCTCAACCAGTGAGTATAATGCAAATATTCCAAAATCCAAAAAACATCTGAAATCTGAAACACTTCTTGTCCCAAGCATTTCAGAGATAAGGGATACCCAACCTGAGGTGACGTAACGTAAGATGTTACGGAGTTGGAGTGTCCATTTATAGAAGCAAATAGGCCTGACTGTTTCTATGAGCTATAGAGTTTTGATCTCTAGTTTTACATTCCAGGTACAGTTTTGGTTTTGATATTACTATTGTGTACACACATGTGCACCTGCACACACACACATAACATACTCCCAGACACCTACTTACAAGAGTGCTAAGAACAGGAAACTGTCCTAGGTGCAGACAAGGCTAGACTCTTCTAGGGTCCCTAAACTGTTTCTTAAAATTCGTTTTTATTCCTCCTAGTCCTTGGCAAAGTGGTGGGTGTATATTAGGTATTAATAAGGTAATTGTTATTTGATGGTATACTTTTGCTTCACAGAAACTTTGTTTATTTCTGTGGTAGCATATGCTTGTAGTTGTCAGGGACCAGATCAGCTCAGGCTTTTTTGCAGAATACAGGTTATTTCCCCATAGGGTTAGTATCCCCACCTTCTTCCCCCAAGAACTGAAATCATTTTCAGAAGGGAGTCATTGCTTCTGGATCAAGACTTTAATTATGGGCTTTTTTTCAAAGGCAGTTCCCTTTTCTGCAGTTGTTCTTTGGATGGATGGATGGATGGGGAGAAAGAGAGTGAGTGTGTGTGTGTGTGTGTGTGTGTGTGTGTGTGTGTATTTGCTTGCAGCATTTGAATATGTGCAGCACATTGGCTTTCTAGACATCCTTTGTATAGTAACAGCATGTGTGGAAGGGCTGGCAGCCTGTAAAACAGTTTTTCTCCTCTTCCCCCTCCTTCCAACCTCACTCCCTCTCTGGATCTGGTGACATTACATAGATAAATGTGCTGGCTAGGAAAACAGCAGAAGGAGTTGAATGTCTGCCAAAAATTTGCAGCATGAAACCAAGCTGGCTGCTTCAGCCTCGCTTTCCTGATCTCTTATTGTGTGTGTGCAGTCTGCATTTGTCAGGGTTTTCCTTATTGAGCATTACGTCACTATGTTCTCCACCCTTATCACACTGGCTTTTCTTTTGAAAGCTACTGTCCTCAGGCTTCAAACTCGTTAAACACTTAAGGCTTTATTTATACTGTTACGGAGGTAGTATTGAAGATGAAATATATTTAAGTCAGAAATTTTAATTTGATGCAATATTAACTTAGAGTATGCTTTTGTGTGTTTCTGGGCAACATTAGGGTAGTGTAGAAAAGAATATCTTCTGAAAGGACTTTGAAGACAGAAAAGTACTGATTTTTTTTAAACACGAATATTTATAATGGCTTTATAAGAATCAAAATCTGGAAACAATTCAAATGTTCCTCAAATGGGGAATGGACTGTGGCCTAGTCATACAATGGATTGTTACTGGCGATGAGAAGTAACAAACTATGACACAGCCATTAACATGAATGAATTTCAGATGTAATCTGCTAAGCAAAAGAAGCTAGACTTACAAGGCTACTGACTGTATGATTCCATTTATATGCAGAAATAGTGCCTTTTTTTTTTTTAGAGACGGAGTTTCACTCTTGTCGCCCAGGCTGGAGTGCAATGGCGTGATCTCGGCTCATTGCAACCTCTGCCTCCCAGGTTCAAGTGATTCTCCTGCCTTAGCCTCTTGAGTAGCTGTGACTACAGGCGCACACCACCACACCCGGCTAATATTTTTGTATTTTTATTAGAGATAGGGTTTCACCATGTTGGCCAGGCTGCTCTCAAACTCCTGACCTCAGGTGATCTGTTCGCCTCAGCCTCCCAAAGTGCTGGGATTACAGGTGTGAGTCACCGCACCCGGCCGAAGTAGTGATTTTTAACTGTCGATCAGCATTGTGAATAGTCATTTCTAGAAAAAATGATCTCATTTACTAGTCTATTGAATTAAAGAAGGTAATGTAGGATCTTGAAAGTTGGGGTTCTTATTTTCAAGATTTTTTATAAAGTTGAGTATCTAGACTGCAAAATGTGTCAGTGGTTTTAGAGGGAAGAATTAGCTTTTCATTCTTTGCAGAGTCTGGTGAGAGTGCTTGAATCCATGTCTAAAAAAAGGGCTTTGCTTACTAAAGCTTTATGTAGTTACTTAAAAAATAAGTGTGCTCCTACTTCTTTTTTTCCTGAATCCTTCAGGCTTATACAGTTTAGGAACCATTAATTTGAATCAGTTATTTGGGCAACTTACCTGTAATATTTTCATTATGTTTGTTACTTAGCATATGCTATCCTGTATTGTAATGTTAATGCACACGTCTTAATTTTACAACTAGATCATAAGACCCAGCAGCAGGGAGCTAGTTTTATTATATATTTGTTTCTCTAGCACCTAACTAAATATCCTTATACACAATAAATACTAAAGATAATGGTCTGTGTAGGTAACATTGAGGATATGAATAGTATGAGGTGATTTCACTAGCTGACTACTAGTATGCTAGGGCTGTTATTACAGAATACCGTAGACTAAATGGCTTAAGCAACAGAAATTTGTTTTCTTACAATTCTGGAAACTGGAAGTTGCAAATCAAGGCACCGGCAAGGTTATCCTCTCTCCTTGTCTTGCAGATGGTCACCTTTTTGCTGTGTCCACACGAGCTTTTCTCTGCGAGTACACTCCTGATTTCTCTTTCTCTTATAAGGATACCAGTCCTATTGGATTAGGGCCCCAGCTTTATGATCTATTTAACCTCAATTACCTCTGTTAAAGGCCTTCTCTCCAAATAGAGTCACATTGAGGAATTAGGGCTTCACCATATGAATTTTTCAGGGAGCAAAATTTAGCCTGTAACAATGACCTCCTGAAGATAGGTAGGTATGCCAAGTTGCTAAGATATTAAATAGAATCCACACTAGATACTTCAGTAAAGAAAATGATGTATAGGGAATTGATAAAGCAGATGCTGGAGAACTGAAATGCAAAATGGAAAATTGAAGTAACACCAAGGTAATAACTTCCTGAATCAGCTACAACCCCATGGGCTGGGGAAACAAAAAAAAAAAAAAAGAGGTTTGAATTATTGGAAGCTTGGAGGAGGGGCTCCACAGAGCTGAGATTCAGACTTAGGAGGAAGGCCCGCTGCCTGATTGCTTTCAAAGACTTGAGCGAGAGGCCCCACAAAGTTGGGTCTCAGATCTCTCAAAAAGATGTCTTGCCCTGCTGCTGTTGGGCTTTCTGAGGGCGCATGGGAAGTCTAGTTCTGAGAGCTGAAGGAAGCTGAAGACTGGAAACAACCGTTTCTCCTCGGAAAGGGCCAATGCTAGGGTTCCAGTGGCAGGATAGGAGATAGCAAGGAGCAAGTCCGTTCTTTTGTCACCTTTACGTTCTAGTCTTCCTCTAGTGTGTTCCCGGCTGGTGGAGATGAATGGGAAGCCGCCTGACAGGAGAAATGAAGTGTGCAGAATCTGAGCCCCACATCATAAGGCCCGGTAGAGAAGAGTGAACTTGGACTTGAGACACAGCAGCTTAATAGATGGTACTATTATTGGCAGGAGTACAGCCTCCCTGAAATTCACTTTGGCAGTATGGATCAAAAATCTTAGAAATGTGCATACCTTTTGGCCCAGTAATTCCAGTTCAAGGAATATGTCCTAAGGAAATAATCCAAAAAGTAGTAAAGATGTAAGTACAAAGCTGTTTGACTGCAATATTGCATATAATAAAAAATTAGAATTTAAATGTTCATCAATATGGGATTGGTCAAATTACCTTATAGCATTTAGTGAAGTGTTATATAGCCTTAAGAAAGATGATATTGATTTGGATTTGTTGATGTGGAAATAGAAATTTAACAAAAAAACAGATTATACTCCATCCTGCTGTGGACTCGTCTGTGTTTATGTGTGGGTTTTTTGTTTTGTTTTGTTTCGTTCTGTTTTTGTTGTTTGTTTTTGAGCAGAGTCTCACTCTGTCACCCAGGCTGGAGTGCAGTGATGCTGTCTTGGCTCACTGCAACCTCCACCCCCCAGGTTCAAGTGATACTCGTGCTTCAGCCTCCCGAGTAGCTGGGATTACAGGCACACACCACCATGCTTGGCTAATTTTTGTATTTTTAGAAGAGATGGGGTTTTGCCGTGTTTGCCAGGCTGATTGTTTTGTTTTGTTTTGTTTTAAATCTATGTAAAGAAAAAGCTGAAAACAATATACAGGAAAAGAGACAGTACATCAGGTTGAAGAATGCAGGCTCTGGAGCCAGACTGCCTGGGTTTGTATCTGGGCTGTGCCACTTACATCTTTATGACTTGGGTAACCCAAATTAATCTTTCTGGGGATGTTTCCTATCTGGAAAGTGGTGATGATATTACCTTCCCCATAGGACAGTTGTGAGGTCTGAAGGTGTTAATACCTGTAGAGCATATAGAACAGTGCTTGTGATTAAGTTCTCAGTAGATGCTGGCTATTAAGAGGAGGAAGCAAAAGATTAGGAGAGAATTTTAGTCTTATCTCTCGTTTTATTATAAAAATTTTAGTATGAATGTTACGATTTTATAATTGGGGTAAATAGTGAAGCTTTTCCATTAAAACTAAAAACAATGAAGCAGACAAAGACGTACTAAGTATCTTTGCATACATGTAGGAGACCTAGAACTCTAAGATGCTCTCTTTATAGGTAACCAAGCATTTCCTGCTGCAGCCTAGATATAGCTGACAACTGAGGCTTGTCTTTTGACAAGCCCCTATTCCTTGTTGTAGGAGAATTTCATTCTTCTCAAGATCTGTACAGATCCTCAGGAACTTGCATTGTTAAGCTTACTTCTGGCTAGGTTCCCAAGGCCTTCATCTTACTTTTGCCCTAGCTCTTTGGGTGTGTCTCTTCCCTCTGCTCTGCACTGCACAGAATCAAACTTAAGCCCCATGCCTTTTAAAAAATTACTGAAAAATGACATACTTGTTTTTTTAGTGGGCTGCAAGTTTCAAGATTTTTATTGTAGCATAGAAAAATTTTAGAATGTAGTCTTAGACAGTTTTTTGAAAAGTCCCTTGACCATGTTGCCTTTAGGAACTTGTCACTAGCTGCCACTTACTCTACATTTCAACCTCCTTCCACCTTTCTTGACCCTCTCAATGCCTTGTCTTAGTTTCTTAGGCAGAAAAGTTTTTGTCTTACTTAGTTACAGAGACACTAATGTGCTGTGTTAAAATAAAAGGTCTTATTAGTTACATTTAGGAACCTGCTTTGGTTCCATATTTTTGTCTATCTTTTCCCCTTTCTTAATAATTCTCTGGGAGTGGAAAAAGGGAGTAAAGATTGATTTCTTTTTGCTATGAATAATGCTGTTCTTTGAGGAAGGCAGCAGAGAACCTCTGGTCAGTATTTGTTTTAAATATCCAAGTTTAAACCATTCTACACTATATTATGTTAGTATCACTATTTACCAATAATAGAAACCGAGCATTTTCTACCTGTAAAGCCTCCTTCCTCCTCCTTCCTTCCCTCCTTCCTCTCCCTCCCTCACGTTTTATCTATAGATTGTTCACTTGAGCAACTGAGTTGAAAACTGCATAATGTATTTAGAGTTATGAACTTGGAGTCAGAATATCTACCTGACTTTGAATGTCACTTTTGTCACTTTACTAGTCATGTGCACCGTTTGACAGTGATTTTTTTTCTTTGTTTAACTGAGGAGCGTATAATGATTTTTGCAGATCCCTTTCAGTTCCAAACATCATGATTCTGATAGCAGAACCTTGCATTCTATCAGATATGTATCAGTTATTGTTCTTCATAGGTCTTGAAGAAAATGATGCTATATGCCGATTTGTTCACGTGTTCTTAAACCTTTGGCCGAAATAAATGCCTACAATAACAATATTTTAAAAATTTAATGAACATGAAAGTCTTGTTGAACATCTTCTTCTAAAACATCACTTTTTTTTCTTTTTTTTTTCTTCTGTTTTTTTGAGATGGAGTCTTGCTCTGTTGCCCAGGCTGGAGTGCAATGGTGTGATCTCGGCTCACTGCAACCTCTGCTTCCTGGGTTCAAGTGATTCTCCTGCCTCAGCCTCTAGAGTAGCTGGGATTACAGGCGCTTGCCACCACACCCCGCTAATTTTTGTATTTTTGGTAGAGACGAGGCTTCACCAGGTTGGCCAGGCAGGTCTCAAAGTCCTGACCTCAGATGATGCACCCGCATCAGCCTCCCAAAGTGCTGGGATTACAGGCGTGAGCCACCGGGCCTGGCAACCATCACTTCTGTATATATTTTAGCATAGAAATATTCTTTTGCTAATGCTCTTATACTCAAGTACCACTAAATTATTTTTTTAAGTGGGTAATATGCAGTGTGGCAAATGTGTATGTACAAAGACTTTAAAACTCTTAATGCAGTTGCATAAGTAAATACCATATATAGAAAATTTCTTAGGCCACAGGAAATTTTAATGAACTTGCCTATTTCAGGAAGTTAAAATAGAACTAAAACTTGCCCTGAGTTAAGAAGTGGCAATCAGTCAGTTAACAAAAATAAGCTTTGAAGGATAGATACAGTTTTGAAAAAGGTGTAGCAGAAACTAGCACTTACTAGGTGTTTCTTACATTTGAATTACACAGCCATAACTTTATCTGTTAATCTTCACATTAACTTGAAAGGCAGGTATGTTGTACTTTTCAACACTTAAGTAACTTGCTTAAAGTGATGCCACAGTGGCAGAACCCAGTTTGTTTCTAAGTGCTGCTGAGGTGATTCTTGTAGGTGGAGATACAAACGACTTTGAGAGAAGGGGTAAAATACCCTGGAGAATGAGCGTAAAGTATGATTTCTGAAGATGAATGAGTAGATTGGGAATAGAGGAAGATAGAGTGAGAAAGGTAGTTTAGTATATAAAGGAGGGAATTGAATGCCAGCCTGTGGGAGTTGACAGTTGAGATATATTTTATAAGTTTTGAGCCAGGCAAATGACTGGATAAAAATAGTATTTAAGGAGGATTAATCTGGTAGCAATATGCAGAAAAAAGTCAAAGAAAGAGTAGAGGGAGTCAGTCTATGGAGGAGATTGCATATGGTGACATGACTGAGTCAGGAGAGAGGTACAAACATGTAAAAGAAACTAAAGTAGAAAGAAAAGGACCACAAAGGAAGGGAGAGGCAATAATAATTTGTAAATATCATCCAGTATTTGGATGAATGAGGAAATGTATCACTGACAAATAGAAAGTGGAGCTTTCAAATAACCACTAAACCTGTGAAAGGAAGATAACGCTTTGCAGTTTCTTAACTTAGAATTTAAATTCAGCAAATATGGATATTGTCATTTTTGATGTCACTTCTGATTAAGAAATAGAAGATTGTTAGAGTATCTTAATAGATGATTGATTTCTTATCTGAATTTCCAATAATCTACATACATAGTAAAAGTGGAAATTGAAGTTTATCATTACTGATCCAATTATATCATTAACTTTCACCAGTAATCTTATTGATGTCTAATTGTAGAAGTCATTGAATGAACTCATCATAATAAAAATGAATTCAATTTAGCATCCCTATTAAAGTTTTGTAATGGCTAATGGGTTATGTTGGAATTGATTAAAATTATAGAAAGTTATATACTATAAGTAATGGAAATTATAGGTCTTTTCCCAGGCCATTCATTTTTTTTTTAATTATTATAAATCTTTTGCAGGTGTGTACTTTTGAGAACAGCTTATCCTTAAAAATGTTTAATAAGCAGCCATAGAGTACTTGATAGTATATGGGATGCTGAAGAATTTAAAGAGATTAAAGTCCACCCAGATATAGTTTCCTTGAAGATATAGAATCTAGGAGGAAAGGCTCTGAGTAAGTAATGATAAATGGAGCTAAGCATGGTTTCATTGCATTTTAATTTCAACAAACGCTTACTTAGTATATACTAAGTGCAAGGCATAGGTGAATTAAGTGGTGATATCTGCTCACCTAGGATATCAGTTTGGAAAAGGTGGCTAAAAATGGAATTCAAAACTGTCAGAAAGGATTTGGTCAGAGCATGAGTTCATCAAAGGCTATTATTAGTGAAAGAATGAAAAACTTGGTAAAATTGACATGAAGAGCTTGCCTGAGTGGAAGAGAACCATACGTTTTAGAACATTCAGCTTTCTCAAAGTATGAACACTTTCCAACAAAGGATGAGTTTCCTAAAGGGAATATGTGTGCAGTTTGTTACTCTTATGATATTGGAAATAACGAATTTTGCAGAGATTCTTCCAGAAGGCTTACTTTTTTGGTGTGTGAGTGAAAATATGAATGGTACTTAATTGGTTTCTAATTGTTTTGTGTGGATTTTGTCTTTGAATTGACTGACATTTATAAGTGCTTTGAAAATGTGAGTACAACCTTTTCTTTGATTGATTCAAATTTTTATGTTATGTTAAAATGCCCACCAAGGAGTAACATTTACTAGACTTCTTACTGTGTATTGGGTTATATTTTGACAACCTAGCAATACTCGTTTTCCTCATGCCCAGTCATTGAGCATCATTTTGGTTTCCTTCACTATACCATGCCTGAAAATAGTCCAATTTTCCACCCTTCTAAGCTTAAGACTTAACTCCTCTTAATCCTTCAGGTATTTGTATAGTAGAGTGCTTGTCAGTAGATGTTTATCAGCTTATAGATAATGTCTCTGCTGAAAATTATTTGTTTCAAGTTCTGTGAAACAAATACCCACCGAAGAAAGTTAATTTCAAGTTAAATTTACTTTACTTGATTATAGAAGAAGGGAGTAGGATGAAGTACCTGGGAGCCACTAGAGGACTGGAGAGGCAGTCTAGGTTGTAGTTGTAGAGGGATAGATTTGAGAGAAGCTTATGGTGGTTTATGCTCAGAGTAACCTGGATGGATAAGATATATGGTGGTCAGAAAGAATTTTTTGTTTGAGACTGAAAAGTGTTTGATCTATAGATTTAATTCTTAAAAATTTTTCTTAAGACAAAGTGAGTTGTTTTTATGCAATTGGATTAAAAGATAACTAACTTCCATGTAGGTACAGTGAAAATAAAATGGCTAACATTTAAATTCAGTAGCCAAATATAATTGTTATTAGTAACTTTTTTTTCCATTTTTGATGGGCTACAATTATATTTCTAATTCTGTTTACTGCATACCAGATTTAACATATTCCTAGGGTTCCACAGGAATGGTTAAAAATACAGGTTTCAAGATGAGAACAAATTATAGTAGTTGCTTTTCATTGCATGGGTTTTGACCTATTACTTAAATCATCTGATTTGTGAGAATATGAAAAATCTATACTAATTGGTTTTGTTCATTTTTATATTGTAAAATTTATATAAAAATTTACCATTTTAACTATTTAAGTGTATAATTCAGTGGCATTAAGTACATTCACACTGTCGTGATACCATCAATTTCTTTTCCATCCATTCAGAACGTTTCCATCATCTCAAACAGACTCTGTATCCATTAAACAATAACTTCCCATTCTCCACTTCCCATGGCCTTTGGTAACCTGTTTTATTTTCTGTCTCTATGAATTTGTCTATTCTAGGTACCTCATATAAATGGAATCATATAATATATAATATATGTCCTTTTGTGGTACACTACTAGATTTTAAAGAAACGAGTTGCAATAATTATAGTTGAACATAAGTTTTGTGTATGCCTTAGTCTGTTTTCTGCTGTTGTAACAGAATGCTACACACTGGGTAATTTATAAAGAAAATATGTTTATTTGGTTCATAGTTTTGGAGACTGAGAAGTCTAAGATCAAGGGGCCTCATCTCTCTGTGAGGGCCTTCTTGCAGTGCTATAACATGGCATAAGGGCAGAAGACAGAAGCGAGCACGCAAGACAGAGAGGAAAAGGGGGCCAAATTCCAACGATAACTAGCCCACTCCCCTGATAACAGCATTAATCTAGTCATGAGGGTGGAGCCCTCATGGCCCAATTACCTTCCGAAAGCCCCCACCTCTTAACAACACCAGACTTGGAGGGGACATTGAAACCATAGATACTTTATAGATGTTTTGTATTTAAATCTATGGTAGGATGTGCTCATTATCCTTTTTTGTTGCTTAGTGCATGTTTGAGTGTTATAGGGAGTATTACATGAATTATATGTGTACTTCTTCCATACTCTTTTAATTGGATATGCCAGTGTGTCTCAGTAATTTCCAGTGGCTGTAAAACTTGAGAAATTTTGTAGCTTTTAGAAACCACATACCTGTATTGCCTGATTGCTTATTAAGTGATCTCTTAGAGGTTTCCAAAGTTATGAGTTTGAGTTTACAAGTGCAGTTTTTTTCCATGAAAATTTCAGTGGTGACAAATTATAGAATTTATCATTCAATTCAGTCTTAACTAGAAATAATTGCATATAATAAAACAGGTTCTTGACTGTTCTTTTTGTCAGTGTTTAAGAATAGAGACAAAATAAAGTTAGATTTGAGTGCCTCAGAAGATATTAGAAAATAGAGATAAGGTTTATGGCCTTTAAAAAATTAAAGACAGTATTGGGGGAAAGAAATGAAAATTGGGACCGGGCGTGGTGGCTCACTCCTGTAATCCCAGCAGTCTGGGAGGCCAAGGTGGGTGAATCACCTGTGGTTAAGAGTTCGAGACCAGCCTGACCAACCTAGTGAAACCCCCGTCTCAACTAAAGATACAAAATTAGCTGGGTGTGGTGGCACATGCCTGTAATCCCAGCTACTCGAGAGGCTGAGGCAAGAGAATCACTTGAACCAGGAGATGGAGGTTGCAGTGAGCTGAGATCACCTCATTGCACTCCCGCCTGGGCAACAAGAGCAAAACTCCATCTCAAAAAAAAAAAAAAAAAAAGAAATGAAAATTGGACTTTTTAGATGGGAATATCTCAGATGATATATCTGTGTATCTAGAAAATGTCATTATTTAAGATATTCTAAATGGTTATGATTAAAAATTATTTCATGGTATAAACTTCAACAGAGAGCATTGGGCAAAATTTTTACTGTTCCTGTTTTTAAAAGTTCAAGTCAGAATGCCTGCTTGTTACCGAATCATCCACCCTGTGTTTGCCTCAATACTGCCATCTGGTGATTATTATAGAGATCTCAACAGGGTGCTTAAAGGAGATGTAGGGCAACCGACGACACAAGGTACACAATATTGGTGCCCTCTGCCTCAAATCTCCCTCTGCTTTTGAGTTGCTATGGCAGAAATCTTACTTAGTTATGGCCATGAAATCACTTTGTGAGATTGCTTTGTAAACAATAGAGCATTTCTGTACTGCTGTGATTATTACTGCACTACACATGGCTTTTTATCAGGCTCATACCCAACTCATTGTTCTTTCTATGTAAGGTACTCTTATTATATCTAGTTCTACAAGGTAATTCAATTAATTATTCAGTAATACTTATTGAGTGACTTCTATATACTAGGCATTGTTTTTATTTTTATTTTTATTTTTTTTTTGAGATGGAGTCTCGCTCTTGTTGCCCAGGCTGGAGTGCAGTAGCACGTTCTTGGCTCACTGCAACCTCTGCCTCCTGGGTCCAAGCGATTCTCCTGCGTCAGCCTTTTGAGTAGCTGGGATTACAGGTGCCTGCCACCATGCCTGGCTAATTTTTGTATTTTTAATAGAGACGGGGTTTCACCACGTTGGCCAGGCTGCTCTTGAACTCCTGACCTCGTGATCCACCTGCCTCAGCCTCCCAAAGTGCTGGGATTACAGGTGTGAGCCACCGTGCCCAGCCTAGGCATTGCTTTTAGTAGTAAGAATATGGTCCTAAAAAACAGGTGAAAATCAGAGTCTTCATAGAAGTTACATTTAGTTAAGAATAAATAATAAGATATACATACACACATGTTAATTAGTGAAAAGGGTTAAGGGGAAAAAACAAAGCAGGGAAGGAACTTGTGAATTATTGGGGTTGGTGGGTTGCTTTGAAATGCTAGATGGGGTGTTCAAAAAAAGCCTTACTGAGAAGGTGACTTCCTGAGTAGAGATCTGAAAGATCTTGGGACGAACATTCTAGATATAGAAGGAAAGCAAATGCAAAGGCCCTGTGCCTGTAACCACTGCCTTGAAAACCTAAGCAAGGAAGCTGGAGTGGAGTGTAGAGGGAGAGAGCAATAGAAGATGAGGTCAGGCAGGTAACTGAGGGGGAAAGCAGGGGAGTACAGATCACACAGTACCTTGTAGTTCATGTGGCATTTAATCTGAGATGGAAGCAATTGGACTGGAGAGTTGGGGGCAGCTGAATGACATGCTTTGATTTACCTTTTAACAGATTCACTGTGGCTGCTGTGTTTAATGGTGTGTAAAGTCATTTGCTACAACCTTTTTTCTTTTATTAGTTGTAGGAACAGGTTTACTTTATATAGATCATGGGAACAATAAGGTATAAGAAAGAAGCTTGGATAGGTCTGAGAGAAATATATGGCATATTTTCTGTCTCTGCACAGATTTTTTCACTGATTATCAGTAGTTTTTGTCTTTGTGATACAGAGCAATTGAAATCAGCTTGTAGAGTTTTTCTTGGAAAATGCTTTGAATATCTCTTCTATTTTTCCTATAACCACCTTAGTGCATTTCAGATTCAAATCTTATGGTGAACCCAATATAGTTTTAGCCCTACCTCACTGGTTTTCATGCTCATTAATAGTTTGGGAATGAGAGTGACCTGGAGTTATAATTTTTAAATGCTTTTAACAATATAGTTTGGCATATTGTAAAACAAATCATGGTGTACTGATTAGCAGTGCTATTTGACCAATAAATTAAAGAAAACTGATAGACTGTGTCTTAACCTAGATGATTTATTTAAACCATTTGTTGCTGTAGCTCATCAGCTGAAATGACTTAAACCCCCAAGGTACTGTTACTCTTTCCCAAATTGCACTTAAAAAACAAACTGAAATTATCACTTAGTTAAAATGTCATGATCATTGTCAGTAATAGTATATCTCTGTGGATTCACTTTGGTTTGGTAGCTGAAAAGTTTATTATTTTTATGCTTGGCCAAAGAATATGCATCTTCAGTGGGGAGCATGCCATGTGTGACTGAAAACTGTTTTTATACAGCTTGACTCTGTTTGGAATAACGCCTTTATTTGGCTTAACAAATTGCTTTTCAGCTTTATTTTCACACTGTAAATATCAATATTGTATAAACTTGTCATTATTGGGACTAATCAGCAAATTGTTTTGTGTCATGAGTAAGCACGGTCTAAGACTGGGATTATTTGATAAGTGCTAGAATAATTTGGTTAAACTGTCTATCCAGCTCTAAGTAACAACACAGCCAGTTGGTCTGAATCACTGTGCCTCAACCCTTCACTTTGATGAATAGGTTTGAATGGCTGAAGCTAATTTGGTTTGGGGTAGACAAAGTCTAGTAATGTGAAACTGATCATATATAAAAGAAGTGTTAACAGTAGTAATATTACAGGGAATATACAGGGACATAGAGGGACAATTTTGCTAGCGGTTTCTTAGTTATGATTTTGAATACCATTTTTTTTGCAGTTAGAAACTTTACTGTCTTGTTCTGGATGATAAAGACACATGTTTGAAGACAGGTTTCCTATGCTGAAGAATAACAATAATTTGTTTTCCAGACTTTCTCCTTTTTTTCCCTTTTATGTTTGCTTCGTTAAGTAGTAATAAAGTGATCTAATCTGTCCCTGAGAAGTATAGTAGATTGGCCAAGTACTTTGCTATACTTAAATATGTTAATTTTGGTAATTTAGTTTGAGTTGCGATACTGTTCTCAGTCTTCCCTCTAGCTTCCCTGTCCTAAAGTAGGCTTCTCTTCAGTGATTGCTCTAAACCCAACTTTGTTCCTTTTTTTAATCCAGACTGCTAAAGTGATACAATGAGCTTTATATGTGAACCTGGTACTGTGACCTGCCATTCATAGGTCATTACATTGAATTGTGTACATATCCCTCGAGGAGAATGACTTTTCCATGCTCTCACCCCTGTTTTATAAAAGATGGTGTAGTGGAGAGAGGCCCAGGAAGAAGAGTTGACACATCATTTGATCTTCACTGCCTCTAATAGGTCCAATCTCTTTTATTACATTTGTCTTCTCTTCTACATTTAAATAGGTTTAGTCTTTCCCATCTTGAACACTTAGAATACATTAAAACCTATTGCAATTTCTTTTTAGCTACCTTTTGTCTGCTCTCTGTCCGTTCATGGCAGTTTGTTGGTCCTGTGACTTTAGTTCTTATTCTGTCACTGACAAGGGCTCTCTCACAGTGATGCCTTCAACTATTTCTCAGTTGCAGAATCTAGTAAATACCTTTTTTTTTCTTTTTTTTTTAAAGACAGTCTCGCTCTGTTGCTAGGCTGGGGTGCAGTGGCATGATCATGGCTCACCGCAGCCTTGACTTCCTGGGCTCAAGCGATCCTCCCACCTCACCCTCTCAAGTAGCTGGGACTACAGGTGCTCACCACCGTACCCGGATAATTTTTGTATTTTTTGTAGAGATGGGGTTTTGCTTGTTGCCCAGGCTCCAGTAGATACTTTATCTTTCCAAAATTGATTATTGATTACTTTCTACTTGTTGAAGTTCTTGTGTCATTACTTCTTTTGTTTCTGTTTTCTCTTAGATTGGTCCTTTGTGGTCTCCTTTTTTTTCTCAGGTGCTCCTGAATGTTGGTATGCTTCTCTCAGTCTTTATCCCATTTCTGTACTCCCCTCTCCTTACTTTCTACCCTTTTCTGCCCCCTCCACGTTCTGAGTGCTGTCAGTTATCACCTGTATGTTGATATCTTTTCAGTCCATCTTCAGCCTGTTTCCTAAGTTCCAAACTTTAATGTCCAAATCACTATTGATGTTTCTTGAAGAATATTCCAAAGGTACCATGGTCCTATACTATATTTTTTGATTAATTTAAATTTAACTCTAATTAAAATATACATACAGAAAATGCACAGATTATAAGTGTACACCTTAACTACACATAATTAACATCCATGAAACCACCATCCAGGTCCTGAAAGAGAACATTACCAGCACCTCAGTAGTCTGTTTACAATTCACTACTGTTTCCTTCCTTTCCAAAGGTGACCACTTTCCTGACATAACAATGTAGAACTATATTTGAACATTACATTAAAAAAATGTACAGGATGTATTCTTTTTTCTGTTCTTTCAATATAGTTTGTGATATTCATCCATGTTGTTGGCAGCATTTGTTTATTTTTATTACTGTTTAACATTCTACTGTATGAATACAGCACAGTTTATCTGTTTAACCACCTAATTATTTGGGTAAATTTTGTTTGAATAAAATGTATTATTATGAATAATGCTGCTCTGAACATTTTGGTGTATGTTTTATTAATATGTACTTCAATTGTGTATATAGCTAGGAGTGGAAGTGCTGGATCATGTGGTATGGACATGTTCAATTTTAGTAGATAACGTCAACATTTTCAAATTGGTCTTGTCAATTTATATTTATATTCCTGTCAGCAGTGCATGTGTTGTTCCACCTTTTTTTTTTTTTTTTTTTTTTTTTGAGACGGAGTCTCGCCCTGTCACCCAGGCTGGAGTGCAATGGCACAATCTTGGCTCACTGCAACCTCTGCCTCCCAGGTTCAAATGATTCTTCTGCCTCAGCCTCCTGACTAGCTGGGATTACAGATGCCCGCCACCATGCCCAGCTAATTTTTTGTGTGTTTTTAGTAGAGACGGGGTTTTACCATGTTGGCCAGGCTGGTCTTGAACTCCTGACCTTGTGATCCGCCCGCCTTGGCCTGCCAAAGTGCTGGGATTACAGGTGTGAGCCACTGCACTTGGCTGTTGTTCCACTTTTTAATCAACCCTTAATATCAGTGGTCTTCATAATTTTAGCCATTCTCGAAAGTCTATTTTCTTGGTGACTAATGAGGTTGAACATCTTTCCTTATGTTTGTTGGCCTTTCATGTGTTATTCATGTATTTTCTGTGGGAAAGTACCTGTGGAAGTCTTTGCCATCTCTGTTGAACTGTCCGCCTCTTCCTTACTGCAATGTAAAAAGTTCTTTATGCTGGATATGGGCCATTTGTTGGTTAAATTTGTTGTTAATGTCTTACATTCTGTGGCTTGCCTTTTCATTTTCTTAGTGCTGTCTTCCCAGTCTCTTGTCTTCCTTACTATGCTTCTCTCCCCAAAGCAATTAGCCATCAAGTCCTGACAATTTTATCTTTTAATATCTTTTATCTTCTTTTCTCCATTTCTTTGCTCAGCGCCTTAATACAGTCCTTCTTTGCTCATGGCCTGGATTATAGATCACATCCCTTGCAATCAGTTTTTAACTGCTTACAGAATGACTTTTCTAAAATTTAAATCTTGGCCGTACTATTCCTCTGCCTAAAATCTCCCAGTTGTACCTTAGAGGCTACAGAATAAAGCTCAAATCTCATGACTGGCTTCTACCTTCTTCCTAGGCCTTCTTTAGAGTTGTTGGGTTTTTTTTTTTCCCCAGATTTTTACTGCTGGATAAAGTCTTTCCTGACTTACTTCCCCAGTTCTTTTTTCATACTCCTTTTTGAGGAAAGGATGTGGTAGTCTTAATTATGATTAAGCCATAATTATTAAGACAACTAGCCGTTCATCTCTCAGTCTCTTGGCTGAGCACTACTGTTAGCTTATTTGTGTTGGATGTTTTGATATTGGTGTTCCACCCAACTCTCTCATTAATCTGTTTGCTTTTCTGGCTTATTCTCTGCCAGCCACTTAATTATTGGTATTCTCACCTTAGCTCTCTTCTTCATACCTTTCTCCGTGAGAAAACTCATCAATTCTGATGGCTTTAATGCCATTTTGTATGTATATGACTTCTAGATTTTTAAATCCAGACCAGTCTCTGTCTTAAATTTCAGATCTCTCTGTATTATATTGTCAGTGGGTATTGCTACATGAATGTTACATAAGTATTTTTTATTTTTTATTTTAGTTATGTTATGTTACGTCACGTCACGTCACGTCACGTCACGTCACGTTACGTTATGTTATTTTTCCGAGATGGACTCTTGCTCTTGTCACCCAGGCTGGAGTGCAATGGTGCGATCTCGGCTCACTACAACCTCTACCTCCCGGGTTCAAGCGATTCTTCTGCTTCAGTCTCCCGAGTAGCTGGGATTACAGATGCATGTCACCACGCCTGGCTAATTTTTGTATTTTTAATAGAGACAGGGTTTCACCATGTTGGCCATGCTGGTCTCAAACTCCTGACCTCAGGTGATCCGCCCGCCTCGGCCTCCCAAAGTGCTGGGATTACAAGCGTGAGCCACTGTGCCCGGCTACATAAGCATTTTTAAGCTCAGTAAGCCCCAAACTAAGCTCACCTTCCCTTCCCAAACCTGATTGTGTATTTTCTACCTTTTTGAACACCTTTTTGAACCTGGTGGGGCTGCCTGTTAAATACTTCTGGAAAAACTTAAGTCAAAGGGTACTTTTGTGAAAGTACCTCCTTCCCCACTTTCCTCCTGTTTTCTATTACTATAGTTCTATCATGGTACCTACAAACATTTTATTGTACTTTATCTGTTCTCCCCAGTAGACTAAAAGCATCTCGATACTTTGTCCTTGGGGAAGCAAGCAAATCAATGAACCAATGAATGAATGCATCTTGAGGGTTTTCCATTGCCATCCTGCACAGTGCCTAGCATAAACAGTTGAGAGGTGACTGAGGGTACCTCCAACTAAACACATTTAAAATGGAACTCACCAGTTTCCTCCAAATTGCTTTCCTCCAAACTTTCTGCTTTAAAATGACTTGCTGTGCACAGTTGATAGCGTCACCATCTTTTCAGTTCACTTAGTCATATTTAACTCACTTTGTTTTTCTGCTACTCTCAAAACTGGTTTTAAGCCCATTGCTATTTCTTCTATTTCATTTCCTTAGCTTTGGTTCAAGTTCTCATCTTGTCTTCACCAGATCATTGTAACCACTGTTTAAATGTTTTACCTATCTTTGGAGTTTTCCCCGTTTGTCTTTGATATTGCTACAATAATTATTTTTCTCCAAGTGATTATCTCCTGGTTCTGTAAACTTGCCTATAGGATAAAGTCCAATTTTAAAAAAATTTATTTTCGTTTTAAAGCTGTATTTAGGTATAATTGATATATAAAAAGCAAATATTTAATGTATACATTTTAATGAGTTTGAGAGTCCAACTTCTTTACCTTCGGTGGCAGTCTTCACGAACTTATCTAGCTTCTTTCTTTTATTTTTTTTCCCCTCCCTTATAGCAGAAGCTATGTGCTTTAAGCATTGGCCTTACCAGACTGCACACCTAAGTCTATGCTACTTATACTACCTCTATTGCCTTCTCTCCATCACTCTTAGGAGGAACATAGATTAAACAAACCACTCTTAACATTTGTTAGCTACTGTCCTTGGACAAGTTTCTAAAGATCCCAAAACATAATACTGATGCTTAGTACATGTTGTTTTCCCCTTTCAACCTTTCCCTTCCTCCACACCACAGTTGGAATTTCTTTTTCGTACTGCTAGAAAACACTTACTGTTTCTCTCACTTAATGTCTTCTGCCGAGGAGTCACTGTGTCTGTTTACTTGTATATATCTTACTGCTCTTGTACTAGATCACATGCTTTTTCAGCGCTTACACTGTGTCTTCTTGAACTTATTCCAGTTGAATTTTTCAATCTTAAGGGTTTGCTTTTTAAAATCCACACTGTATCATTTAGGTTCTAAGTGATGAACATGACTGGGATAGGATTTTTTGGAGTAAAGTTTCTAAATGGTCATAACAAGGACCAGTTGTAAAGGCCCAGCCAGAGCAGGCTTTGTAAAAACTCACCTACTTAGCTGGAATTTAGGAGAGTAATACAATTGTCCTAAACTTACTCTGGTAGGAATTTAAAACTATAATTTTGATGTCTTTGTAGTAATACTAAATAAAAGTATTAGTACTGGAATGAATTGTGTTTTTCTTCACAGCCGGTTGCTGAACCAATCCCCATCTGTAGTTTCTGTCTTGGTACAAAAGAACAAAACCGAGAAAAGAAGCCAGAGGAACTCATCTCCTGTGCCGACTGTGGCAACAGTGGTATGTGATTTCCTTCTGTTTTTCTTCTAAAATGTGTTACGAAGGCAAGCGGAAAGTATGTTGACTTGAGTTTGTATCCTTGATCCTTATGAGATTAATACAGTCATACATCTTTTAATTATGGGGGATAAGTTCTGAGAAACATGTCTTTAGAAGGTTTCATCATCGTGTGAACATCATCGAGTGTTCTGACACAAACCAAGAGGGATGGCCTACTACACATCTGGGTTATGTGGTGTAGTCTGTTGCTCATAGGCTCAAACCCGTACAGTACTGAATATTGTAGGCAGTTGTAACACTGGTGAATATTTGTGTATCTAAACATATCTAAATGTAGAAAAGGTACAGTAAAAATACAGTAGTATGACCTTACGGGGCTACAGTCATATGTGGTCTGGTTTTTTGTTGTTTGTTTTTGAGACAGAGTCTTCCTCTGTCACCCAGGCTGGAGTGTAGTGGCGTGATCTTGGTTCACTGCAACCTCTGCCTCCTGAGTTCAAGCAATTTTCCAGCCTCAGCCTCCCGAGTAGGTGGGATTACAGGTGCCTGCCACCACACCTGGCTAATTTTTATATTTTTAGTAGAGACAAGGTTTCACCATATTGGCCAGGCTGGTCTCAAACTCCCGACCTCAGGTGATCTGCCTGCCTTGGCCTCCCAAAGTGCTGATATTACAGATGTGAGCCACCACACCCGGCCATATGTGGGCTGTATTTGATTGAAACGTCATTGTGTGGTGCATGACTGTATTTTAATTTGATTATGGTTTTAGGTGACTGAGATGAGCTTCTGTACTAGGGAGGGATTTGAATATATAGCTGAAATGTGTAATTCAGTTAATTTAAATCAGGTCTTAGTTTTTTTTTATATATATAAAACACTTTCTGTGGGTTTATTTTTTCCTCTTGGTCTTTACATTTCAGTATTTAACATCTGCTTAAATCACAGCAATCAGTTTGAAGTTATTGCTGGTTTCTTTAATAATCGCTACTTCGTCTTTCTTGATTTATGCCTCAGGCTTGATGAATAGAACCAGGATGATAACAGATTTGTTTTTCTTGATGGAAACTTACATATGTCACATTGGGAAATAGTGTTGATACTGCAGTCTAGCGAGCAATGTGAAATTCTAGGCCCTAAGAAAGATTTTGCAGAATCTCCTAATTTGCCAGTTCCAGAGATATTCTTGCTCTACATTTCAAGAACTCACAAGATCGGCCAGGCGCAGTGGCTTACGCCTGTAATCCCAGCATTTTGGGAGGCCGAGGCGGGCAGATCACAAGGTCAAGAGATCGAGACCATCCTGGCCAACATGGTGAAACCCCATCACTACTAAAAATACAAAAATTAGCTGGGCGTGGTGGTTCGCACCTGTAGTCCCAGCTACTCAGGAGACTGAGGCAGGATAATTGCTTGAATCCAGGAGGCAGAGGTTGTGGTGAGCTGAGATGGCGTCACTGCACTCCAGCCTGGCAACAGAGCGAGACTCTGTCTTAAATTAAAACAAACAAACAAACAAAAAAAAAACTTACAAGACCTTACAGGAAGGCCTTAGCAAACCAGCATTATCTTTGACCATTGGCTTAATTTTCAGTGTTTTATAGTGATAACAACCATGATTTAGTTCAGAAAACAGAAACCACACTACATACTTCAAGAGGAAGGAAGTTAAGTATAAGAATTAGGTATTTGTGAAATCATTGTCAGGGCTGAAGAAGCAAGCTGGAGGTTGGGCTTTAAGGACTGACTCTGGGGTCACTGCAGAACTGACCCATCTGAGGAGTTACTGTGTCTGCCTCTATCTGGAAGAGGTGCAAGCAGGGGGGAGTCCACTGCACAACAGTTGCGCTCTGTAGTTGGTGCTGAAGTGCTAAGTTTGGCCATCATTACAATAGCTCTAGATACCTACGAGGGAGAAGCATGGATACGGTTGTTACCATGACTTTGCTTATCATTAGAAAATAGTACTAGGAGGAGGATGATCTTTGCTTTGTTTTTACCTTTCGAATATCCCTGGAGAACACATCCACTTGTCAGAACTTAGAGCCTAGCTGCAAAGGAGTCTTAAGAAGTATGATTTTTTAGCTTTTCAGTTTTTATGCATAGTAGAAGGTGAGAACAGATCTTGAGTGCTAGGTAGTCATATCCAGCGTGTTGTCACAAACCAGAATGAACTCTGGATGGATTTCATAGTTAAATATAAACCGTAAATCATGAAAGATTAGATGAAAATATAATGGCATGCCATACAATGCAGTTATTTCCAAATTCCCTAATTAAAACCCAAATATATAAAACATAGAATGAGTTGTTCTAGGTGGGGTGGGAATGAAACCGAGGAGAGGAAGTGTTGTGTCTGCAGCCCTGCCGTCTAAGTAGCATTATATTTGAGGTGGTCTGTGCGTCTCTCTAAGCTAAGGATGAGCATAATTTGAAAACTATTACTGTAGCGGTAACTTTTTTTTTTTTTTTTTGAGACAGTCTCACTCTGTTGCCCAGGCTGGAGTGCAGTGGCGTGATCTCGGCTCACTGCAAGCTCTGCCTCCCGGGTTCACGCCATTCTCCTGCCTCAGCCTCCGGAGTAGCTGGGATTACAGGTGCCTGCCACCACGCCCGGCTAATTTTTGGTATTTTTAGTAGAGGTGGGGTTTCACCATCTCTACTTCACCAGGATGGTCTCGATCTCCTGACCTCGTGATCCTCCCGCCTTGGCCTCCCAAAGTGTTGGGATTACAGGCGTGAACCACTGTGCCCAGCCCCTGTAGCGGTAACTTTTAAAGAAATTGTAGAACAATTAACTACTAGTTATCTGTTGCTGCAGAAATAAATTACTCTAAATCTTAGCAGCTTAAAGCAACAAAACATTTTTTACTTCATACTGTTTCTGTAGGTCAGGAATTTGGGAGTTGCTTATCTGGGTGGTTTTGACTTGGTATCTTTCATGAGGTTGCTGCCAAGATTTTAACTGGTGCTGCAGTCATCTGAAGGCTTCCACGATGGCTCATTTACCTGGCTGGCAAGTTGCTGCTGCCACGGGCTTGTCGACAAGAAGCTTCAGTTCCGTGCCATGTGGACATCTTCACAGGACTGCATGCATGCCTGCAGCATGGCAGCTGGCCTCCCCCGATGAGTGTCTGAGAGAGAGTGAGGTGGAATCTGCAGTGTGTTTTATAACCTGGCCTTAGAGTCACACTGTGTTATTTCAGCAATATCTTCTTGGTTATGCAGATCAACCCAGTTCATTATGAGAGGGAGTTGTAAGAGTATGACTAGCAGGAGGCAAGAATGCCTAGGGAGCAGCCTGGAGACTGGCTGTCACAATAGCCAAAGAAGAACAGCATGGGCATAGCTGGATACATGAACGTTGATATTTTCTAAATTAAAAAGTAACATGCTTAAAGTAGAGCAAGAATAATTTGGGGGAAAATAACTGCTTTAAATATGGCAAAGGGCCAAAAGCTATATAAGTATAAAGAACATGTTTACATTTCTAAGCATGAAGTCCAAAGAGCAGAGCCTGTGAACTGGCAATTTATATGAAAGAAAACTAATAGTTGAGCCTATGAAAAGTGTTTTACTCAAGTAGTAATAGGAACACATACCACAGTAGCAGTGAAGTATCATTGTATAGCGTTTATAATAATCACAATTGAAATATAACAGACCTAGAGCTCATGTAGTTGTGCTAAAACACTTGTTCTTTTGCTGGTGGCACTGCATATTATATCATAGTTTTTGGAAAATGTTTTGGCAGTGCATATCAAGCTATAAAAATGTTTAATACATTTGACTCACCAATCCCACTTTCAGGAATTCATTCTAAGGGATTAAAAGAAGTAAAGAATCTGTAAACATGAAATAATTCATTTTAGTGTTCCGTAGTCTCAGTATTTAACAATAGGGAAATGTTCATGCAGGTTATAGTATATCAGTCAGTGGAATATGATCAGTTTAAGGAATATAAAGTTTACTTAAAATTTAAAATAAAACAAAAACTGTATGTTTGCTAAAATTACAGTCATGCAGAGCTTTCAGCTAGTTTAAACAGGAAAGTCTAACATAAAAATGGCTATTATTCTAGGATGATAGGATTGTGGGTGAAATTTTCACACCTCTTGGATTTTCCTTCAGTGTTAGTGATGTTTTGATAATAAACTTGCTATCTCATAAAAGAGAAAATCCTTTAGGAATAGAAAAGAGAGGAGAAGATTTAACAAGCCCTTTCTCTCACCAAAGAAAAATAAGCACGACCAACTTTTAGAGGAGAGGGACAGCTCTTTTCAGTTGAGGGGAAATTGGCTACCCTTAATTTTTGAGAATCAGACTGATAACTGACTCTTGGAAGAGGAAGCATTTTTTTCTCTTGCTATTCATTCTGAGCACAGTAGAAATACTGCTTTTGGTTTTAGTTTTAGCTTGCATGCCTTAAATTGTGAGCAGATAACTCACTTTAAGTGATGGTATTTTTATTATATACAGGAGTCCCCCTTATTCTTGGAGGTTTCAAGACCCCCAGTGGATGCTTGAAACCTTGGATAAAACCGAACTCTGTATATGGTGCTATGTTTTTCCCTGTGCATGTGCATACATACATATAATAAAGTTTAATTTATAAATTAGGCACAGTAAGAGGTTAAGAATAATAGATAACAAAATAGAACAATTATAACAACATGCCACCATCACTAGTTTTGTGCTTTGGGACCATTATGAAGTAAAATAAGGGTGACTCCAACACAAGCATGATAATAACACTAGCATGGTGATACCAGCAACAGTCTGATAACCCAGACAACCACTAAGTGACTAACAAATGGGTAGTGTATGCAGTGTGGGTGATCGCAGCCCAGCTGGGACAGCAGATCTCATTATGCTACTCAGAACAGTGTGCGGCTTAAAACTTAGGAGTTGCTTGTTTAATATTTTCACACTGCAGTAGACTGTGGGTAACTAAAGCCTCAGAAAGCAAAACTGCGGATAAGGGGACTAACTGTATTTTTTAAATTACAAAAGTAAAACATTGTCATTTAAAAAATGACAGCACAAAAGGGTATAAACTGAGACATAAAATCCTTCTTGATATATATAGCTCAGTTTTCTAGGATGTTATCAGTGTAAACAGCTTTTTTGTATATTCAGTAATGCATATATGAGCATTTCTCATATATGAACATATATGTATTCATATATATACATATATACCGGATATGTACACACATAATGCTTTGATGTAGGCTTAATAAAAGTTTGGAGTTTGTCAAGTTTTTTTTAATAATCAAATTGTGGGGAGGGGTCCTAACTTCTCTTTAACATTAATAAAACTGAATTGTGGTGCCAAGTCCTGATGAGAAATGTGTGGCAGGCTTCCTGGTGCATCTTGCTTTATTTGATATATATTTTGTATTTAAGATGATTGCCTTTTTCTACATCATTTCTTTAGTACTATAATAGCAAAATAGTTCTTGATTGTTTCATTCATGAATGTTCTCCCTCGTATTAGGCCATCCATCCTGTTTAAAGTTTTCCCCTGAACTAACGGTTCGAGTGAAGGCCTTACGGTGGCAGTGCATCGAGTGTAAAACATGCAGCTCCTGTCGAGATCAAGGCAAAAATGCGGTGAGTATCTCTGCCTTCTAATATGGGTGTTTCATTTAGTAGTAGAATGTACGACCAGCATTTTCATCTAAGTATGACTGGTTATTTTTCAGACACTTGGTCCAGTAGCATTTAGAATAGCCGGTAGTCTCTTTAAACTACATGTCATTAGTTTAGAATGCTTGCTAATTTAGACTTCAGTTATGTCTAGGTAATTTGTAAAGCACTTAATTATATATTTGCAGAGAGACTAAGCCACATTAAAGAAATACTCCCCAAATTTCTTTGAGCAGTACAGAGGCATTCATTTAGGATGGTCAGTTGATATATTAATTACAAGTCGCCCTTTTCTCATTATTAAAGCAGACCAGGGTTAGCTTATTTCTGGTTATTGGATATACTTGAAACTAATGAAACTTTAGTTCTTTATCAAAGATTGGCTGGAACATAACTTTTTGCTAACTCTATTTACATAGTTAATACAAATTAAGGAAACTTTTAATATTATGGTCACTCATCTCTTTTATTTATTTATTTTTTTTGAG